>NC_000022.11:17597422-17918275 GCF_000001405.40 Homo sapiens | reverse complement strand
ACAGTCTCGTTCTGTCCGCCAGGCCAGAGTGCAGTGGCATGATCGTAGCTCACTGCAGCCTCGAACTCTGGTCCTCCTTAGCTTTGAAGTGTATAAAGGAGTCCTGAGACCAAAATGTTTACGACACGTTTATAGGGCCTTGTAGGCCATTATTTTATATTTGCTTTTATGCTGGCTGAGATGGGAAGTCATGGCTGAATCAGCTGAGGAAATTTAGTGAAGACAGTTTACCAATTCCTGATTGTCCTTGAGGACAAAGCAGGTGTATCCGGGTGGGCGGCATGCTGTGGATGGGCACCTCAGCAGGAGAAGGCTCTGGAGTCACTGTGTGCTCATGCTCTACTCCCTTCTCATAGCTGGGCTTACCTCTGCCAGGGGAGATAGAGGGAAGGGACATGCTTTGTACACAGTGTCCACAGGATGTGGGTCGAGAGTGACGGGGCAGGGGCGGGGCCTTCTTCCCTGGGTGTGGTCAGCAGAGCTCTCTCTGATAAGGTGAGCCAAGACCTGAAGAGCGAGGGGCACTCTGCATGGCTGGCCAGGGCAGCCCCGCCCAGGGAGGCCTTGGTGAGCAGGAGAGAGGCCATGTGGCTGGGCCTAAGGGTGTTGGGGAGGGTGGCAGGATCTGACCTGGGGCTGGGATGTGGCAGTCAACGTGTCTGATGGGTGTTTTAAATGGATGCTCTGGCTGCTTTGTGGAATATTCTGGAGGGTGGGTTTGGAGGAGCAGAAGTAGGGGAGGCTCATGCAATGAGCAAGTGAGAGCTGGTGGTGTCTCAATGAGGATGATAGAGAAGACATGGTGAGAAGTGGTTGGATTTGGCTGTATTTGAAGGTAGAACACAGAATTTTCTGAAGAACGGACCGTGGGATGTGACAGAAATGCAGACGGGGGCAAGGTTTTGGGTTGAGTGTCCGGGTAGCTGGCGGTGTTGTTTACCAAGATGCAGAACACTAGGGAAGGAACAGGCTCTGGCGAGCGGCATCAGAGTGTTGCCTCCAGTGCTTTAAGCTAGAGATGCCTGTCAAACATCCAGGTAGAAAAGTCACACAAGTGATTGGTCGCACAAGTTCAGGAGAGAGGAAATAAATATTAAGGCACCATTGGTTATTGATACTGTGTAGATAAATCTACGGGAGGGAGGATCCTCCAGGGCACAGCTTTCACAGTGGCTTGTGTCTCCGTGGGTCATGAAGTCAATACAGTGGGCACCAGCAATTTTCAAAAAACGAAATAGAATTGAAAACAATATCTCGGTAGTAAGGGCTGTTGTAAAATGTTTCCTTTTATGCCAACTGATAGGGGAATTTTGCCCTATGAAACATTTTTTAAAAATTAAATTTATGTGAAAAGAGAGCTGTGTCCTAGATCACAGTATGAAACTTCTTTTTTTAAACTGCAGATCACAGTTTAAAAGCCACTGATGTAGAAGGAGATGTAGTTTCAAAAGAGATCAGAGACTGAGTTGATTCCGGGGCCATTTCAACGTGCAGAGGCTTGGGATGGGTCTGGGACCAGCAAAGGACGCAGAGAGGGGCTATGAGGTCACAGCAGGACCCAGAGAGTAGTGTCCCCTTGTCCTGGAGGCCGGTGGGGTTGTGGGGGGGCAGACGGTAGTGAGCTGTGACTTGTGCTGCAGACAGGTTGAGGAAAACAAGGTTTGAGAATTGATCATTGGATTGGACAGCATGGAAGTCATTCATGACCTTGATGAGGCATTTCTGTGGAGGGCTGAGGACAAGGTCTACTTGTTGGAGGTTCAAAGATAGTGGGAGAAGAGAAAGTTGTGAACAAAGCATTGACAATTCTTTCAGCGAGTTTTGCTGTCAAGGGGAGCAGAGTAAGTTAGTTGGAGCGGGTGGGGTCAGGACTGGGTGTTGAAAGACGTGTCCTTGCTGAAGACAGTTCAGTGGGGTGAGGGAGGATCACTGCAGGGAAGGGACCAGTGTGGGAGGCAGCATGCTTGAGTAAGAACGGGGACAGGATCAGAAGCACAGGCAGAGGCTGGCTTCAGCGAGACATGCGGCAGATGTCGCTCGCTATCATTGGAGGGAAGGCAGATGATATGGGCATAGACATTGATTACCGATAGAAACTTGCGGAAGAATGCCGAGAAGGTGGAGAAACTGAGAACCATGGCAGAAGAGAAATTGTGTTTTCGTTTTTTGGTTTTTGTTTTTTGTTGCTTTTTGGGTTTTTTTTTTTTTTTTTTTTTTTTTGAGACTGGATCTCGCTCCATCCCCAGGCTGGAATGCAGTGGTGCAACCATGGTTCACTGCAGCCTCGACCTCCTGGGTAGCTGGGACGACAGGTGTGCATCTATGCCTGGCTAATTTTTTAATTTTTTGTAGAGATGAGGGTCTTGCTATATTGCCCAGTCTGGTTTTGAACTCCTTCTGAAGCAATCCTCCTGCTTCAGCCTCCCAAGGGGCTGGGTTTACAGTCATCAGTCGCCACACCCAGCCTATTTTGGTCTTCTACACAGAAATCGAATCCTTGAGAAATGAACATTGATTGCAAGCTGCTCAGCTTGGTGCCGTTGACATGTCATCGATAGGCAGGTGTGGGGTGGCTGGTGGGCCTAGATGACCTTTCAGATGGTGCTGAGCCTTGACTGCAGTGTATTTTGTGGTTCTGTGGCAGTGACGACAGGCAGGCGAGACACCTGAGAAACCCCATATTCTGTTCCAGGTTAGTCTCCTGCCAGCTGTGTTTTGGGCCAGCGTCGGAAAGCCTTAGCTGCAGGCTCTGCCCCTGCAAGAGGGAGGAAGCGACCTGACCCGAGTGCCTTGGTAGGACCTTGCATGTTTCCCACAAGTTCTCCGGTCATCTCGTGAGGTATTTCTCTCCCTTCGGACTGCTGGAGGCTTGGCATTCTCTGAGTCCCTGTGTGCAGTGGCCTGGAGGTTGCCCTGTACGGCCTACCAACCAGCCAGCTTCCTGGGTCTGCCCAAGTGTAGGTGACCGGGTAGCCCTTTAATCAGCAGAACCTTATTGAGCACCTGCTGTGTGCCTGGAACTGAGTACATGGTGCTAAGCAGAGTGTTGGGTTGGTGCAAAAGTCAGTGCGGTTTTTGCTATTAAAAGTAACGGCAAAAGTAACTGCACTGACTTCTGCACCGACGTTATAGATTGGATTCCGGCCCTTGAGGAGAACAGCTTTTTTTTGGGATTCTCCTTTGGTTGTGTTTTCCCACATCCTCAATGAGGCTTTCTCCCCACCCAGAGGCCTTTCATCACCCCTGAGGGCAGGGCTCTTAGATTAGTGGGTCAGGAAGGTGTGGGTCTTTTGGTCTGTACTGTTGACAGTGGGCAGGTTGAGGTCCACCTTCTGTCCTTCCCCAAGCTCCTACAATGGATGGAGTAGTATTAGGTGATTGGAAAATGTTTTGTCATTGACTCCTCATAGGCGTTGCTGATGGCTGGGGTGCAAGAGCCTGCCGCAGAATGCCAACTGATACATACTGTGTTAGCACTGTTTTAGTTGCTTAGCCTTTTGGCAGCCAGTAAGAAGAATTACTGTGAAACCAGACTGCTCTCACTGCCATTTGGAAAGGGCTCCATTTCAAAGGAGCAGATGCAGTGATAAATCATGAGGAGAAAAAGAATCCTGTATTGTGTGTCCTTGCTAAATTTACTTGAAACTGCATATCCATTGCTAGCTGGGCAGCTATCTTCCTGGCAGGCAAGTTCCTGCTCTCGGGTGGTTAGGGACTGGAGGCATGCATTCTCATGAGCTTTCATTTCTCAAGCTGTATTCTCAGGTGGTTTTTCATGATGGCTAAGGACTTAGGCTCTCAATTGGACAAGTCTGGACCCAAAACATGCCTTTCCCCATCTGCAAAATGGAGGTCATACATCCTGCCTCGCGGGATGGTGGTGAAGATGCCATAGGCGTGGATGTGGCACCGAGTAGTAACGACTCAGTATCTTCTATCTGTCTTGTTTAACACTACAGTTTAGCAGGACTTACACAGATCTTACTCCTTTAGCACCCCCCTCCACCCAATGCCATTCTCACGCTTTCTAGAACAGATGGAGTGGAGAGGGGAAGAGTGATAATGGAGCAGAGAAAGTTCCAAACCATTTTTCTTTCCTTCAAAAAACAAAACCATCTGAACCCTGTTGTTCCGTTTTTATTTAGACTGAGTATGCGCTTTCATTGCTGGAGTTTATTGATAAACTGCTGGATGATAACAGCGCTACTGTGGGTTGGTCCTTGCTCTGTTCCTGGCACTGATAAACATTTTACATTCGTTACCTTACTTCCTACAAAACCCTGTGATTTTCATTTTACAGATGAGGAGACTGTAGGATGGTGAGCCTCAGGCATTCTTCTTGATTGCTTGTTTTGGGGGTTACTTTGAACGTGAGTTGACGTCATCATCAGTGATTGTGTTTATTGGGTGCCTCGCTATGATTCAGACATTTTAATGTGTTTGGGGTGACAGAACTGCAAGGCAGAGGTCAGGTCACTTCTGACTTACTTCATTTCTCAGCTGCGTGGATGTTCTTAACTTGGTTTTCATGAAGAAATAGGTTGTTAGCAAAGAATAGAAATGAAAATTAGAAAAGATACAACATAAGTGTTAGGACTGTACTACAGTCCTGCAGGATTAGGGACTTGGAAGAGAACCCAGAGGCTATCTGGGTCTGGCTCTTCTCAGATGCCTCTAGAGAGGGGTCATCCACACCCAGCCAAGCAGAGTGCTGGTCATGAGAAAAATGCCACACTCTTGCAGTGTTCCTGTTAGACTGTCACTGCCCGCCCAGGCTGACTGTTGCATTCCTGGATACCACGTTTTGGTAGCACATTGGAAGTCTTTCTCTAACATGTGTCCAGGTCTCCTTCACCTTCCGCAGCCACGCAGGCCAGGCTAGTGCTTTCCCCAGGACCGGTCCTTCAAGTACAGAGCTGCTGGGCTCCATCCTACCCTCGTCACCTCCACAGAAACACGACTTATTTCTACTCCAGGTCGGGTTATAGCGCAGAGACCCAGTCCCTGCCCTAAGGAAGTTCACAATGGAGGAGAGAGACATTTAAATAATGTCCTTGCAGAGTGGCAGGAGCAGATGAGGAGTGCAGCCGGGTGACAGGCAGGAGAGGGGAAGGGCACAGTGGTGGGGGGAGGAGCTGGCTTCATGTTTCCTCTCCATCCTGCTGAGTGTCAGCTTGATGATAAATAGGATGGAGAGTCAGGATAGATCCCAGGATGCAATACATGTGGATTCAATACCTTCTCATGATAGAAATACTCACCAGACTAGGAATAGAAGAAAATTACCTTCACCTAGTAAAAGCCATATGCGAAAAACCATGGTACGTGTTATGTTCAACAGTGAGAGACAGAAAGCTTTTCCTCGTATGATCAGGAACAAGACAAAGATGCCCACTTTTGCCTCTTCTATCCAACATAATCCTGAAGTTCTATCCAGAGCAGTTAGGCCAGAAAAAGAAATTAAAAGGCATCCAAATTGGAAAGGAAGACAGTTATCTCCATTTGTAGATGATATGATCTTATGTGTAGAAAATCCTACAGATTCCACCAGAAAAACCTGTTCAAGGCTAGTACATAAATCCAACAAAGTAGCAGGATACAAAGTTAATACACAAAAATCAGTTACATTTTTATATACTAATAGTGAACAGTCTGAAAAGGAAATGATGAAAATAATTGTCTACAGTAGCATCAAAAATAATAAAACACTTAGGAATTAGCCAAGGAGGTGAAAGCCTTGTACAGTGAAAACTAAAAAACATCACTGGAATAAATTAAAAGATAAATGAGAACAAATTCACGCTTATGGGTTGGAAGACTTACTATTGTTAAGATGTCACAATTACCCAAACAATACACATTCAGTGTAATCCCTATCAAAATCCCAATGATTTTTTTTTTTTTTTTACAGAAATAGAAAAACCCATCCTAAAATTTACATGGAATCTCAAGGGACCCTGAATAGCCAAAACAGCCCTTCTAAAGGAGACCAAAGCTGGAGGACTCATGCCTCCTGATTTCAAAACTTACTATAAAGCTATACTAATCAAAACAGTGTGGTACTGACATAAAGGCAGACATATAAACCAATGGAATACAATAGAGGGCCCAGAAACATACCCTAACATATATGGTCAAACTATGTTTTGTTAAGAGATGGGGTCTTGCTATGTTGCCCAGGCTGGAGTCTAGCTCCTGGGAGGATCAAATAATCCTCCTGCTTCAGCCTCATGCACCTCACTTACGGTCAAATTATTTTTGACAAGGATACCAGGACTACTCAGTACGGAAAGGACAGGCTTTTCAAATAATGATGCTAAGTTGCCTATGTTGAAGGAAGACAGATCAGGAGCCCGAGGCATGTTGGCGATTTGGGTCCTGGTTTCTGAGGGAAAATATGATCAAGTGTTCCTCTCCACCTACTTTTTTCTTTTTTTGGTTTTTGAGACAGGATCTTGCTCTGTTTCCCAGGCTGGAGTGCAGTGGCATGATCATGGCTCACTGCAGCTTCGACCTCCTGGGCTCAAGCAATCCTCCCACCTCAGCCTCGCATGTAGATGGGACCACAGGCGAATGCCACCACACCCAGCTAATTTTTTTGTTTTTGAAGAGACAGGATCTCACCGTCTTGCCCAGGCTGGTCTTGAACTCCTGGGCTCAAGTGATCTTCCTACCTTGGCCTCCTAAAGTGCTGGGATTACAGGCATGAGCCACCTCACCTGGCCTTCCACCCGCTTTCAAGATCTGTTTAGATGAGACATACCTCTGACTGAATGGGCTAGGGGAAGGCGCAGTTCACAGATTGCTGTGTAAGATTCAGAAATTTGCACGTTCGCTGGTGTGTTCATGGTGCATTGGCTAGGGAGAAAACTAAGCTTCACTCTGATGCCATACTCTTGAAGTGTCATTCTTTTTTGTTGTTTTGTTTCTTTTTTTTTTTCTATTTTTAAACATGATTCTCCTTTCTACTCCCCCACAAACATCCAGCTACCTCTTCTAAGAGCTAGAGATTGAGTGTTCTCATAGCCAGCCAGAAGTCAGTGACAACCTTCAACTATTGTTATAAATAGAAACATAACCATGTCCTGCGTGTGCTTCAGAGGCCGTCTCTGCAGTGCCATCCTCCACAGCCAAGGCCCATGCGGGGCTTCTGAGTCAGCAGTCAGCTGCTGCGGACAAAACATGCAGGCTGGAGTCAGCTGGCAGAGACTCACAGATGCCTGGAAACCTGGCATCACCTCCTCTTCCTCCCCCAGCCCCCAACCCGGCTCCTCACTTCCTCTACCCCTTCCTTGCACACCTTGGCTTTTCAGTTTCTGGGATTTCTGGCACCTTCCTGCCAGGTTTCCTGGTCTCCAGGTTCCTGTGATTATGAACTGTACACAGGGTGGTGCAGGACAGGCCAGGAGGAGCATGATCTGGCTTTGACCTTAAGGAATGAGGGAAATGGGGGCGGTAACAGAAATAGCCCTGCTCTGCTGTGCTTCCCGGCTGTTGTCAGAGCCAAGGAGAATGCCGGGTAAGCCCCTTGCAGAGTGAGACAGGCCCAGCCCAGCAGAGCCACAGAGCAATGCTGTCACACTCTGGAGGAGTCTTTGCGCTGCAGTCATCATTCAGCTGCAAAGCAGGAAAAGTGAGGCAGCCCAAGGGAATTCATCTTGTGTCGTCTTACCTTGGGTGCCGGTCGCATTGTTCCAGGAGCCATCCTGCCTCTGTTCATCCATTGTCACCAGTGCCCTGCAGGTCGAAATCTCTTCGGCCGGGGAATTAAAACTTGCCTGCTGGTTGGCTCTGCAGCTCTCTGGGAGCTGTGGCTGACATCTGTTAATTTAAAAGTGTTTTCACTAGCAGAAGGATTGGGGACAGTTATTAGTGAAGCCGTTCCTCTGTAGTGGGGTTTGATTTGGAAATTCTTTGTGGCGGTTAGCAGCTCTTTGGAAGTGAATTATTTCAAACCGAGTGGGTGACAACCAGCCATGGGGTTGTTAGCTCACACGTAAGAACTCTTCTTGGGAAATAAGTGCCCAAGACCCTCTTTCAGGGTAGGTGTAAGCCAAGGCAGGCGCTATGACGGGAAGGATTTTGGAGTTATGGGTTGCAGGACCTTTAATGTATTGGCTTCAGCAAGAATGTCATGGTTCTGAGTGCTCTGAATCCTGGCAAGGAGTTGAAAGTGGCTACTGTTTAGAAACAAAGAAAAGTCATTTTCTTCTTTGACATGAGGTAGCGGTGGATCAGACCCAGTGTATGCAAAGCTTACCAAACACTGTGACTCTGGTGGAGTTCAGGTTGACTGTGAATGCAGGCAGGGCACACAGGGTCAGGATTGTGCCATGCTGTGTGCTTGTCAAAGAGCAAGTGAAGCCTCAGAAGTCCCACAAAGAGGTCAGGAGGCAAAGAGGGTCCCTGATGTAGAAAATGGTGTGGGACCTTTGTTTCTAGTCATGGGTTGTCAGCTGTCACCATTTCTCCTGCCTTCACATAAGCACATCTGCTCTTTCCTGCCCTACAAGCCATCTTTTGACTTTCTAACATTTCTAAGATAAGCCTTGGCTTGTAAGATAAATAATGGGCCCTTTTTAGGAACTGTAAAGTATTTCTCTTGCTGCTACCTAGAATAAAACCTTTCTTTTTTGGGGAAACTGAATGTTAATTCCAGTTAACTCCATTTCTTGCTGGCCTCTTGGCCATGTGGCTATTGAGAGAAGCTATGTGTGTTAACAGTGTATTGTTTTTGTTTTGTTTTGTTTTGAGACAGGGTCTCACTCTGTCGCTGAGGCTGGAGTGCAGTGGCACAATCTCAGTTCACTGCAAGCTCCGCCTCCCGAATTCAAGCAATTGTCATGCCTCAGCCTCCTGAATAGCTGGGATTACAGGCGTGTGCCACCACACCTGGCTAATTTTTGTATTTTTTGGTAGAGATAGGGTTTCATCATGTTGGCCAGGCTGGTCTTGAACTCCTGACCTCAAGTGATTCACCCACCTCGGCCTCCCAAAGTGCTGGGATTACAGGCATGAGCCACCACACTGGGCCAGCAGTATAGTTTTTAATATCTAGAGCCAGGAGGGTTTGTTGAGTACGTGATATATTTGAGGCGAAAAGCCCAGCCAGTGTGTTCCATCTGCAATGTATCCTCCACATTATGTGACGAGTGTTGTGTCTGTTGACATAGAAAATATAAGGTGGAGAGGGCAGTTCCTTGTATTTAGTTACAACTTTCTCTCATGAAACTTAAGATGCATCTCATTTGGTTTGGTTTAATCCTGTGATACCATGGTGAGGTGCGGAGAGAAGTGGCATGTCATTTCTACTTCACACTGCTGCTCAGTGTGCTTACCCAAAGTAAGAGCTTCAGGGCCTCTTCTGTATCATTCTGGAACATGGTGCCTGTCTTCCAAGAGTTGGTTTCAGCAGCACCTGCAGCTGAATAGTGGGCAGTCTCTTGCTTCTACATGCCTGCTGAACGTAGTGCATCAACCACTCCCTTCCTCTGTCTGCACCCAACCCCAAGGGTACATCTTTAAAGCAAAGTCCAGTCCAGTTGTGTTGGTCACTCTCGTGGTGAATTGGTGATGTGCCTGTGCTGGGCCATTGTGATGAGAGCACCAGGAGCAAGTGCTGTGGGCATGTGGATTTCTCAGCAGTAGCCTTGGAGAACTTCAGAAGTGAAAGTCTTGGCCAGGCTCACACCTGTAATCCCAGCACTTTGGGAGGCCGAGGCGGGCAGATCACGAGGTCAGGAGATTGAGACCATCCTGGCTAACACGATGAAACCCCGTCTCTACTAAAAATACAAAAAATTAGCCGGGCGTGGTGGCGGGTGCCTGTAGTCCCAGCTACTTGGGAGGCTGAGGCAGGAGAACGGAGTGAACCCAGGAGGTGGAGCTTGCAGTGAGCAGAGATCGCACCACTGTATTCCAGCCTGGGCAACAAAGCGAGACTCCATCTCAAAAAAAAGAAAAAAAGAAAGTCTTAGGGGCGCTGTCTAACCTCCTTGTCTTACACACAAGGAAACTGAGGGTTCGTGCAACAGTGCTTACCCAGAGTTGTGCAGCGGGGTCGTGCAGCTGGGGTCTGGCTGTGTGGGCTCAGCCCTGTGGTCACACTCGTCTTGTCACCCTGACCCACTCTCTACTCACTAGTTTTGTCCTTTGTCCTTTTGCCTCCCACCTTCCAATACAGTTCCAGTGGTGAGGTTTCATCAGATGTGACGCAAAAACGATTCTGCAGACTCACAGGAGCCGGTGGGTGCAGGAGTACACGCGGTGCCATCTCCCACCTCCCAGCCTCTGTCCAGCAGACTCACTGGACGTAGGTGTGCGGACATTTCCATAGGTGGAAGGCATAGATATCGTCATTTACTGCTGTTCAATTCGATTCAGGGTGAAAATGGAATGACTGTGAAGTCTCCCAACCCTGTACCTTACGCAATAGCAGGACTTCTTCAGTTCTTTTAATCCCTGCCAACTTTGACACTCTCGAACTTTCTGCTCCTTAGACTTCTGTGATGCTGCTGGTTGGTTCTCTTCAGACCTCTCCCTACTGTTCCTCATCTTTTAAGAGGGCTCATCTTTCTCTCCCAGCCTCTTGAAGGTGGGGCCTCCTGGATCTCTTCCAGAGTCTGCGGCTCTTCTGCCCTGTGCACTCTCCTTTCGTGATCTTCCTGCTTTTGTATGCTTAGCTACTGCCCGTGTGCCAGCGACTCCCAAATCTGGATCTGCGTCCCCAGCCACTCCCTGAACTTCACATTTGTACCGACTTCCCGGTAAGCACCTCCACTTGGAGCTCACGTGTGCAGGTGAGGAAGGGGCTCACTGCTCCACTGGCACCAAGGAGTGCTTCTGTTTTTAATCCATTGGCCTGATGTCTCCGTTTAATCCGGGGCCTAAGCTGGAAACCTGGGAGTTATCCTTGCCTCTTTGATCTGTACGAGTCACTCAGGCCTGTCTTTGTCACTTTCCCATGTCCTACACCTCTTCCCTGCCTGGCTAACATTTATGCTGAGAGACTCAGCTGTCACCTCTCAGAGGCTCGCCTTCAGTGGGGACCCCCCCCCTTCACCACCAATAGTGACTTAGATCCTCTTTCTCTGTTTCCGAGATGGCCTTGTGTCTCCCTCTCTAGTGGCACTTGGTACAGTCCATTGAGACATTCTGTGTCTGTGTCTGCCTCGTCTCCTAGACTGTCAGATCCTTGAGAGCAAGAACCATCCTGCTCACCTTTCCAGCCCCAGTGTTTCGTAGTGCCTGGAGTATTGCAGGTGTGCAGTCCACACTTATGGATGGATGACTGCGACACTTTAGAACTCTGCTTTGAAGAGGAATATGTCTCCTGGAGAATGTTTGTAGACAGAGAAATGCTAACCACGTTTTTCTTTCTTTTTGTCAGATTAACGTGACAGTGTCAGGTGGACCCACAGCCATCCCACCTCCCCCTCTGGGGAGTGCTGAGAGTGAGGCAGCATGGAGGAGAGGAAGCATGAGACCATGAACCCAGCTCATGTCCTCTTTGACCGGTTTGTCCAGGCCACCACCTGCAAGGGAACCCTCAAGGCTTTCCAGGAGCTCTGTGACCACCTGGAACTAAAGCCAAAGGACTACCGCTCCTTCTATCACAAGCTCAAGTCCAAGCTTAACTACTGGAAAGCCAAAGCCCTCTGGGCAAAATTGGACAAACGGGGCAGTCACAAAGACTACAAAAAGGGAAAAGCGTGCACTAACACCAAGGTAAGCTTTGCTCCTGTTGGGCCCTGGGGTCACTGACGAGATGCCTTCTCCCTCAACAACGTCTTGCATCTCTGGCCATTCACCATATATGATCTACAAGGTCTGGGTGCCAAGAAGTTCTATGGCAAGTTCTGTGCCAGAGCCATCGACCATATCCAGGTGCCAAAGAGGAGGATTGAGTTAGAGGTAGGCTGAGTGAGAACCAGGCAAAGTCTAGCCACAACCTAGCATAAGAAATCAGGCTTCAACCCTGTTGAAATTTTGTGGATGTCTAACCTCTTTTTGTTTGACTTGCATGACCCAGACCCTGTTTTAAGCATGTTTCATGTATTTACATATTGAGCGTTCAAAGTTTCAAGTATTTAAGAACAACCAAAGTCAAGTGGCATGGGAACCTTTTATTTTGCTGAAGCTCTCTTTTGAACCTCACGTGGTTCGGAGGATGCAGGTCACTTAGCAGGGACATAGCCAAGCCCTGCTGGTATCCTGTCTGAACACGGCTTTGGGGTTCTTGGCATGTCCTCTTTCCAAAGTTCCATACTCAGTAGCTGGTAAGGTATACTGTTTGCGAACTTGGCATTTGCCACAAGCTTCCAACCTCTTCCCATCCATGTTCCAAAAGTCTGTTTTGATTCATAAGCAAGGACTTTGTGAACCAAAGTATTTCTGTTGCTTTCTTCACCATGTGGAGAAATGGGGTTTCCACGAAGCAGGTAGGCCCAAGCAAAGACCTGAGTTATGCACTTGCCTTTGTCGGGGTAGGTGCGAGGAAGCGGATATGGAGAGGTACATTTCCTGCTTCCCTCCTTAGAAGAACACCTAGTGTGAGAAGTTTGGAACAAGCTAGCAGGGACACAAATTTGCAGATGACTTCATGGCTACGTTATGTTCTTTCACGAGCTTTAATTTGTGCAATAGGGGATACCTAGAGCCCCACCCCCAGTGGATTTGCATTTGGGTAGATATTCATCAGCAAAATTCAAGAACTGTAAAGGCATGACTTTCATGAGTGAGTACTGGACTCCACTAAGAACAAAACAAAAACAAAGCCAAAAGCATTGCACGTTTTCCTTCCGCACACACAGAGCAAACTACTTAAGATATGTGTCCAGTCTCCTGCTCAGTACTTCTCTGGAGTGTGGATTTTCGAGATCATGTTCCTGGACGTTCAGTCTAGAAATGGGGATTTTGGAACTCTTATTAGCACACAAAACTTTGGCTCTTGAAAATTGCTTCCCGGGAATCATGTGTGTGGTAGACTCATTCCAGGAGGCTTGAGATTGCCTGGAGTGTGTATGTAGTACTCTGTATCTCTTTGGACAGAAATCTGCCTGACCTAGAAACCTTCGAAATGGTCCTCTCCTGTTGATGTAAGATTGTATTTGATTGTCATATCGTTTGTTGAGATGATGGCCACTTAAATATGCTGCAGATCAAGGGCCTTCCAGGCTGTCCAAGGTGAACAGGTGCCGAGCTTGTGTCTAGCACTGATGGTTCTGTCTTCTCCATTCATGGTGGTGATCACTAGCTCTTCTCTTAAGCCATGGCAGGTGCTCTGCTGTGACCCACGTAGGTGTGAAGGTTTCTTGGCAGTGGGGAGAATAGCCCTATTTCGGGGCTTTAGGGAGTGATGATCTTACAATCATGAGACTTCTTGAGAATTGTTTGTTGGAAGTGCCGCCTGCCCTGAAAGCAGCTGTGTTTTTCAGTGTCTCATCATTGGGGCTGGCCCCTGTGGTCTCCGTACAGCCATCGACTTATCCTTACTGGGGGCCAAGGTGGTTGTTATTGAGAAACGAGATGCCTTCTCCCGCAACAACGTCTTGCATCTCTGGCCATTCACCATACATGATCTACGAGGTCTGGGTGCCAAGAAGTTCTATGGCAAGTTCTGTGCTGGAGCCATCGACCATATCAGTAAGTAAAACTAGCTTTCCTGTAAGATTCCACCCTACCCCTTGCACGCTTGTTCAGTAGAAAGAGACAGGCAGATTAGCTGAGGAATTCATATGCCACCCAATTTCTTCTAATCTCATTACTGTCTTTCTTATAGTAAGTGCACTCATCTTGAAGTAAAAACACCTGCTATGTGGTGGTTCTATAATTTAGGACTCTTAAATGTGAGTGTATCGATAACCTGTGAAATGTGGGGTTTGGCTTGAGGATTTCTGTTAGGTCGTGGACTCTTCCTGAGCTCTTGCAGTTTGTGGGATGGGCACTGGGGCAGGCACTGGGGAAACGATGACCAGTTTGGGCCCAGACCCTCTGGTGGTCCTTCTTGCAGTGGCAGAAGTACACAAGCATGCAGCTGTCTGTGCTGTGAGCTGATACATTCTCTACTAATGTAAGAACAAAGTGCTGTGGGGACACAGTCCTGGGGGGAGCCACACTTGCAGGAGGCGCAGAGCCCTGGCCTGGCCGTTAATGGCAAGGGGATAATGGCATTCCTCTGGTCAGGTGGTTCTTGTGCGGTCTGCAAGCTCTTGCTGTTCTTTTGTCACCTCTAAGCTCAGCCCGGGCCTTTGCTTTTCTGAGATCCTACAGGGTATGAATACAAGTTAATGCAATCAGCGGTGTTTGACTGTAAGTGGCCAGCAAAGCAATTCAGAACAGACAGTGTGCGTTATGAAACTGAAAGCTTTTTATTGATTATCATTAATGCTTTCAGGAAAGCTTTATCAAGGAGCCTTTGTTCTGAGCTTCTCCAGATGTGTCCTGTAAACACAGTCAGTCATGGAACCTTTTGCTGTTTGCAGCAGCTGTGCCAATTTATCAGACGCTGGCTGGCAGTGACCACATTCCACTGGCAGAGGAAGCCCTCTGCCCATCTGCTGGCTATAGTTTGTAAAGCATCTTGGGACCCACAGTTCTCTGCGAAAATACTGTGCTAGCGCAGAGCTTAACAAGTATTTGGGAATGGGACTCAGAAGGGTGGTGGCTGTGGTAAACTGGGGAGAACAACCAAGATGACGTGAGGAGGATTTGCATTGCTCCTGGCACATTAGTCACAGGCTCCAGTTAAGTTTGGTCTTAAGAGAGAACCAAGGGTCATTAACGCAGTGGATTTGTCTGCCTTAATTGTGGCAAGATTCATCTTAGGGTTGAGAGGGTCTTCTACCAGGGCCTAGATCTTTATCTCTGCACCTTAAGTCGCTGCCATGCCTGGTGCCTGCAGGTGCTCATGGACGTCGAATAAATCAATCAGTCTCACTATGAAAATAAGCAAGATTGTCAGTCATTCTGGCCTCAGTTTCCACAGCTATAGACCAGGAATGGGAGGGGGAATGGTAGGAGGATCTAGTTGGATTGCGATTTCCCTTCCTTGCCTTATAAGAATGTGTGATGATCAACCAGGGAATGGGCTGAAAGACGCCTGTGGGCGGGGAGGTCATGCAGCAGCTCTGCATCTGACCGTGGGCTGCACCCTGTGGGTGCACATCTGCCTCCTAGCAGGATTGGAGATGCTGCCAATATGGCAGCCCCAAATTGGGAAGATGGAAAGGAACCTCCTGTAGGCCACAGTCCCATGTTGTCTCCGAGCTTTTGATTGTTTAAAACACTGAACCCGAGACGTGGGAGTGTCCTGTGTGTTGCTCTAGAACAGCTCTTCCACTGGGTTATATTTGCCTTTAAGAAAGGAAGAAGTTACAGAGCGTGGCTTTGGAAGGTCTCCTGCTACAGCAGGCTTTGGGAATCTGAATGAAGGGGGCGTAGGTGGCGGGGTGGGAGCCTGAGCTGCGACACGGATGGGTACCCCCTTCTCCATGTGTTCCCATCAACGTCATCTCTGTATTCTCCCAGGTATCCGTCAGCTCCAACTAATACTTTTGAAAGTAGCCTTGATCCTAGGCATTGAAATCCACGTCAATGTGGAATTCCAAGGACTTATACAGCCTCCTGAGGACCAAGAGAATGAACGTAAGTTATACTGGAGGAGTGAAGAAGGCGTGAGAGGGTGTTGATGGGTGAGGAAGATGAGATTGAGGGAGCAAACCAAAGGCTCCTGAGGGCTGCTTCCAGAGCTAGCCAAAGCCTGTGCCTTTGGGGACTTGGCCTGGATGCAGCCTTAGATGTCGCAGGCGCACATGTGGTGGGAAGGGCCCCGTGAGCCCTCTGCAAGGCTTCTTTCCTTCTGTGGTTTGTCCCCACTGCTTTTTCTTTGTTAGATGAGAGTCTCACTCTGTCGCCTAGCCTGGAGTGCGGTAGCTCAATCTTGGCTCACTGTGACCTCTGAGCAATTCTCCTGCGTAGGTCTCCAGAGTAGCTGGGATTACAGGCATGTGTCACCATGCCTGGCTAATTTTTGTATTTTAGTAGAGACAGGGTTTCACCATGCTGGCCAGGGTGGTCTCGAACTCCTGGCCTCAAGTAGTCTGCCAGCCTCTGCCTCGCATAGTGCTGGGATTAGAGGCACGAGCCACCGTGCACAGCCTCTGTCTCCACTGCTTCTACACATAGTGTTTTTGGCCCAGGGTTTTGTGCAGTTCACATGACTGGGTATCTAGAGATGGTCCTGGCTGTGAATGTGGTCTGGGTGGTGACCCCCATTTATTTGGTTTTGGTTCACAGGGATAGGCTGGCGGGCACTGGTGCACCCCAAGACTCATCCTGTGTCAGAGTATGAATTTGAAGTGATCATCGGTGGGGATGGTCGGAGGAACACCTTGGAAGGTATTGGTCTGTGCTCCTCTGCCTGGCTCATAGCAGAGGGAAAGCTGATGCTATCCTACCTCTGGGGCGAGACTGTGCGTGACCAGCGTCCACCCTTTTGAGAGCCTGAATGTGTGCTTCCTGCCCTGATGGAATGGCAGGCCCCACCATCCTCTAGCCAGCTGGCAGTCAGGCTGCTGCTTTTATTTTATTTAATTATTTTATTTTTGAGACAGGGTCTCGTTCTTTTGCCCAGGCTGGAGTGCAGTATCATGATCACGCTCACTGCAGCCTCGATCTCCCTGGTCTCAAGCGAGTCTCCCATCTCAGCCTCCTGAGTAGCTGGGACTACAGGCGCGTGCCACCATACCCAGCTAATTTTTGTATTTTTTGTAGAGATTGGGTTTTCGCCATGTTGCATGGGCTGGTCTCAAACTCCTTGGCTCAAGCACTCTGCTCGCCTTTCCCAAGGTGTTGGGATTACAGGCGTGAACCACCTCACCTGGCCCAGGCTGCTGCTTACAGGGCACTCTTGCTGAGGCACTAGGAGACCAACCATACCTTGAGTGGCTGGCACCTGTAGGACTTAATCTACATATTAATAAGCAGGTGCTCCCCCCACGCATCCCTTTTTTAAAGAGGAATCCCTAGTACTGAGTAATATTCTGGCCAGTCAGATTTCAAATTGTTTGTTAATGGAGACTTTGACTTCTTCCCTGAATTTTCATATTCTTGGGTAGGTAAATGCCTTATTTTCATCTGCAGAAGAGCTGCCCTAACTTTCCCATCAGTTCTCATCCCTGACTTTCCCTGTTGTCTTTATCAGCACCCCCACTTTATCTGAAGTGATCTTCCTTCTCTAGCCAATGATTATCACCTCTGAAAATTTATTTCCCTCCAGGGTTTCGTCGGAAAGAATTCCGTGGCAAACTGGCCATCGCCATCACGGCAAATTTTATCAACCGAAATACAACAGCAGAAGCTAAAGTGGAAGAGATCAGTGGTGTGGCTTTTATATTCAACCAAAAATTTTTCCAGGAACTGAGGGAAGCCACAGGTTGGTGTTGATGTCTCCGGAGCCCTAGGATAGAAACTTAAATAGTCCCTGGTGGCTTTTTCTTGGGGGATTGGTGGGGTGAGTGGCCGTCGGTGTCCCTCCTGCACTGTCTGCCCCTCCTGCTCTTTTCACTCCTGTTCCTTCTTCCTAGCGCATTGCTTCCTGCAGAACTTGTCTCCTCCTCTTGTATTCTTAACCTCCTCACAGTGACTGGGCGGCTCTGGGTTTTGTTTTTTGTTTGAGACAAGGTCTCGCTCTGTTGCCCAGGCTGGAGTTCAGTGGCGTGATCTCGGCTCACTGCAGCCTCGAACTCCTGGGCTCAAGTGATCCTCCCATCTCAGCCTCCTGAGTAGCTGGGACTACAGGCAAGCTCCACCATGCCTGGCTAATTTTTCGTATTACTTGTAGAGACGGAGTTTCGCCATGTTGCCCGGGCTGCTCCCAAACTCCTGGGCTCCACCTGCCTCAGCCTCCCAAAGTGCTAGGATTACAAGCGTGAGCCACCACACCCAGCCTGAGGTTTTGTTTGTTCGTTTATTTGTTGTAAAGCATTCGTTCTGCCTCCACTAGTTCTTCCCAATGCCTGCCCTGTGCTGTGATGCTGAGGCATGCTGCTTGGTGTAGCTGCTGGCCGGTGGCTCCCTGGTTTGCTTGGGAAGCTGACTTTAGGCCTTTTAAGTATGTAGTCTTCTTCCTGAGTTCCAGCTCAGGCTTGAAGGCAAACCGTGTGTCAGATAGCGATGAGATTGTTGTATGATAGGTTTTGAATAGATCAACTTAGATATTTTGCTAAATGTGCCTTCATTCTCTTGTTTTCTAGAACTTGATTTCTTTTCATTACATCTATTTTTTAGATTAATTAAAAAGTCAGTAGTTCACTCTCTGCTTCCAGGCGTCAAGTTGTCTATCCTGTTCTTAAGAATCTAGGAGATTCCTCCAGCTTCCTTGATGACTGTCCCAAGAGGCTTAACCCGATAACTAATCCAAGCCCTCTTTAGAGGTTAGCCTCTTTTTTTTTTGCTTGTTTCGTTTTTATTCCCGTAAAAACAGTTCTGTTTACTGTCAGTCATAGTTTTTAGGATTGTTTGGGGTGTTGAGTGAATACAGAGAAACAAAACTCCCTGTATTTCCATGAACTGATGATACAGGACGTGAGAATCTGGGCTTAGACACCTTTCCCTGCCTGGAGCCTCAGGCCCTTGTCTCTGTAGGCCTGTGTGTAACCTTTCAGCCTGCCCTGATGCACCTTCATCTCAGCAAACTTACATGCACACGTTTGTCTTCTGGCCCCAGGTATTGACTTGGAGAACATCGTTTACTACAAAGATGACACACACTATTTCGTTATGACAGCCAAAAAGCAGAGTTTGCTGGACAAAGGAGTGATACTACATGTGAGCCACGGATTTCCTTCAAAACTCTTTCTTATTGAAGTGGTTAATATCACCAAGAGAAAGAATTGTCTGATGGGTTTTTCCTGCAAGGGAATGAAAATGAGCACTGAATGCATCTTCTGGTAACCCCTGATGTTTTCCAGTTTAGCGTGAACAACTCTTAACTATGGCTAATTTCAAATGTAAATAAAAACGGGGGGAGAATAGTGTAATGAACCCTCACGTACCTACCGTCCAGCTTTCACAGTTCTCAACACGTGGCCAGTGTTCTGTCAGTAATATTTCTGTGCACTCCTTCTTCACCACTGGATTCTTGCAAAGCAGGTTTCAGACAGCATTTCATGCATAAATACTCAGTTTAATTTTAGGTGATTTGGTTTGTGGTTATTGTGATTTCCATATCTGACTGATGATTGGTTGGTTGAAGAGTTATCTTTTGGGAGGGGGAGCAACAGAGGGAAAGGAGTTTGACCAAGAAGCAATAATTGGTGTTTATGGGAGCCTGATGAGGATTCTGGTGTCACTGCCGATACAGTTTTCAGAGGTCCAGGCAGCACTGACAGGATCAGGCTACACTTAGGCCTCTTTATGACCACAGAACAGGTCTGAGCTCCATCATAGCCAGGTCCAGCTCAGCCTGTTTCTAGGTGACTGCATGGTGTGCCCTGAGATGATGGCCTGAAATATGAAGTCAGAAGACCACCGCGTGGATGGTCCCTGAAGGAGAGTTTTTTAAGTCTTTCCTGGTCTCACTGGTCTCAACGTGAGAATCACTGTCCCCATGCGATGAGAAAAACAGAAGCAGAGACACCAGTTGTGCTGATTCAGGCCTGTGCAGTTCCCACAAGAGACTCACAGCTGAATTTCAGGGAGTCCTTTGTCTTTGCAGGGTGATGTGAATGCAGTCACTTTAGTCTGAGCTACAGTACTACCTTATATGACAGCAGAGCGGGGAGTGAGCTGACGAGCATGTGCCGGTGGCAGAGAGCCCCCTCTTTCTACCCAGGAACCTTGCGTGTGTTTCTCAGCACAGCCACCCTGTGTGCTTTCAGGGAGAACCAGGACAAAGCTGTTTATACAGCCCACTTTCCCAAAAGCATAAGCAAGACGTATCTGGTTAGATGCTTTCTAAAATTGCCTTGCTAATTATCTGGGACTACATCAGGGTTACATTGCTGTCAGTAAGAAATAGCCAGTGAAGCAGTTCGTACGCCTTGGGACAAGGTGAAGATTTAAATCTGCCACGCAGGCAGAACTGTGGTTGTCAGTCACAATTTGATAGGAGCAGTCTAGAATGCCAAGAGACCTGGTTTACTTTGCCTTCATGTTTTTTTTTTTTTAAGAGGGCAGGGGCCATGCCTTTGGTGTATGCTGTTAAATAGTAAACCCATGTGGCTACTTAGTATTGAGCAAACAGTCTTTCTAGGACCAACCTGAGTGTTTGTGTTTTGGCTTTAACATCTTGTAGTGGTGGCTGAAAGGACCATCATGGCCACTTAGAAACCGTAGGCCCCACTTTCAGAGAATAAAGACTTGGCTCAGTGTGCCAGGAACCTCCAAAACAGAAAAGGAGTTTTTCAGTCCTTTGTTCTTCTTTGTGGGTTTCTGTGGAGGCTTTCAAGTCTTACTTACTATTTTGAAAACCTCTGCTCCATTTTCAACATATTCCTTCCCAGCCTCCTGGACTACCATTGCTCCCACCTCCATGTCTTTTTGGCACTCAAGCTTTTTTGAGTTCTTCCTTTGGGTGTCATGAGTTATGCAAGGCTGAGTGTTTCACGTGGTCCCATTTGACAAAAGCCATTTACTACCCAGAAGATAATGAAATGCCCTTTCAGTTCACAAAGTACTGTCAGGTATGTGATACTCAGAACAACCCTGAGGCAGATTGGATAAGATCAAAGAAGTAGTCATTGTTCCAAGCAAATGGAAAAGCCATGACTGTGTGTTTAGGCAGCAAGGTCTATGTTCTCTCGGGAATAATCCACCCCCCAAACCCCTCTTTTTTTTTTTTTTTTTTTTTTTGAGTTGGAGTCTCACTCTGTCACCTAGGCTGGAGTGCAGTGGTGCTGTCTCAGCTCACTGCAACCTCCGCTTCCTGGGCTCAAGCAGTTCTCCTGCCTCAGCTTCCCAAGTAGCTGGGGTTACCGGCACACACCACCATGCCTGGCTGATTTTTGTATTTTTAGTACAGATGGGGTTTCATCATGTTGACCAGGCTGGTCTCGAAGTCACGTCCTCAAGTGATCTGCCCGCCTCAGCCTCCCAAAGTGCTGGGATTACAGGTGTGGGCCATTGTGCCTGGCTGCCTTTCCCCCCGCCCATTTTAATGGTATAAAAGTTTTGGTTTTGGAACGTGGAGTCACTTTAGGGGGAAGAAGAAGCTGTGGCCCTGGGTTGTGTAACATGGTTCTGGCTGAGTGCCAGAGCTTCTCCATCCCTACCCTCCTCTTTCTCTGGAGACAGGACTACGCCGACACAGAGCTCCTGCTTTCCCGAGAAAACGTGGACCAGGAGGCTCTGCTCAGCTATGCCAGGGAGGCGGCAGACTTCTCTACCCAGCAGCAGCTGCCGTCTCTGGATTTTGCCATCAATCACTATGGGCAGCCCGATGTGGCCATGTTTGACTTCACTTGTATGTATGCCTCCGAGAACGCCGCCTTGGTGCGGGAGCAGAACGGACACCAGTTACTAGTGGCTCTGGTCGGGGACAGCCTCCTAGAGGTGAGTGCTAAGCATGGCAGCACTCTGTGGTAGGGGCAGGAATAATTAGGAGTGAATCTGGGCATCCTGGGTCTTGGAATGAGCGTCTGCAGTGTTGTACAGCACAGGTAAACTCCCTGCAGGAGTCACACCAGGAAGTAGAGGAGGGCTACAGGCCACTGGGAGCCCAGGCCTATTAAGTATGAGTGGAAATTCTGCCCCTTTTTGACTTACTCCTTGCCAATCTGGGAAGGAGAGCAATTTGTTATTGAAACAGTTGCCAAACACTACTGTCGACAGCAAACTCTTTGTTCCTTAGTTTATTTTTCCCATTTTGAAAGGTGTGTTATATTTTAATTATTTGTTTTATGTCTTATCTACAGCCTTTCTGGCCAATGGGAACAGGAATAGCCCGGGGCTTTCTAGCTGCTATGGACTCTGCCTGGATGGTCCGAAGTTGGTCTCTAGGAACGAGCCCTTTGGAAGTGCTGGCAGAGAGGTAATGGGAAGTAACCCGGGGTTCCTTTCATGAGAAAACTGGGAAGAAGGAGTGGTTTACTCTTCAGGCAGAGTGCAAGTTCTTCCTTCTTCTTTCTCTGCCTTCTTAATTAAAGATGTTTTCATGTGGAAAAGAGGAAAGGCAAGATAGGATTTCATAAAATCATAGAAACCTAAAGATGAGTCTCCTAGACTAAGTCTTCTCTTACTCCTTTCCAAGATAAATTTCTTACTGACAGAGAAGAAATTAAAAGTAGCTTTGAATTCATAGGAAAACACCAAACTGCTTATAAGTGTTTCTCAAACCCCTAAATGGGATATTTTGAAGCAGATTTTTGCAAATGCAATAAAAATCCTGTGATTTGCTTTCTGATAAAGAACTAATGCCTTAACCAGAAGAATTAGAGAGACAAGATTTCCCAGATGAAATTGGGAGTTGATATCATCTTATTTTGTCTCTTATTTAAGGTATTCTGACTAAATATAGTGATAATTCTTTTTTGTGTTGATTTTCTTTAAAATTGAAGTAAATATTGGGATGCTTGAAAAAATAAAAGAGTAAATGTGTGACCTTTTGAGTTGGAGGCAGCATCTGTGGGCGCTCACGGTTTTGTGCCTGCTCTCTCTCCTCGGCTCTTACCCGGTCGGTTCCTGTGGGATCACTGCAGGTGGGTGTGGGGAGCAGGGGCTGACGTAGGACTCAAGAAGACTGGTCAAGGATGAGGATTTGTCAGGCATGTCAGGTGACTTGCTGCGCTGTCAGAACAATCATGAAACGAGAGGGAGATGTTCATGGTGCTGGTCCCGATTCTGAGTATATTGTTGTGTTATTGCAGGGAAAGTATTTACAGGTTGCTGCCTCAGACCACCCCTGAGAATGTGAGTAAGAACTTCAGCCAGTACAGTATCGACCCTGTCACTCGGTATCCCAATATCAACGTCAACTTCCTCCGGCCAAGCCAGGTAAGACCTTCTTGTCAGTATTTACATCTGGGCCCATCTGCAGGACCAATGAGAATTCTGATCTGTTGAGATGCGTGCACCTATTAATACCACACATACAAGGATACTTTTTTAGTCATCCAGGTAGATGTCTCTCTGAATTGGTAGAAGTAGATAGCATTTTCCATCAACAGATTGAGAGCTAAGGCATAGAGTTGTTAAATGACTTAGAGAAAATCAAACATGATAGGAATCCAGGCCTTTATGCCACGTCTTCTAATTCAAATTCTTACTTTACGGAAGAGCACTTGCCCCTTAGTGAGGAGAGGTAACTTCCACCTGTGTTGTTGCTGCCGGTCACGTGTGACTTACATTGTCTGAACCTCAATTTCTTTACCTGAAAAATGGGAATAATAATCCCTGACTACTCACAGGATTATTGTGAGGACAAAAGAGATTGTTCACTTGAAAGAATTTGTTCTAGTGTAATTTTTTTTTTTTTTTTTTTGAGATGGAATCTCGCTCTGTCACCCAGGCTGGAGTGTGGTGGCACGATCTTGGCTCACTGCAGCCTCCACTTCCTGGGTTCAAGTGATTCTCCTGCCTCAGCCTCCCGAGTAGCTGGGATTACAGGCACCCACCTCCACGCCTGGCTAATTTTTGTATTTTTAGTAGAGATGGGGTTTCACTGTGTTGGTCAGGCTGGTCTTGAACTCCTGACCTTGTGATCTGCCCACCGTGCCTGGCCCCTAGTGTAATTTTCTGTTCACCTTCTACTTGAAGTTTATACCTTTAGGCCTTCTGTTAAGAGGCAGCATTATTAGTAGTCCAACCGAGACTCTTAGAGGGACCTCCATGACCGAGTAACTAATTTTTTCTCTCTTTTCTTTTTTCTTTTTTTTTTTTTTTGAGACAGAGTCTTGCTTTGTTGCCCAGGCTCTCTGGGGTGTGGTGGCACTATCTCAGCTCACTGAAGCTTTGACTTCCTGGTCTCAAGGGATCCTCCCACTTCAGCCTCCCAAGTAGCTGGGACTACAGCTAATTTTTAAATTTTTTGTAGAGACGAGGCCTCCCTGTGTTTCCCAGACTGGTCTCAAACTCCTAGCCTTAAGCCATCTGCTGGCCTCGGCCTCCCCAACTATAGGGATTATAGGTGTGAGCCACCGCACCCGGCCCTGTGTAGCTGATTTCTAGCACAAAGTCCCACAGTTAAAATGTGTTTGTTTTTCTCAAACCCCACCTTATTTCATAAAAGATTTAAAGGTCATCATCCTAACTTCTGTCTGAACTTTACCCAGCCTTCTATCCCAGACTTTCCTTTCAGCCATTCTGCTCTTAGGTAGGAATTTGTTACTTGATATTTGATTTTCTTTCTGTTTGACTTTGTAAATTTCTGCCAGGTGCGCCATTTATATGATACTGGCGAAACAAAAGATATTCACCTGGAAATGGAGAGCCTGGTGAATTCCCGAACCACCCCCAAATTGACTCGCAATGGTGAGTTCTGGTGGTGGCTTTTTAAAATGCAGGCAGCCCCTTCAGAGAAGTCTATACTCATTCCCTGAGCCACAAGGTGCGGTCCGAGGCAGTGGCCGAAGTACTGTCTGAGACAGTGGCTCTCAACCCAGGGTGATTTTGCCCTCCAGGGGATACTTGGTAGTTGTCTGGGGACATTTTTGATGGTCATGATTGGGGGTGGGCAGGAGCCAGGGATGCTGCTGAACATCCCGCAGTGCACGAGACAGGCCTCCACCACACGGAATTACCTTGGCCTGAGGTGTTACGAGAGCACAGAGAGAAACCAGGTACAGACGCGGGGCAGAGGGGAGAGAGGGAGAGAGTGTGAGAGCTAAGGTTTCGGGAGAAGACTTTGTGGAAAAAGTCTTTGGCTGGGTCCTGCAACATAGCCAGGATTCAGTGACAGGTGAGGACCACTCCAGATTTTGTATGTATTGAAGGCCCTGAATACTTTTTTGAAAGAGAATGACATGAGTACACCTGGTCAGCCACACGTGAGAGGGGTTGGAGGAGGGAAGTACCAGAGGCAGGGAGACCAGGTAGAAAGACCTCGCCATAGTCAGGCTGAAGGTGGTGGAGGCCCAGATCTGGGCCTGATGCTGGGGATGAAGAAGGGAGGAGGCAGTGGAGGAGACCTCAGACTTTGGGCCAGGTGCAACTGGGTCCCAGGCCAAGCTTTGCTGCTGGTGAATTGTGCGGCCTCGAAGAGGTGATTGAATAGCTCTGAACTTCGATTTCCTTGTCTGTGAAGTGGGGGCAGCAGTGTCTACCTCACATTGTGATCATGAGTGCCGGGCCTGTGGTGGATGGTCATTGCCATTGTTGGTTATGTGAGAGAGAATGGTAAGGAGGTGAAGTCGATGGGCAGGGGCAATTGATCACCTTGTGGGGCAAGAGGTAGGTGTTTGTAGATGGTGCTACATCAGCGTAGGCAAGGCAGAGGGAGGGCTGAGAGGGTTGAGAGGTTTGAGTCATTTGGACATTGTGAATTTGACGTGCCATTGGGATGCCAGGGTGGATGTGAGGACCAGCAGGCAGTTGGAAACATTTGCATTTTTCTCCACTGGAGCGTCTTCTCTTTGAAAGCAGAGAGTGTATCTTTATTCACTGTTTTTATTTTAGAGCATGGAATATTGAAGTTGCCTGTTACATATTGGATGGTTGGATATACACATAGGAGACAGATCTGAGTAAAAGCTCATTTCTGAGCCAAGAGATGGCACCAGAAGGTGGTTTTATGTGTTATCGCAGAATACATTTTCATGGCGAAAAACCTAAATGAAACAGGATTTTCATGATACTTGGTTTTTAGCTTATGTTCACAAATTACTAAATGACTTAGTACAAACTTCAGTTGCCCTCGGTAAGGGAACAGACTTTCTTGGATATAAATAGTTCATAGATTCTTTTGAATGGCCGATATCAGAGCTCTTCTGATGTGATTAATAATAGGATTTTTAAAGAGGCTGTTCGGGTTTTAGAAGACGTTTCAATGAACTGTAAAAAGCATCCCAGCACATGTGTTTGCCTATTCAGTTTCTCAGGGTTGAGAATTCATAGTACAAGGTGCCAAGCTCTGTTCGGGGACTGTCTGGTCTGGGGCCCCAGGGTTGTCAGCGGAGCCCTGCAGGGCTTCTTCTCTTGGCAAGTTATACAGTGCCTTGGAAGTGCAAGGGCGAGGCCTGGGTGCTTTGGGTTGAACGTGCCACCCTATAGAATGGAGCCTTTTCTCCTCTCCTCTTCCCAGTGTTACTTTGGAGGGGGTAGGCTTCCTCAGCTAGGTGCCAGCGACTGTCCGGGAACTCAGAGCTGCTGTAAGCCAGGCTGGCCACACAGTAGGTGGCGCTCCTCCACCTCAGTGCCGTGGGGACAGCAGGTTGTGGCTGTCAGGCTGTGGTCCCTCAGGGTACTGGGGGGTGGACGTTGACCTTAGAGTCTGGATAAACTAGTAGTTTCTTTTCTTAGAATTCGCTGTCATGATACCATTTGCATAACCTTGTTCCTCACTGTTTTCTTTGCATGGAAACTAGTGTTGACTGTTTCGTCCCTACCCTCAGTAATTTTTCAAAGGGGACATGTGTCCTACAAAGAGGATTCTCTGTCAGCATTACCAGGTGACCACACCTCCAATAATACTGTGTTTTGTTGTTTTAGAGTCTGTAGCTCGTTCAAGCAAACTGCTGGGTTGGTGCCAGAGGCAGACAGATGGCTATGCAGGGGTAAACGTGACAGATCTCACCATGTCCTGGAAAAGTGGCTTGGCCCTTTGTGCAATTATCCATAGATACCGCCCTGACCTGATGTAAGTTGTGATCAAACTTTGTGTTTTTTTATACTCCTCAAGGATCTCAGACCACTCTGCTATCAAGTAACATTTTGTCCTTTTTCCTAGAATGAGGTACATAGTAAGATACTTTCTCTAGAAGGCAGTGATTTTGATTTCACTATATTTGAAACTCTGTATGTCATGTATTATATAGCTCAACCCAGGAATGATTTTTATTTTTGTTTTTTTCCAATTTTTTTTTTTGTGCTCCTATAGCTGAGTTTTAAAAATCACAACACTCATAAGTCAAAAACTGGTTTTGACACCCACCTGGGCCTGTTAGCTTCCCACAAAGGAAAACTGTTTATTGGCCCCGGTTGAACTCTTCATTTCGGCCAGCTGTCTCTCAAATTCTATGGGTCACAAGGGAAACCTGGCTAGAACATTTGGCCAGCTCAAGGCAAATGTGTCACTACTAACAAAGCAAAACATCATGAACAGTTGACCAATTTATGATGGTTCATTGGTATTTTCTCTGTGTTAAAGACTGCGTTTTTTACAGACATACTCTGTTGTCCTACCCACCTATCCCAGTGACATCTCCTTTGGCCATTCTCCACTCACCTGTCTACAGAATCAGAGTTCTAGGGTGACCCCAGGTCAGCTGCGGGGACCAGCACACCCAGGTTCCCCCATCGGCATTTGTTACCACGGAAGCCAAACCGAAGGATTCAGAAGCAGAGCATGTTGCATTATTTTGGTTTCCTGTCCTTTTCATCATTAGGTCCACTTAAGGGGCCAATTTCTGTTTGTTTTGTTTAATGATTGCTTAAGGAATCCTACAAGATATAGTTGCTATTTATATGATGGTTATAAACTGACAAGGCAAGAGCTGGTAAAAATAGCCTTGTGCAGTGTGGATTACAAATGGGGATTTCTGGTGTGCTTGGATGGAGGTAAGTGACCTCTGGTGCTCCTGTCACTTAGCTCACCCAGAAGTTGATAGCAAGTAAGTAAAAATAGGGCTTATTCACTCCTGCCAAAGAAAGGGGGTAGGGCAAGGAAGAGCAGCTTGGGAAAGATTGTGATCAGTGGCAGAGGATGGGCAGGTGAGTCAGCTCTGTTCCAAAGGGAACAGGCAGAAGTGGTTGAGGGAGCCTAGCAGGTGGGGGTGGAGGGGCGCCTGGAGAAGGTTAGGGGACCGTCTTCTAGGAAGGCAAAGCAGCACAGGGACAGCGCGGCACTGTTCAGCAGCAGTGAGGTCATAGTTTCAGAGGCTGAACCTATGGTGAGGAGGAGTTTGAGAAAATGGAAAATGCTGTGGGATCCTAGATTAACACAGAATTAAGGGCTGCTGGGTTAACCTGAAGTCATGTAAAGAAGAATGCGATCAGTCTTCTGAAAAGCAAGAGGCTTAAACCCAGTAGGAAATGGCCATTAATCTAAATAGGAAACTTAGCAATGGAAAAATTTTTTGAGGAGGATTTTGGAATTTCCCCTCCAGGAGAAGGCTAAGATTGATCAGAGCTGATTTAGTACCTTAACAGCTTGTCAGGTCTAAGGGCCATGGTGGGTGATAGTCCCAGGCCTGTAGGAGCAATCTGATCCAAATGGGAGATGTATCATGTTTTGACATTAGTTTAATGTGGATGGGCCATACACAAGGATCAAGATATATTAAAGATAGTTCCTATTATTTTTTATTTTTATTTTTAGAGACAGGTCCCGCCCTATTTCCCAGGATAGAGGGCAGTGGCACAGTCATAGCTCATTGCAACCTTGAACTTGCGGGCTCAAGTGATTCTCCTGCCTCAGCCTCCCAAGTAGCTAGGACTGTAGGCATATGCCGCCATGCCTAGCTAATTTTTAATTTGAATTAAATTTTTAATTTAAATTGAACTCCTGGGCTCAAGCAATTCTCCTGCCTCACCCTTCCAAAGTGTTGGGATCACAGGTGTGAACCACTGTGCCCAGCCAGTCCCTATTCTCGAGCTCACATTTTAGTAGTAAATTTGTGTTACTAGAAAAATGAGAGTCGTTTTTTGACTTTCTCCCTTTTTTTCTTTGGTGGGTAGACCTTTCATCACTTCCTGAGGTTGCTTTGCTTTTCCTCAGTAAAAAGAAAAAGAACAAGAGGTGAGATAAGACAGGTTTGCTCTCAAATGTCAGCGATGCACAGCACCCTGGATTTTAGCTGAAAACAGAGAAAGGACGATGACTCCAGGATACTGCGTTTCTGTTTAAGGACTGTCAACCTATCTTGATATGTTTTCCTTGTCCTGTTTCTCAGAGATTTTGATTCTTTGGATGAGCAAAATGTGGAGAAGAATAACCAACTGGCCTTTGACATTGCTGAGAAGGAATTGGGCATTTCTCCCATCATGACAGGCAAAGAAATGGCCTCCGTGGGGGAGCCTGATAAGCTGTCCATGGTGATGTACCTGACTCAGTTCTACGAGATGTTTAAGGACTCCCTCCCCTCTAGCGGTAAGGCCTGGAAGGAGCTGCTTTGCGGCCCCCTGCTGCTGTGCTGTGGCCCGGCTGTTCTTCCTTCCTTCCGACTGTCCCGCAGCAGTGCCACCAAACACAAAGTTACTCTGTGTTTTTACCAGTTAGCTGTCAGGGAAATCTCTGGAGCTTTGCTTCATTGTTTCTCCCTTCTCTAGTAGTGTGTTCTCAACCCCTCCTTTCTTTCTCACTGCATTTATAAAAATGCAGAAATCGTTCCTGTGCCGTCTTTTTCCGTGACCACCACCTTCTAGTGCTCGTGCTCTCAGAGCCAGCCTTTTTGAAGAAGTGGCTTGTGCTTGTGGCCTCTGCTTCTGCACGGCCCAAACTTTGTAACGGGTTATAATCCGGCTTCTCTTCATACCGCGCTACTGCAGCTGTTCCCCAGTGAGGAGGATTCCCACCTCCTACTCTTTTCTCAGTTCCCATCTCTCATGCACTTGCTTTTCTGCATTGTTGAGCACCGGAGAACGATGTCCCTTTTCGTGGAATTATCTTGTCTCCTCTGTGTCTGTGATCCTGAACCACTCTTGTTGCCCTTCTTTCTCCTGTCACTGTGCATTCTCTTGGCTTCTTTCTACTCCTACTTGTTAGCACTTCCCAAAAATCTTTGCTTGTCTCTCAGCTTGCTGTCTCAGGCTCTCATAGTGCTACAAAAAATATTCCTGTTGTCATTAATTGTCCCTTAGAGTAAGTGTAGGTTGAGGCTAGAGTGTTGGCTGTGGGGTCTGACCTGGATTTACAGTATCCCAGGCTTCCACTTGGCCTTAGGCAAGTTACTCAATTTTCCTGTGTCTCACTTTCCGTCAACCTATCTTGTAAAATGGGGTAACGGGTGTAAAATGGGGATAATATGTATAATTACATTGTGATGTGCCAAGAAGGATGTTTGGCCAGTGGAAGTACTTAATAAATGTTAGTGATTTACTATGAATTAATGACTATTTTAAAAATTGCTGTTGTTACTAATGAAACATTGAAATCCAAAAAGCTTGTGTTACCACCCTCCAGTGCTTTCCAGCCCATATATTCTTGTAAGGATCTGTGGCTTTTCCTGGTTAGCCATGACGTTCTTACAACAGAAAGCCACAGCTCTAACATCGACGTACCCATTCAGTGCCACCCCCATCTGTGTGCAGCTCAGAGTGTGGCATCTGCATACACTAAAACCAGGAACCCTGAGTTCATCGCCTCTCTGCTTTTCTCTCTCCCTCCCTCTCTCTCTGTCCTGAAATTTTTGTCACAAAAACGAGCCTTCAGCACTCTGCTGTAACTAACAATCACAGCCAGCTTCCAACTTTTGAAAAGCAAAAGTGCGGGTTTTGGTAACTGTAGTAGATTGGGAAGAAGAGTCATTTTTGTTTATGTGGATGAACAAAAGAAGGTTCAATGTCCATACCCAAGTATGCATTTCCTCCGTGGCGTTTCCTACTGAGACCACATGCTTGTCCTGGAGCTGGTGAACCTTTAGAGCCTTCTGAGGCTCTGCGAACCATCCACGAGGGAGAGTAGTTTTGGTCAGGATTTTGCGGCGCCCTCAAGGGCTGTGCTTGAACATCACTGGTTTCTATTCCCAGACACCTTGGACCTAAATGCCGAGGAGAAAGCAGTCCTGATAGCCAGCACCAGATCCCCTATCTCCTTCCTAAGCAAACTTGGCCAGACCATCTCTCGGAAGCGTTCTCCCAAGGTATGTGGAGGAGTCTCTTGATGGGCTGCAAAGCTAATGGCAAGGTATGTATGGCTAGAATAATGCAGTTTCCCTCCTCCCTTGGTACAGGATAAAAAGGAAAAGGACTTGGATGGTGCTGGGAAGAGGAGAAAGACCAGTCAATCAGAGGAGGTGAGATTCACTTGGGGAATTGCTAGAATGGTCATGTGGAATAGCCCCTTTTGGTTAAAATTCTTCATTTCCACATTGGTATTGCTAGGTCTTTTCATATTCATCCTTTATGAGAATTTCTGTTGGGCTTTTTCTTTTCTTTTTTTTATTTTCTTTTTTTTTTTTTTTTTTTTTTTTTTTTGAGACAAGAGTCTTTCTCCATTGCCCAGGCTGGAGTATAGTGGCACGATCTGGGCTCACTGCAACCTCCACTTCCTGGATTTGGGTTCAAGCAATTCTCCTGCCTCAGCCTCCCAAGTAGCTGGGATTGCAGGCATGTGCCACCACACCCAGCTAATTTTTGTAATTTTTTTTTTTTTTTTTTTGAGACAGAGTCTGGCTCTCTTACCCAGGCTGGAGTGCAGTAGTGCAATCTCGGCTCACTGCAACCTGCACCTCCAGGGTTCAAGCGATTCTCATGCCTCAGCCTCCCAAGTAGCTGGGATTACAGGTGTGCATCACCATGTCCTGCTAATTTTTGTATTTTTAGTAGAGACGGATTTTCACCATGCTGGCCAGGCTGGTCTCGAACTCCTGACCTCAAGTGATCCGCCCACCTTGGCCTCCCAAAGTGCTGGGATTATAGGCATGAGCCACCACACCCGGCCAAATTGTTCTAATTTTTTAGTAGAGATGGGGTTTTACCGTGTTGTCCAGGCTGGTCTCAAACTCCTGGCCTCAAGTGATCCACCCATCTTGGCCTCCCAAAGTCCTGGGATTACAGGTGTGAGCCACCATGCCTGGCCTCTCTGGTTTTTTCTGTGGATGTTTGCCTTTGTTTAATTTTCCAGAGCACACCAGGGATGCACACACGTGCACCAGGGCCTCCTTGTCTCTTTGGTTCATACATGTGTTCGAGGGCAGTGGCTTCCTGGAATGTGGCAGTACCAGCACAGGTCCCAGTACTCTTTATACGGCCCTACCTCCAGGCTTGCTGTCTCTGTGTGGACACGGGAACCTTGAGAGCTGAGCCAGTCCACCAGCCCCCATGCCAGGTCCTGAGTGCACTTCTGTGAGGGAGGGGCATGGGGGGAGCCTCCTGTCACAGCGCCGGGTTCTTTGGGGTTGGCATTGACCAGGAGGAAGCTCCTCGGGGCCACAGAGGAGAAAGACCGACCCTGGTGAGCACTCTGACAGACAGGAGGATGGACGTTGCCGTTGGGAACCAGAACAAAGTGAAGTACATGGCGACCCAGCTGCTGGCCAAATTTGAAGAGAATGCGCCCGCACAGTCCATCGGCATACGGAGACAGGTAAACCCAACCCGTGCCCTGCCCACACCGATTTGGTCAGATCACACAAGAAGGGGGGATCTTTTCCATCCATTGAGATGGGCTGTGTCACAGACCCCAGCGTTCGTGGGCTGGCATCTGGCTTTCCCTCGCCTGACTGCAGCAAAGAAGAGCCCTGTATATGCTTGCTTCAGGCTCTGAGGGTTGCTCCGTCCTCAGTGTTCAGGCCTGAGGTGTCCACTGACAAGAATCAGCAGAGGGATCTAAAAAAAATCTGTATTCATATACCTGTACATCTGTACATGTTTGCAGACATATTTAAATTCTAGAGAAGTACACACTTACTGAGGAAAATGCTGAAAAGTACAGTAAAGGTAATTAAGCCACCTGTAATTCTATTAATTAATATTTTCCTGCCCTTCTTTCTGGTGTTTTTTTCAGTGTATTCTTGTTTTTGTAGATGAGGTCATTCTTAACATATACTTTTCGATTCTCCTTTTTTCATTTAACCGTAGGCGTTCCCATGTTGTTCCTGACTCTTTACAAGCACCTTTTGGAATGTGTGGGCATCAGGCTTCTCTTAGCTGTTGCTCTAGTGTTGGATGTTCGAGTTGTTTCTCATCTTTGGATAAGCGTTCTTATGATAAAGCTTCTTTTGTGTGTTGCAGCTGTTTCCCGGGATATTTTCCTAGGAATATGAGCATTGAGTGCTAAGCAGCACTCCCACATGCCATGCATGCGAGTGCATGGCAGCAGCTTGTGGCTTGGGGTGTCTTGGTTAGGGCGTGTCTCTCCCCTTGATTGTCTAAAAGTCACTCTGACTTCTTACAAGAGGCGGGGCTGGGATTTTGAAGATTCGCACTGGAAGTGTCTCATAAATCTCAATGATAACTGGAGAGAGCAGCTGGAGGGCAGGGCTGCTTCTCTGAATTTCTCTTCTCTCTCTCCGTCTTTTCCATGCCCATCAGCCATTCTTCCTATGGACCAGATGGGTGGGAGCAGCTTTGCTTGGAGTCTGGCCATAATTAACTACCTCCCACATCTAGTCTTTGCACGCCAGTCTTTTCATGCTATGGCTCACAGAAAAGGTGATGATATTCATTGATAAACGGTTGTGGTTGTCTGGAGGCTCTGGCAGCCCCAGGTGCCCCTACCTTGGGAAGGCTGGAATGCTGTCCGTTAGAGGAAGGTTGCCTCTAAGAGAAGGTTGCTTTCCTCATTTTGGATGGGAATATTAGTTTTCCAAATCAGAATTAGTGGCTTAGACTCAGAGAACATTTAGCTTGGAAAAGAGATGATGCGTATTACAGCTTCTGTTTTCCTTTTTCTGTTCTTTTGCATTTGCTTTTGGTTTGGGGGAGGCTGTTAGCTTTGCTTTAGAAGTGTAACTTTCTAAGAATGAGTCCCCCTCTTCCCCACAGTTCACAGATATGGGGCTGTCGCCTGTGAGTTCTTTCTGTTCTTCTCCCACCTTAATGTATTTTTATTTTGTTTTGTCTCCATGTCCTGTCCCCACCCACACTTGGCCTGTGTGTCCCAGCTGACACAAGAGCGTGGGGCCAGCCAGCCGTCCTGCTGCCTGCCTGGGCAGGTTCGCCCTGCCCCCACCCCCCGGTGGAAACAGGTAAAGGAACTGCCAGGGCCAGGATGGGTGCTGTCTCTCCAGGCCTTCCTACCCCTCCTCCTGAGCCAGCCAGGGTTCAGGCCTGTGCTCTGGAATCCTAGCTCATGAGGGCAGGAAATCTCTGCTCATTCGAGTAGTAGCTCTGGGAAAACATTGAACAGGCAGTGCTGATTGATTGCATGATTTATGTAACTCCTGGGGATTTGAGAAAGTTAAAAGGGAGACTGTTGATTTGGTTTGAAACTCGCTGAAGCTGTGTGGTAGGTGGCTCACCCAAGGGTACCCGCGCTCTTGGGTTTGCTGTTGTCACATTTGTCTCAAGTTGACTTTTTTCTAGCATGTTTCCTCGTGACCTTGGGAGAGAGAATTCTGAGTATGTCAGGCCTGAGAGTTGGGGTGTAGAGCCTTTTACATTAAATAGGAGAATGTTATCCAGGAAAATAGTCTGGAACTATGAGTTTGTGTTTGTTTTAAATCCTGGATGAAGGTATTCCTGGACATTTTCTTGGTGTTTTCTCTACATTTAAATTAATGTTTTTGGAAATTTTCACTAAAACCTTGGCAGGATCTCCTGGAAAACTGCTTATCCTAAGTAGTACAGAATAGGGCAGGTGATGGCATGCGCTTTCTAAGAGAAAACCCAGCAGAGGAATTGGGACCCCCAGCTGCGTTTCCTCCGTGTCACAGCTGAGCAAGTCCCTGCTCTCGAGTGGAGCCAGGGTTGGCTACCTCGTTGTCCGATATCATTTAGGTCTGCTGAGATGCTGAGAGGGCCATGAGTGGGCCCTGGATGCCGTCAGTGCCTTCCGTAGTCGGTCTCCCCAGCCTCCTGTGCTGTAAAGTGAGTTTATTGTTAGGAGATACTGAGGAGTGGTGAGTTGGGTTTTATTTAAATTACTTACATTCAGGCAAAAATGTTCCTTTCTAACCATTCTTTGATAATATAGCACATTAAAGGCAGGGCCCAAAAGGCTGAGATGGAATTTTGGGAGCAGTGTCCAAACTCACGACAGAAGGCGAATTCATTCTTTCTCTGTGCATGAGGGAGGTCTTCTGAAAAATGTAATTGGAAGTTTACTTGCATTTTATTTTCTTAACCTTTGCCTTGATGTCTAGGTGGAAGATATGATTTGAAAGATGATGCTTAGTTGAGGATCTGTTGCAGGGGAAGGTGAACTCCAAATTGGATTCCAAAACCTCTTACAGTATTCATAACGGGTGCCTGAGGTGGGAGGAGCAGAGGGAGAGGGAGGTCAGGAGTGACATAGGCGAGTGGGGGAACAGGTGGTTGTGGCTGGAATGGCACTGAGGGGCCGCCAGAAGCACTCTCCCTGGAGAATGTTGGTAGTCCCTGCCAGCGCAGCTTGTCACCTGAGTCGGTATGGTCATGGTGGAGTAGGAGACTGGCAGGCTGTGTGGGCAGTGGAATAGAACCATGAAAGTCAAACGCAGGTTCTGTGGGATGGGCACTGGAGATTACAGTTGGAGACAGTAGCTGGGCAGATGTATAAATGAGACTTGATTGGTGAGAAATCGTTAGCGGTGAGAACCCCGTTAGGTTCTTTGGTACAGGGGATATCCAATAGGGATTTGCGAATTTACCAGGTGGCAGGGAGATAGCACTGTGAACCGGAACTCACAGTTCTTAAGTCCATGTGAAATGTATAGTATTCACATAGAACTTTCTCAGCTCTAAATCATGCATTTGGGCCTTCTAAATTTATCTCCTGAAAGAGAGTTGGAGTTGCAGTGCCAGATACTTGCAGAAGCCTGGGACAGAGGAACTCCAGTGGTACCCAGGCCCTGTGTCTGATGCCTCCCATGGCTGGCCCTCCGCATCTCCCTTCAAGAAGCAGGGCTGACTGGCAGCATCCCATTGTGACTCATGGTGCTTCTCTGGAGGTGGTTCAGAGGCAGGAGGGCATTGCCTGGTAGGACAGTGATAGCTGAGTTGACAGAAGGGCCCGCCTCAGCCTAGGTCATCATATGGAAGAGGGAAAATAATAGCAGCTCAGCCTGCCAGTGGCTTCTCTTTATTTCCTTACTTTGTAAACACTGTGGCTCTTCCCTTCCCCACCCTTTTGCCTTTTGATCTCAGAAACACATCCCAAAGGCAAGCTCTGTGCATTAACCAGCCCTAGTTTGGAAGTAGATTGTCATGGGAGCTCTGAGCGAGTACGGGGCTGTTTCCCCAGACCTCGTGGCTTCCCTGCTCCCCGGCTCCCTGCATGCTGCCCCATGGGTCACCTGGGCACAGGGAGATGAGACTTCCTTGGAAGGTATCAGAGAGGCCTGGGAATGTGTGATTGTTTCTCAAATACCAGCGGCTTTGTAAATTGTAGACAGACTCTCGAAGGGAATACGGTGGAGGGGGCAGAAATGAGGGAAAAGCCAGGGACATGTATATGGCATTCAAATGTTAGTGAGACACATTTAATTTTGACATCATGCTCCTGCCTTTGTTGCATTTCCTTGTTAGTTTCCTGGAGCCCTTTGAGCCTCCATGAGTGCAGGGACTGAGAGGAGGGCAGCAGTGCCAGCCACTATCACAGCTGCTCCCTGAAGGGGCTGCTGCTTCGCTTCATTGGATGCACGTGACCAAGCCCTTGAGAGGGGGTCTCTGTGTCCCCTCTTAGTGGTTGGCCTGTTTGCCCTCTCTACTCATCAGCAAGCCTATTTCTTGTATCCCCAACTTCCCTGAGAAAACTGTTGCTCCCTGGCACCTGGAAAGTGCTGCACCGCTGGTTCTCCCCAGTCCCGCAGATCACCCCTGTGGCTGTGCCTATCAGAAGGTGCACGTCCCACCTGGGGGCCCACGGGAGACCACTGGGCTGCCCTCTGAGGATGGAGGGGCAAGGAAAGGCCTCCCTGGGGTGCTTCTGACAAACACCCTTCAGTCCTCCCAGAACCAGCTTCCACATGGCCACTGTTTGAATGATGTTCTCTCTGTTTGTGTCTGTTGGTGTAAAAGCAACGGGAAAAGGAGTGTTCTCGGACCTGCCCCAAAAAAGTGATCACCCTGTCTCCTCCCCCTACTCCACCTCCCTGTCGGGCACATGGCGGCCAGCAGGTGATCCTCTCTGCATGCTCCATGTTCCTGTCTCTGTCTGCCTGCCTGTCTGTGTAGGTGGCTAGTGTAGAGACCAAGTCACTTTCCCTCTTACCAGCAATAACTATCAAGAAGAAAGGCTATGCGTAGAAACCGTTTGTGGTGGAAGCAACTTTTATGGCCCTCAGGATGGTGCATCCTACATTCACACCTGACCCTAGTCAGTCCCACCCACATCATGGAAACACGACTGTCCCACCACGAACTAGAAGTTCAACTGTAATTGATGTTTGTCGTGCATCCGAGGCCCAGGAGCCCTGAGAGCAGCCTGTTTTTCTAAAACCCCACTGAAGGCAGCCCTTTTCTCTCGCTGCACAGTGAGGTGGAGTAAGGCCTTCGGGCACTGCCGCAGGGCTTCTCCACGTGAGTTTCGTTCCTTCTGATTCTGGGAGCTCTGCCTCTTGCCCATTCAGCATCTTCCAACAAACACTCCTCCCCACTGCACTTGCACGCCAGGCACAGCATTCAGGAGCAGCCCCATAGCCAGCCACAGCTGTGGCCAGTGAGGACAGCAGGCCAGTGAGGACAGCAGGCGTGTGTCTGCGGCATGTTTGTAGGATGGCATTGTTGACCTTCATGGTATGTTTCTATAAAATGTGAGTTTCAAGAGCAGGATCTATGGAAAGACATTTTCCCACCTAGGGTGGCCTGTTTAAAGTGTGACCGTATTAACGTGACTGATTTTAAAGGCCCCACCTGTGTCCATGGTTCTCAGAACTGAGCCGTTGCAGGTTGAGCAGCTGCTGGGTGCCTTCATCTACACAAGAGCTAGCCGTCCTCAGCGTCCGCTGTCGCCTGGAAAGCACGCTCAGTTCTTCTCAAGCTGTGTCTCCGTCAGTTCTCACAGTAACCCTGTGAGGCAGGTGCTGTTACTGGCTCCGTTTTACCAGGGAGGAGACTGAAGTATAGAGTGGAGAGGCCATGTCACGTGTCTGAGCCGCATAGTAAGCAATGCAGCCAGACTCGAATCTGGCTTGTGGGACCGGGGCTACGCTCTGGCCTCCCTCTGCCCACAGAGACATTATGCTCACGGGTGCTAGATAGGAGCAGCCACGTCAGAGGCCTTGGGGCTGTTTTTCCACCCGCACGTGGCTGTAAGGTGAACCCTTAGCCAGCCAGAGAGTAATGCGAGGAGCCTTCCCTGGTCCTGTGATTGCCGCTTCTGGCTCCTCGGATGAGCAAGGCCATGTCCCTACCTGCAGGTCTTTACCCTTTCACATATACCTTCCCGTCCATTCGCCAAAAACACATTCACTTCTCCCTTTAGTAAATTATGCTTTGGCCCGATGCTCCTATTCAGGAACCACTTCCCACTCTGGAGTTTCCTCTGGACTGCTGTCTTAGTCATTTATTCTAGCCAATTCCCACCTCCCCACCTTTGCTTTCTAAAATGTCTTGTTGTGGAATGTGTCACCCTTTTAACCTGCCTCTCCTTCTAAACCTTCCATTTGATGCCTCTGATCTTATGCCACTGTGTGAAAGAAATATGCTTGTTCCACCTTTGTACTAACCATAGTTCTTCATTGATCCGTGTAGCTGGCCTCGTCGGAGGCCAGTGGGGGGTGGAATGGCTGTGCAGAAAGTCGGCCTTGTGTCATGGGATTTGATACAGATGGGATTATGGTTACCTGGGGATGGGGTTAGTAGGGGAAGGCGATATGTGTTGAACTCTGCATTTCTGCCCCTGAATTTCCCACTGTCGTTTAGTAGGTCCAAATAGAGCGATATGCATGGAGCTTAAGTTTCTACTTTGTTGCCAACAGACATACAGGGATCTTGATGCTGACAACCGTGGCAAGCAGAGCCCCCACCATGAGAGGGTAAAAGAGCATGAACCCGTGGCATGGGATGCTGAGAGCCAAGCACACGGGGCACGCTGTGGTGGTGGGGCAGCGGGAAGGGATATGGGGGACGGCCCCCTCCCCTTGCTTTTTGCACGCTCTTGTCACCCAGCCAAGAGCCAGAATTCTTTTTGCTAGCAGTGTTGACCAATGCAAATAGCATTCACTGTAAAGCAGTCACCCATCTGGCATTCAGATGGGATGCTGATCCTAAATGTGCGTATTGTAAAGGGCCTTAATGACTTCCCATTTCTGCCCACTGTTCCCCTTCCAAGACCATACTATTTCTACCCCCAAACTATGTGCCAGTGGTAGAGTAGTAGCATTGGACTGTCAGATACAACTTCTTAGGGAGAGGGTCTAAATCAGTATTCAAGTGGCATTCAGCAGTCACGGATCTTGAAGTGGAAATCCTAAGAGAGCCAAAGCTCTTACCAGCGTGAGGATTTTTCCAGTGGGATGAGAATGAGGGGGAGAAAGGTAGGTGATGGCAAAATGGGGCTGTACCCGTGGAAAGCTTTAGTCTTTTCTGAAACACTGAGGGGAGAAATTACTGATTGCAGCTGGCCATCGTACAATGTGAGGGATAGCCGAGATGCCCAGTTAAAGAAGCCGGCTTACTTTATGAAACTTTTGTTCTTGTTATTCCTACCCTTAAAGATCTCCAAGTGGGTACAGCTCTGCAGCTAGCGGGAAGAATCATCTCTAGTTGTTAATCTCACAAAAGCCATTTTGGTTTCTAACTCCCTTCTGCCTTTGCTCTCTGAGAAATGCAGTTATGGCCAAGCAGTAAATTAGGTTACCCCTCGGACCCGATAGGAGCTAATCATAGTGCCATCTTCCTGCGCCCTCTCACCAGGCTAGCAGCGGGCAATGTGTGTGCTGCCTGAACCTGGTGCTGGGTCGGAGAGTGGAGACTGGGCTGGAGGTGGGGGTCTTTCCCACCCCCTTTCCATGGCCTCGCCCCACGGTGCTCACCCTTTCTGGGGCTGCTCTCCCACGGCGCTGTGTGCCCAGCCTCTTTCTCTCTTCTTCCCAGGCTGTGTCCCCTCAAAAAGGAAAGCAGCCCTTTTCACTGAGCAGGGCAGTGCCCTCCATTTTGCAGATTGTGTATTTAATGAGATGCTGATAATGTTTAATGAAACAGCGCCTAAAAGAAGAAGGGAGGGGAAGGCCGGGTGCGGTGGCTCAGGCCTGTAATCCCAGCACTTTGGGAGGCCGAGGCAGGCAGATCACGAGGTCAGGAGATCGAGACCATCCTGGCTAACACAGTGAAAACCTGTCTCTACTGAAAATACAAAAAAATTAGCCAGGCATGGTGGCGGGTGCCTGTAGTCTCCGCCACTGGGGAGGCTGAGGCAGGAGAATGGCATCAACCCAGGAGGCAGAGCTTGCAGTGAGCCAAGATCGCGCCACTGCACTCCAGCCTGGGCGACAGAGCCAGGGCGACAGAATCAGACTCGGTCTCAAAAAAAAGAAGAAGGGAGGGGAGCATGTTGAATAGGAGAGATTGGCAGTGAGAAACAATTTGAAGTTTAGGGCTGTGGTGCAGAGAGGGGATGAGTTAGGGTTTTTGAGCTCAGGAGGCAATAAGGCTTGCAGAGATGTTTCTCTCTTTTTCCCTCTGAACTGGTTTCTGCACTCCTCAGTGCAGGGCTCCAGGCTGGATACTTTTGAGGACACTACTTAAGTTCTTTTCTTGGACTCTGCTGCCATCCTCCATAACCTCCCTAACCTCCATAACTTCCCTAACCTCCCTAACCTCCATAACCTCCCTCACCTCCATAACCTCCCTCACCTCCCTAACCTCCCTAACCTCCATAACCTCCCTAACCTCCATAACCTCCCTAACCTCCATAATCTCCCTAACCTCCATAACCTCCCTCACCTCCATAATCTCCCTAACCTCCATAACTTCCCTAACCTCCCTAACCTCCATAACCTCCCTCACCTCCCTAACCTCCATAACCTCCCTAACCTCCCTAACCTCCATAACCTCCCTAACCTCCCTAACCTCCATAACCTCCCTAACCTCCATAACCTCCCTAACCTCCATAACTTCCCTAACCTCCCTAACCTCCCTAACCTCCATAACCTCCCTAACCTCCATAACCTCCATAACCTCCCTAACCTCCATAACTTCCCTAACCTCCCTAACCTCCATAACCTCCCTAACCTCCATAACCTCCCTAACCTCCATAACCTCCCTAACCTCCATAACCTCCCTAACCTCCATAACCTCCATAACTTCCCTAACCTCCATAACCTCCCTAACCTCCATAACCTCCCTAACCTCCATAACCTCCATAACCTCCATAACCTCCCTCACCTCCCTAACCTCCCTAACCTCCATAACCTCCCTAACCTCCATAACCTCCATAACCTCCCTAACCTCCCTAACCTCCATAACCTCCCTAACCTCCCTAACCTCCATAACCTCCCTAACCTCCCTAACCTCCCTAACCTCCATAACCTCCCTAACCTCCCTAACCTCCATAACCTCCCTAACCTCCCTAACCTCCATAACTTCCCTAACCTCCCTAACCTCCATAACTTCCCTAACCTCCTTAACCTCCCTAACCTCCATAAGCTCCCTAACCTCCATAACCTCCCTAACCTCCATAACCCTGCATGTGTACTTGCCCTCTCTGCCCCACCTCTACCCAGTCCTACCCAGTCCCCCACTCCTCCCCTTGGCTCTGACTGCTCTGCCCCCCAGGGGGCTACTGAGTCTCCCTCTTGCTTCCTTCTGAGGGGCGGTGCTTACAGCCATCCTCTCCAGCTCCCTCTGGGGCCTGTGTTGCTGAGCCCAGGGCCAAGGAGCTGGCTGAGTGTCTCAAGCAGAGGGTGTTGAAGTACCAGGTAACTGCCAGTCTATGTCGCCACCCCACGGAGCTATGAAGTGCACGTGGCTGAGGTAGGGAGTGTGACCAATCTGGCTTGGAGCTGGAGGAGCAGAGGGCTTTCTAGCATCATGACTTAATGCTGTCCTTCCCACCTGTAAATAGTTCATTCTGAACCTGGTGGGAAATGAAGCAGTTATTGGTTGCCAAAGCTTTCGGTCACTGCCTCAATCTCTGGGGACTGGGTTCCTAGCTGCATGGGCCCACGGCTAAGGGAGACCCTTGCCCAGTTTTGTTACGTGTGCTATGTGCAGTCTGCAGAGGATTTGGGCTCAAGTCTTTTCTCCTCATCTTTGCTTGGGATTCAGCTGGCTCTTTGGCAAGCAGAGCCTCTCTGAGCACTAAGTGGAAGGAAGAGATGCTGCATTCCTGGCCCTTCTGTAGAAGGAGCGAGCTTCACTCTAGATTTGCTGTCTCCGCTGCCTGCTACTTCTAAGGCCAATGGAGTGATAGGGTGGCGGGAGAATCTTTTTGCCCTGGAGAAATCCCAGCTCAGGCCGGGGGTTGCTTGGCAGAGCACAGAGCATGTGAGTCGACAAGCCATCCCCCTGCCCTTCCTGCAGGCTGCCTTACCCATTCAGAGGGAGGCCGAGGCTGTGCCGGGCGGCCCACAGCTGCGGGACCGCGTTCCAGGGTGTGCTCTGCTGCAAGCATGAGGGAAGGACAGTTAAAAGCAAAACGGAAGCCTTGCATGGGCCGCTTATGCTTCTGGAGCTACTTTTTTTTTTTTTTTTTTTTTACTATACATGGTATTTAGATAAAGGTCTAGAGTAAAAGGCTCTACAACCATCTTATGTTCAGAGGTCAGTGTGTGACTTAATTTAACATTTCCTTTACTTTTGTTTTTCTCCATCTTGTATTTTATAGCCAGAGCCTGAACCTCCTCGTCGATTTTTTGTCGACCAGTGGGAGCTTTCTCTTAGTCTCCGCTCCTCTGCCCGCCCCGCCTCTCCCTCCTCCGACTCCCTCCGACAGGTAGCATGGCCTAGGACTCACTAAAACTCTGCCCTCCGCAGCCTCCACTCACGTCACTTTCGCAAGTGTCATGTACCCCAGGAGGCTGCAGTGTTCCTCACTTGGGCCCGTCTCCTGTAGGGAGCCAGCTGCATGTGTTGCTGTTTGCCTGTGTCGGTCTCGTGTGTGAGGTCTGTGGCACACTCCTCAGCTAAAGTGGCTGCTGGCTTTCATCCAACTGTATCTGACACATCCAGGTCTGTTGATGTGAACCCGCTTTGATCCTATTTCAACTATATCAAATAATGATAAATGTTTTGCAGCCATTGGCTTTTTTAACTTCACATGTCTTCCAAAATAATATGTGTTAAAAAGTAGGAACCACAATGTAATTAAATCACCTCAATGGAGGGGTGATGATGCGGTATTCTGGCTGCCTGTTGTCATCATTTGAGGAATGTACGCGGCTGTCACCTGAAGTAGCGCTGGTCCAGTTGTAGGGAGTTTCTAGAGAGATTGGAAGGTCTCTTTGCCACTCCTACTGGTATTTCCCATGCCTGAGTTGACGCCAGACCTCACGTCCTATGTGCATGGTAGCATATGCACGCGTATGGTGTGCGGCGGGATCTGAAGTAGCACTGGTTCAGTTGTAGGGAGTTTCTAGAGAGATTGGAAGGTCTCTTTGCCGCTCCTACTGGTATTTCCCATGCCTGGGTTGAGGCCTATGTGCATGGTAGCATATGCACACGTATGGTGTGCGGTGGGATCGATCCCGCAATTGCCACATTTCTGCTATTTTTTATGAGTGATGAGAAGGAAACCATCGCTTTTCATGCCAGAAACAAATAGAACTTGAGTCTTCACCTCTCTTGCAGGGATGCTTGTCAGTGTTGCCAACTTGCTGAGAACTGAATGTGGCAGATGCCTTTGCACGGGCAGCCCCAGGTTTAGTTCAACTAAACCCAGATGGTTTAGTTCAGGAGAAAAGGGTCCTGGCTGAGCAGTGAGGGCCCAGGGCTGGCTTGGTGTCCTGGCCTCATACTTGGCATCTGGCCCACACTGCCCCGTGTCTGCTGCAGAATGAGAGAAATGCCATTTTCTGCTCCCTCAGTGTCAGCTGTTAAGTTACCTGCTCAGCTCTGCCTGGTGTCTGTCTGTCCCAAGCCTCAGTTTCTTTAGTGTCCCTAAAGAAGGTTTAGATCTGAGAGCCACGTGTTTGTCTTGACCACTAATAGGTATAATCTGTGAAGTTAATGGGCAAATGGCACCAATCCTTGGGAATCTTATTTTTGAATTAAAAGCTATAATTGCTTCTTCAGTTCAGCTGAGCCTTGAGCTGAGCCACAAGAACGGCTTCGTCGTGTGTGCATCTGTGAGCCCCTCGAGCGCCTGCTTCCCCCTGCCCGGTGCTTCTGTGTTTCTTCCTCACACGAGGCCTTATGTGTCTGTCCATTCAGGCCATGTCCTAAGGGGGCTGTTGGCATCCCCGGGATAATGGCTCATGGTGAGTTGCTGAGTCAGAATTAGGGTCAGGTTCCCCCAGGGGGCAGGGAGCCCCCTTACTCCATGAAGTTCATGAGAGGAGCATCACCCACATGGTGGTGTGGCCATCTCCACATGGAAGGGTGATTTGATCGTGGGAGTCTCTAGAGGACTTCCTCTCGGGACAGGTCAAGGCGGGGCTGCCTGGGCACCCAGCTTAGGTGTGAGCAGGGCGGCTCATGATGGAGACGTGGAAGTTTCTCCTGTGGTTTCAGTGTTGCCAGAAAGAGGCTTGAGTTGGTTGGGTTTTTTTCTCTTACCTTTCTTCAACCTCTAAAATAAGCCCTCCTGGCCTAGAACACATTCCCACCTTCCTGGGCTGGTGGAGCAGCTTGGCTGCATGGCCACACCTCGTGGCCAACATGCCCAGCCCAGTCTAGAAGGCTCTGGCCTCAGCACCTGGATGGGCCACACGGGCCTCATCATGCTGCCCTCAGACCCCCAATAACATCAGCAGGGAGAAAGGGCTGAGAAGGCTTCTTCCAAAACAGCCTGGGAGCGTTCGCTGCCTGTGGCAGGCATTGTGGGGTCAAGCGTCAGGAAGCAGGAAGAGCTGGCGACGTGCGCTACCCACACAGAGGCGGCCTGTGCAGGAGTGAACATGGTTCCTTCTGAGTGAGGAGATGGCCTCCTGGACCGTGAAAGGCAGGCTCAGCCTGGGCACTGCTGCGTGCATGGGGGTGCCCCTCGAGTTCTGTGAATGCAGCCCAGCTCTGCAGGACCCAGGCCCTGCCTGCCTGTCTCTGTGCGCGTTCGCCCTGCCTTCTACCACCATTCCCTGGAACTGTGCATTCCACAGAGATGGGAGAGACCCAGTTCTTCCCAAGGAAGACACTTCCCCTGCAGCCGTCCTGCCTGTGCCGGTACCCCTGCGTGGACACTGACGCGATGTTTTTCTTCCACCCGGTTTCCCTGCCTGTGAGCACTGTGTTGGCATGGTTTGCTGCTGCACCTTGTATTCAAATTGCACTTCCCAAAGATTTCTTTTTTTCCCCGTGTCTTCTTAATTTATGTATTTTTTTCCTTCTCATTTCCCTTCATTCTGGTCATTTTGTAATCTTCAACCGATAGAAGTATATAAAGATGTACACGGGCGGAGTGAGCTCATTGGCTGAGCAGATAGCCAATCAGCTTCAAAGGAAAGAACAACCCAAAGCCCTTCTAGACAAGAAGGAACTGGTAAGAGACGCCTCCAGGCACTGTGTAGCTAGACCCAGCACAGCCATGGGAAACACACCTGTGTGCTGAGTCACTTATAGCTTGCATAGCCCGTGTATGCTATGCGGTAATTGCTTTTGAGGTTGTCTGGGTTTTGATAACCAAATTCCTAAGACTGCAGTAGTTGTTGTGTGAGTCCAGGGACCCACATATATTCATGTGAACTATGTCAACACGGAATAGATACAGATACAGCTACCCTCAGAACAGAACTCTGCTAGCATTTCCATTTGAGCTGGGGACCCTCGGGCCCCTTCCTGCCTTCTTCCATGTGTGTGTTTTCCATCATGCCCCTCCCATCCCTTCTCGCCCCTCTCCCTCCATTGCTCTTTCTCTAAGACTCTTTCTTGTCGATATTTCCCGGCGTCGCCAGGCTGTATCATAGCATTACTCAAGTCTGGTGTGAAGCACTGTGATGCTGGCTCCCTCGTCAGCAGCAGGCTGGCCCAGGCTTTCGCGGTTGTGCCAAGTGTTCTCTGTCAGTGCGTGGAGGCAGTGACTGTGGCGGTGCCGTCACTCTGTGGCAGAGCCAAGAGCACAGTTGACCGTAGCCAGTTAGAAGTCTGTCTCAAAGCAGACCCCTTAGTGAGGGTTGGCTTTGCTCTCGCAAGGCTGTGCCTCTAGGAGGGCCTGTGTGGCACTCCCTGAGGTGCTCCCCTTCCTCCCGACCGCCACCTCCTGCAGGGCTCCATGAAGAAGGAGTTCCCGCAGAACCTGGGAGGCAGCGACACATGCTACTTCTGCCAGAAGCGGGTCTACGTGATGGAGAGGCTGAGTGCCGAGGGCAAGTTCTTCCACCGGAGCTGCTTCAAGTGCGAGTACTGCGCCACCACCCTGCGCCTCTCGGCCTACGCCTACGACATCGAGGATGGTGAGACACCCTGCGCCTCCGGCCCCACTGAGAAACTGTGCTTGGACAGTGTTTCCATCTGAGCTGGGCGCCTTTGGGCCCCTTCCTGCCTTATTCCATGTGCGTCTTTTCCATCATGCCTCTCCCAGCCTTTCTTGCCCCTCTCCCTCCATCACTCTTTCTCTAAGACTCTTACTTATCAGTATTTCCCAGCGTCACCAGGCTGATGAGAATGGCATGCATTTACCTAAGTCATTTCCCTGACTTCAGGGACACTTACTTGCTTTCTGACCTCGGGGTGGGAACTTGAGATAAAAGGAACACAATAAAAATAAGGTTTTTTGTCTTTACGGAAGGGGACTTGCACATCCATAGAAGTCACATATTTTGCCTAAGGTTGATGATGACAGCAAGTTGGAGCTGGGTCTCAGGCCCCTGGGTTCTCAGACCTTTGCTCTTGGAGATGTCTGCAAGGTGGCCCGTGTTAACACCTCTCTGGCATCTGTCTGATCTCTCTCTGGTGGATTGCGAACCATTGCACAGGGCCTGAATCTGATTTACTGTGGTGTTCAAGGCCTGGTCTTTGGCAACATGTGCTGCCAGTTTTTACAGTGAAAAGACCTTGATAAGGTAACAGTAGAGAATTCTGCACACAGACGATAGAGCCATCGTGATGGGCAGAGGCAGGCTGGCCGCCATCTGAGGACCCTGCATTGAGGACCCCCAGCCCCATTCCTATAGGATGCTGGAGGGACTTCGTGGGAGGCAGTCTTATAGATTCCAGAGTAATGAGGGGGCCTAGATTAATAGGAGAGGCAGTAATCTTTATAAGGTGGCATAAAGACCTTGACATTGATAGAAGATTGCGTGACTGTGAGATTATAAAGTGAGGTCATATAGGAGAGGGATGCCATGCCGTTAGGACCTAGTCACTTCAGCTGTCCTGAGGGTGAACAAACAGTCACCTCTGTTAGAAGGAGCAAGGAAGGAGCCCAGAGAGGTGAGCCGAGAAAGGCTGACTCCTGTCATGGTGCCTGGCCCTTCTGCTATGTTGGTAAAAAGCACTCCCGAGTCGGGGAAGAATGAAAGAATTAGGACGCTGTTTAGATAAGGCAGGCAGATTGTTTGCTGTCAAGTCTTCTGTTCCACCTCTCACACACACCTGCTCTCTGGATAGCTCATTTGATCTCAAGGATGGGGCCTGGCAGAGGGAGCCACCCAACCTCGCTGAGCTGTCCCTGATGCTCAGGGTGTTCTAGTTAGCCTCTCACCGTGGAGTCTGCCCGGAAAGAAGATGTCGCAAGGTGCAGCTAATTGATCTACAGGTACTTTTGCCCATGGGTGTGTGTGTGCATCTTTGCTGCATTCTGTGAAAGATGCAGAAGTGTAATGTGTGCCTCCAGGAGCTCACTGTCCTATGGGGATGAGACCCATGAAGAGTAGCAGGCGACACGAGTGTGTGCAGCGAAAGGCTCGGTTACACAGCCTAGGTTGTCGCTTTGTAGAAGCACAGGGGAGGAGGAAATCTGTGAAGTTCAAGAGCATCTTGGGATGACCTCCCTGACCCTTGGCTAGACTTTGAGAGAGAAGGGTATGGTGACTGAGTAGAGGGCAGAGGTGCGCACCTGGTGGGAGATCGGGTGGCAGTGAGAGGCCGAGACAGGATGAGGCCAGCCTGGTTGAGTGCAGTATTGTTAACACTGGAGCAGAGAAGACAGCCGTTCTAAACCAGCTCCCCAAATTTTAACCCAGATAAAATTTTCATCAGCTTAGCCCCTCCACAGTCCTTCCCCTCATCTGTCAGAGGACAGATGGACTAGAGCCAGGAAGGAACTTTAGGGGCACCGAAGTTTTAGCCTGTTTTTTATCCAAGTTGCCAAGTGTCTCAGAAGTCTAACTGAAGAGGCTCAGAGAACAAAGAATAAGCTGGGGAGGTTGTGGCAGGAGGAAGTAACCGAGGCCTTGTGCTGCGCCCCAACACATCACGCCCTTTGTCCTCACAACAACCCCATTAAGTAACTTTTTATTACTGTAATTAGAAGTCAGGAAGCTGAGTTCAGAGAACTTGTATGTTGTTTGTCCAAATTGACACAACTAGTAATAGCTCACTTGCACCAGATGACACCTGAGATTCATTCCAGGTCAGAGATTCAGGGATTGTGACTCCAGGCCTGCTGCCAACTCCATACTAGTAAATTAAGAATCATATTTGAAGATGTCCCCATATTTTACTTGTGGTGCTATTTGTTCTGTCTTCAGCTCTTTCTGGAGGATGCCGTCTGCTCAAACACAGAGCTGCTGTTTCTTTTTTTGCAAAGCATTAGCTCATTTGTGATCGCTGCCAGCTCTTAAGACAAGGACTCAAAATTAGTGTCAGGCCCTTCCCTGTCATCTTGAGAAGAGACATACGCTACCTCCACAGGTGGTGTGTGCAGGGTGGCCCTCGTCAGTGATGAGCCTGAGACTGTCTCCATCCCTGCAGCAGCCTCCAAGCCAGCCATGCATCTTCCACTTGGACCACTGGTCTCCTTGCCTCTGTTACACCCCAGTCTGTTTCCACAGAGCAACCGGAGGGATTTTAAAAGGTGTGACTTGGATCTCACCAGTGTCCTAGCCGCTGCCGTGCAGACAGAGCCCACAACCTTGTCCCAGGTGGAGAGAGCATTGCGTGTCCACCCCAGCCTCTGCCGTCAGCTGCCCCCAGCATGCTGCACTCTTTGCTCCAGTGTCTTTCCATCCCATAAGCATGATGAAGCCACTGCTCCCTTAGGACGTGGCTCTGCTGTGTCCTCTCCTGGAGCACACCCCCTGGTCTCCACAGGGTGAGACGCCTGTGTTTCACATCTCCATGTGGCGCTCCTCAGAGAGGGGTCTGGCTCTTTTGATAGAAGGCAGCTGCCCAGGCACCGGTGCGCCTGTGTGGTTCTCCATGCAGGGCTCGCACTGTCTCATCCATGCGTCTGTGGAGAACCATTCTGTCTGCTTGCCTGGGGGCACTCAGTGGAGAACCAGTCTGTCTGCTTGCCTGGGGGCTCTCGGTGTTCAGATTGGTAGCTGTCATACAGTGGCACTCGGGCCTGGGTGAATGAATGAATGAACGGCCCACTTGACCTTGGGTTTGCCCTGTGGCCACCTGTTTTCTCCATTTCCCTTTTCCAGTTACTCCCATATTCAGTTATCAGGATTCCTTAATTTGGACCATTGAGAATCAGTCACTTGACTGAATCACCCACAATTCATAGCTAATTAAAAACATAGCAAGGCTGGGTTTACCACTGAGGCAAGCATAGTAGTGTCATGGTAGTGCAGGCTCTGGCACCAGCATCCTGGACCACATCCGCCTCTGCGGTTCACTGACTGTGGGACACGCTGGGCAGGTCACTCGGCCTCCTGTTCCTCGCTGAGAAAGAGGTGGGTACTAATGGCACCTGCCTCACCAGCTTGTTTGGGGATTAAATGAGTTGATAGATGGAAAGCAGTTAAAATAGTGTCTGGCACTTGGTAAATGTTAACATTAAAATTAGCTTTTTTTTTTTTTAATTTAAAAAGCAAAAAGTGCCATCGTGTTGAGTTTGGGAAAGGATATGGGGAGATGCGTACACGTGACTTGTGCCACCTCATTGAATATCTCCACCTATGAGGTGGGTACTGTGTTCTTCTCCATGGGAGGAGATATTTTCCAAAAGACAGATGAGTTCACACGGCTACTGAGCAGTTGAGACAGTGTTGGAACGGAGATCACACTTAGCGCTCACATTGCTCGCATCATCTATACTGCCTTCCTAGAGAAAACAGTTTTCTGGAACTTTTTGATTAGGCTTGGAGGACTTGTTTCTGAAATGTAAACCTCTTTTCTTTATTAGTTTAGGATACCAAAGCAGAGTTCAAGGAGGATTCAGTTGAGTTCAATTGAGTTATACTTTAAGATCTGGGTTTCCACTTTTGCAAAAACAAGCAAATTAATGTAGGAAAAAAATAGAAGGAAGAAATGAAAGCCATGATAACATTTTAGTTTTCTGTTACTGTAATAAGCAAGGCTCTTGGTTACAAGTAATAGAAACCCAATGCAGATGACAGTTGAAGCCTTAACTTTATAGCTTCCATCCAGAGAGCAGTCCCCAGGGAAGGGCTGCCCCTTCCCTCACCTCCCTCACCATCCCCATAACGTCTCCAGCGAGCCTGCCTTTGGCCACATGCCAGTCCCCAGAGCACCCTGTCCTGGGTGGGGTGGAGGGAGTGAGTTGCCGAGCGGCCTGGGTCATGTGTTACTGGTGGTGGAAGGTCAGGCCACGTGGTTGCCAGCCCCTGTCAGTCTCATGGAGGAAGGAGGGGTATTTCTTAAAGAATGAGATACAAAACAGACCAAAACAAGTAGCGCATGATCCAAGCACTCATACATCTTACCTTATCCTAATTATTGGTGGCCAACATTTACAAAAGCTGAGTGGCTTATTCAGATGGGAAAAGGAAGTTGTGGCCAGGCTCCAGGCAACAACCCGTGGCTCCACTCCCCTGGTGGAGAAACAGGCGGTAAGACTGGCGGACTTTTGGCTGTCAGGTGTTGCCACTGTAGAGTCTCTGCATCCTGGCCAAGTGCCAGTGGCCAGTGAAACATTCTGTCTGAGAAAGTATACTAGGCATTATGAAAATTATTTAAAATCTGTGTCTTTCTAATAGATTTATTCAGCATTGGATAGGGAGTGCAGGTAAAACAAGTCAGTTTCTCTGAAGGAAAAGAAGAAAGATATAATCAGATCATCAGGGAAAGGGAAAGGGAAGAATGCCATCTTACCTTTATTTTCTTTGACTTTTAGGTCCTCTTATTGTAGCTTTGAGATCAGGAAAGCTCATTTGTCTAAGAAGCACTCTCTACAAATGAGGAAAATGAAATGGGATTACTTCTGTTTCAACAGTTTCTATAGTAGGGTTTATCACTTGAGATTCAAAAGTCGTCAGTCGCTCTTTAAGTGAGAGTAAAAAAGAGTCAGAAAAAAATGACTGCGTGGGTTAATTCCATTACCAGAGTCATGGGAAAAGCCAAGTTCAGTGGTGTTCAGATTTTTCTGACGACACCCCCCACGGGGATGCACGTTACATTGAGACCCAGACACAGCTGCAAGTTCCAAGAAATAACGTTTTATTCTCATCATGCCACAGTACACTCTGGATTCTATTCTATTCTATTCTATATTCTATTCTATTCTATTCTATTCTATTCTATTCTATTCTATTCTATTCTATTCTGTTCTGTTCTATGCTGTTCCCTTCCATCCTACTCATAGTCCATTGCAGTATTTTTTGTCTTCTAATGTCCTTTCCTGCTGATCCTGACCCTCTGAGGGGACTGGGAGGGGGTGAGAGATAGGGTGCGGGAGGGGGAGCAGCAGAGATGGGCCTGTCAGAGCCAATGCCAGGCGATGCCCCACCCCTGCAGCCTCCACGCCTCCACCCTGCACTTGTATTCATTCTTGGTTTCCCCAGCAATGCTACTCCCAGCGTTTCATGTGACCACATCTTTGTTCCTCACACACTGCCACTTTGTTTGCTGGCCCTGCCACACAGGCCTCACATCTTTGCTCTGGGCACTGATTGGGTGATGGCTCAATGGCCTTCACATTCCCAAAGGAAAAGACCCCCTTCAGGCCAAGGGAGAGGAGAGCTAGAATCAAAGTTTACCCGGAGGAACTGGCTTCTCTGGACAAGAAAGCTGGGCCCAGGGAAGGCTGGGTGGCTTGATGGCCTTGTGAGGCTGGAGGAGATGGAAAGGAGTGGCTGAGACCAGGGAGGCACGTTCAGGATCCGTGCCTGGCTCATCGCCTCTGTCCCTGCCTCTTGCTGTCTGCAGGTAAATTCTACTGTAAGCCACACTACTGCTATCGACTCTCTGGCTACGCACAAAGGAAGAGACCGGCAGTGGCTCCCCTGTCTGGAAAGGTAATGGTGACTCTCCTGTAAGTGGGGGAGAAGCAGTGGGTGTTGCAGCAGTGTGGCTATGGGCCGGGGGCGGCCAACCTGCAAATGCCCCTGCGTCCTTGCCTCTCCTGGGAACGGGGAGGGCCCGAAATGCAGTGGCAGTCCGGGGTGGAGAGGGAACCATCTTTTCATGGATGATCTGAGGTTGCCTCGCTAAGGTAAAGGCTCCACCTGCCCCCTGAGTCGGACCCAGGAGATGATGCAGCTCTCCATCTCAGCTGCGTAGACATCTGCCTTCGTCAACACACATCTTTCTGAGAGGACACCCTGCCACTGGGGTGATGCCGCCTCATGTTCCACATGATTAGAGCCTCCTCCAGAAGGGCAGGGTGGGAGAGGAGACTGTTGGGAGGATCCCTCGGTGGCCCCACCCTCACTCCCCACACCCAAAGGGCGCCCTGCCTGCGGGGCCTTTCACTAGTTCTGTGAGTTATTTGTCTGTGAATTTTTTCCTTCCTTATCCTCTTTTTAATGAGGGTGGCTTCTCCACCTGTCTTTGTCGCGGTGAACCCAGCAGTCTCTTCAGCATGGTTGCCACCTTGTCAGCACGCCTGCCTGTCAGTCCCCCTTGAGGGCTTCTGTTGCCTGCAGAGGGACTGGCAGGAAGAGGTGCACCTAGGTGGATCTAGACTTTGACTCCGGGTGACTCAGGAGGCTGAGGTGGGAGGATTGCTTGAGCCCAGGAGGTCGGGGCTGCAGTGAGCTATGATGATGCCGCTGCACTCCAGCCTGGGTGCCAGCAAGGCCCTGTCTCTTAAATAAATAAATAAATAAATAAATAAATAAATAAATAAATAAAATTTAAAACCAGCGTGTCAGATTGTCAGTGCCTCTAGGGATTTGAGGATTTGAGTGCATCAGTCAGAGTCACTCTTCTTTTTCTCATGAACTTTCCTAGGAGGCCAAAGGACCCCTGCAGGATGGCGCCACCACAGATGCAAACGGACGGGCCAACGCCGTGGCCAGCTCCACTGAGAGAACCCCAGGTAGCCTCACTTCCTTGTTTGGCTGGGTGGCGCGTCACTCCCTCGGCCTCTGTGACAAGGCCAAGGGCATGAGCCAGCACCTCCAAAGCAACATTTCTTCATTCGGGCAACAAGTGGCCCAAAACCCTCTGGACTCCTTTTTCATGTGCCAGCTGCTTGCGTTCGGAGTCCCCTTTCTCTATGGCCTGTCGGAGGTGCTGGTGCAAATCAGAGGGGAGTTCCACTGGCAGGCTGTGGCCCAGTGATGGGGCCGTCCGGTGGGCGGCAGAGCCGTGAAGTGCTGTCCCTCAGCCCCGTCCCGCACCATCACACCTGAGGGCGGCCCAGGTCCTGTGTAGGTAGACAGGAGCTCGCAGGCGCTCAGACACTGCTCCCATCACCCGCCCTGGTGAGGCCAAGGCCACTCGGCCTTCATGCAGTTTGCTTCCAAGCTCCTCTGACGGCCTGGAGCTGTGTTGATTAAGCCCCGTGGTCTTGTTTTGGGTTCACCTTCACTTAAGATTCTGCGTCCTGTTCCCTGTCACTGTGTGTGGATGAGCTGTGGCTGCTCTCCTGTCTGCCCTGCACCGTGATGGGACATGCCCTGTCCTGACCCCTTGGCCACTGGGCTTGTCATGAGGTCCAAGCCCTCACCTGTCCCACTTTCATGACCACTTCCTTGTGTTGGGAGGTGAACAGTACCATCTCTACCTCTACAAACACATTTATTCTTGTCATAGCATGACAGGACTCGCAGGGTTTGTGGGTACCAGGCCTGTTGGGAAGAATTATGTAGATTTTCCTTAAAATGGCCTCTCTCAGCAACTTGTAAAACTTGCCTGTGAGATGCGTCCAGAGCTCCACAAACTGCTGGGTGTTCTGAATGTCCCACATACAGCTCCAGGTGGTTCACGGCCCAGGGTCACTGTGGCAAGAGGGGGCCAGCAGGGCTGTGTTTCTGTCTGTCACACTTTCCTCTTGTTCAAAACACATGTATCTCAAGCAGCTATATACAAAACTCATAAAAATTAAAGATGGTCAGCCAGTGCCAGGAAATGTGGAGGAGGAGTTGGTCATAGAATTTCCATGGTGGGACAAGAGAATTACCCATTTGGCCTTCAACGAGAGGTTCCCAGAGTTGCATCCTTTCCCTTCCCTAACAGCTGGTTCATGTAGGCCTTGTGGTGCTCATTCTGGGAGAGGGAAGATGCGCCCAGAGGCTAGGCGGTGTGCCCTGGGAGCCATGAGAACCCAGCCAAGCCAGGTGAACGCAGCTTCTGCTACTGCACGTGCCCTTATTATCATCTGAGCAAGTTTTTTAAGTACCCTGCAGGTGGGACCAACATTTTATAGCCATGTTTCAACCATTAATGACTTTTAAACCTTCTACAATCTTGAAGATCTTTATAATCCATCTTTCTCGTGAAGTACCCACAGGCCTTTGCAGCTGACACTCTCAGAGCATGGGCAGAATCACTGGTAGAGAAAAATAACCAAAGGGGTCTAGACAGAGACTTTGGCTTTATGCTATAGAATGTACATTCAGTTGGAGAGAGCACCACCTTATTAGTCTGGGCCCTATTTCATCAGAGATGGATTTTCTGAGGAACCTGACTACTCAGTAGAACAACTCAAAAGAAACTAAACTTTCCATTTCGGTTTGGAGTACAGAACATTTTTTAAAAAGAATTAAACACAGTGAAGTTTAGGTTATTCCTGAATGACGCCAGGTTTGCTGACTTTCCCATCTGGTCGAGGTTGCCATTCTTGCCATCTAATTGAAAGTATAATGGGTTTCAGGTTTTTAGGAGTTCTAAAGAATTACGCTTTCCATAGAGAATAAGAGGAAGAATGTTCTACATAGTGGGGAGAGAGGATGAGGGTTGGCAGTGTGGTTAAAGAGCAAAACCACCAAGAAAGAGTCAGAGCCCTGAGGACGTCTCTGTCCGCGTGGTTCTTGATTCTGAGCCAGAAGGTGACTTGGTATAGCACGGGAGTTCAAAATGTGGTGTCCCAAAGGAATCACAGTGTGGACCTTTACAGTTAATGACAGGCACTGTCCCCCAGCTTGGGTGGCAAAGGCCAGTGAGCTCAGGGCTGAGGGGCTTACCCTCCGGCAGCTCAGAGTCCAGAACATCTTAGTCCGGCAGCTCAGAATCAGGGCACCTTGCCTCCCGGTGAGCTCACTCTGCTGCTAGCCTTGGTAGAAAAGGAACAGGATTATGGGCAGTATTTTATGGCTGGCATGAAATAGATACCCTTTTCTCCTTTGATAGAGATTTCCTTCTTTAAATATGAAACTGAAGCTTTGAGGACTTAACTAGACTTCCTTTTGAAAAGTTTCAGAAAAGCTCAGGTGTGGCCAGGCACGATGGCTCATGCCTGTAATCCCAGCACTTTGGGAGGCCGAGGCGGGCAGATCACGAGGTCAGGAGATCGAGACCATCCTGGCTAACACAGTGAAACCCCGTCTCTACTAAAAATACAAAAAAATTAGCCGGGTGTGGTGTGGTGGCGGATGCCTGTAGTCCCAGCTACTCGGGAGGCTGAGGCAGGAGAATGGCGTGAACCCAGGAGGCAGAGGTTGCAGTAAGTCGAGATCACACCACTGCACTCCAGCCTGATGACAGAGCAAGACTCCATCTAAAAAAAAAAAAGAAGAAAAGGGAAAGCTCAGGTGTTTCAGGGTCCCAGAATGTATGTTGTAGAGAACAGTCATTAGCTCAGGCCCATGGTAACCGCCTCTACTGTGCACTCGACCAGTAGAGGCGATGATGACGGCACTTGATTCTCTTGTGTGTAACTCAGCCATCCTCCCTAGACCCACGTCCCAGGAGGCAGGGCTGGTAAAGCTATGACTGGGCAGTGTTTGACCCAGCTGTGCTTTTACTCTGTGCCTCCTCTTTATATTGTGGCATTTCTCTCTTCTCCTTTATGTTCTTTTTCTTTTTATGCCAAAATTCTTGCTGTTGCCAAAACAAAAACAAAAAAACACACCCACACCCAATTACAACCTGCAGTTCAAAGAACCACTCTAGGTCGGCTTTAAAGTATTGTCTTTCTCTGGTAACCAAATCTGTACCTGCTGCCTAATTTAGTGTTTGGGGGCATTGTTTACAGTATTTCTGTTTGTAATGTGCTTTTAATATAGAAATCCTCTTTTTTGTTCTTAAATCTATGAATGCTGTGTTTCCAAGCTTATACTTACTACTGCGTGTTAGTGGTCCTGGCACAGATTTTCTTACCCTGGCCTTGTACTGTCCACCATGACTTTAGAAAAAGCTTGAACAATAGGCAGAGAAAGGAAATCCCCAAAAGGGATTATTTTCCCCTTGGACATGAGAAGTTTAGTTACAGGTTTCTTGAATTCGTTTTTGTCCAGAGGAATCCTCTTTTTATCTGATACGGTTGATGACCAAAAATGAAGTAGGGAAGCCGAAGGCATAGCCGGAAAGGAACAGAAGAGCTTTTTCCCCGAGTGCTCATCACCGGGTTCATTACCGGCCAGAGATGGACGGGGAGAAGCACGTTAGTTTCCTGTCATCTTATGGAAAAGATGATCTGAAGTTAAAAAATGAAGGTCACAAGTGGCAGTTGCCTGACCCCTGTCCCCAGACATTCCTTGCCCGATAACCATGAGGTTCCATAGTTCGGATCCTGAATGGGCCTTTAGGAAATGCAGGCCTTTCCCACACCAGCTAGAAGGGTAGCCAGGCAGTAGAATTTCATTCAACCCTAGGGTTCCCACCTGACAGAGGGAAGTTCGGAAGTCTTACTGCTTCCCACGTCCCCTTCCCTTCTAGGCATTTATGGAAAGCTTTTTAGTGGAGCAAGAGAATTCTACAATCCAGCTTACCTCCCACCTTACCCCAAGAGCCATAGCTGACGGTGATGTGTGAATGTTTATATATAGGTACACGTTTGTATGTATATAGATCTAATTGCACATATATGGGTAGATATTTATTTATATGTTGCACCCTAAATTATAGTAATTATAATAATTGTGAAGCTGTTTCTAAAGCTGCTTGTTCCTGGTTCTGAGAACCACGGGAGCCTCACACTGGGGAGCCGTACTCCAGGTCAGGGCTTTGGGGATGCACAGCAGCGTACGGGCAGCACGCCTGTAAGGAGGTGAGTGGGTGGGTGTCTCAGAAAATGGGCAGCACACCCCCAAGAAAGGGCCCCAAGAGCAGACTAGGAACGCAGGGGGCTGCTGCTGCCAGGACACCACGGAGAGCCGGGCACCCGCCTCACATGTCTCCTGTCTGGCTCCACTGAGTTAGCCGTTTGAGCCCACTCCTATCTTTTGGTGGTTAGTGCATCTTCAGCTCTTTTCTGCAAGACACTGGAACATTCCTAGGCTGTCCCAAAAGGAGTTCCACCATAGCCTTTAAGGTCCGAGCAGGGCACCAAGGGGTTCACTTTTCTCCCGAGCCATTCAGCTTGGGGTGCCTGCGGGAGGGGCGGACAGCCAGCCGGCTTCCCGGCGGCGGTACGAGAGCCCAACAGGAGAGGATTAGCTGTGCCAAGGAACACGCCACTGCTGCCTGTCTACTGCCCGCCTTCTCTCCACTTCCATTTTTGCCTTTGTTTTTAACTTGTGCTCTTGTGAGTTCTTGGTGTGTTTCTTTGTGAGTTTTTATTTAATTGTGTAACTTTGTTTTTGCCGTTGACTGTGAAACCAAGTTGTCGTGCTTTTAATTTTTTTTTTAACAAATGTTACATTCTTATTTAAGAGAATAAATTCCAAACAATCTTCGGATTTCTGAGTTTTTCTTTTCCTTCCCTTTCTCTTGACCAGAGGGTGGGAAAGGGGGAGGCTCAGGCAGGTCTTGGGAGTGAGCTTGAGGCCACTGTGGCTCAGGACTCCCACTCCGGGGGGTCAGCAAGACAGCAGAGGTGCAAAGTGGGGGAAATAGGTTTTTATACCTGACATAGCTTCCCGTTAACAGAGGACTCCTGTGTAGGGGCTGGAGTGGTGCGAAGTTTTGCTTTGCAGCAGCTGCAAGTGGAGAAAAGCAAGAAGGATGCCACCTGTGCCCATGGGCCTCAGGTGCAGTCCACCAGCAGGAGGGCCCGCAGGCTGGGCGGATGGAGGGGTAGAAATGCCACACAGAGCCTGGTCAACCATAGGGACATAGAGCCAGGCACCTTCTTCCTCCCTCCAACTGTGGCAGGGAGCTGGGGCCAGGGGCGTGTCTGTCTTCCGCCTGGAGGCTCTGCCAGGCGTGCCCGCAGGCACAACAGCCTTGCTCCTGGTAAGGTTGAAAGTTCTTGCTCTTTCTTCCTGAGCTGATTTCTCTCTCATGCTGTCTTTGGTGTGACCTGGACGCTAAGCTGGGATATCTGATTCTTTTTGGCCCTTCTCCAGCCTGGAGGGACTAGCCTGCATTAAAAACAGACTATTCCCTTCTCACACACACCGCTGCTGGCATTAGCAGCCGTGGCACTGTTCCCGCATTTTGTCAGCTGCAGTGGGCACAGGCCTAGCCTCATGCTGAATTGGCCCAAGAGAGGGCACTGTGCTGTAGTGGGCAAAGCACTCAGCCCCGAGTCTGCACCTGCCGGGCCCTAGGCACTTGGGTGTTCTCACATGAAAGAGCCCTCTCTGGCCTCCGTCCCCCTGAAGCAGCTCTCTTGGAACGTGAAGAGGTCTTGGCTTCCCCATAGATCAGAGCAGCAGGTCCCTGGGGTCTGCTTGGCATTCTCGACAACCACAGTCCAGGTTAGGGAGGGCCTCACCCCCCAGTAGCTCACAGCTCTGCTGTGACACCGTCATTTTCCTCAGAGCCTCGATGGTTCTGAGAGTCTGGGCGGTGTCTCCTGGCCTGCTCATGTCCTTCCTCCCCTCAGCCCCCCAGGTCTGTAGCCTCTGGCTCCCCTTTCTCTGAAATAAGTCAGTCAGTATCCTAGTGCCTGCAGAAGGGAGAGAAGGAATTGGGATGTGGGGGGCGCAATAAGTGACAAATTAACTAAGCGTCAGTAATAAGGATGGATACATACGTGTGCATAATTTTCAAATCTCAGCCCCTGGCTGCTGTTGCCTGCCCATCCCCCAGTAATAAAGGGGAGGGGACCACTGCTGTTCACAGCGATGCCTGAGGCTTCCAGCAGGAAGGTGGGGACACCCAACGTGATTCTGTGCTGCCCATTGGGAACACCCCAGAAAATCCCTTTTGGATCTCAGTTTCCTTCTGAAACTTCTTGAAATCTGTTCTTTTTTCTCATAAATTCCCTGTCAGTTTCCCTAATTAACACACTGCCTAAGAGGGAGGCCGTGGCACACACATGGAAGGAGAGCGGCTGTGAAAATGGGCCACTCTTATTTTCATGCTAAAAAATAGGGCAGGATGATGCCGTATAGGACCCGGTCCCACAAGTGCTCCCCGAGATAAAAACACCCATGTGGAGCTCTGAACGGCAGCAGCCAGGCAGAGATTTCAGGAGAAGTCTTTCCGAATTCCAGCCCCTTTCACGAAGCCCTGAAACCTCCTTTAGACTCAAAAACCAGCCCTTACCTTGCAGCTCACCCAGCCAAGCGCCTCACAAGTGCCAGCAAGTAGATTAGTCATAATGAAACAAGGGGTGGTGAGGCCCATTGGCACTCCTGCCCAGGTCAGGTCATGGCACTGTGGGCTCCTCTCACCACCGCCCGGAATTCTCAGCACCCTGTTGGCTGCCAACACCTCTTTCTTTATAATTGCTCCTTGTCTCCTCACCGCTTACCTTGGCGGGAGGGGGTGGTAGGCTTGTACGCAGAAACACGTTTCATTGCCCGGGAGGGGATGCGGGCCTCCAGGTGGATGGGACTCTCCATCAATTACTTCCGGGTTCTACCAGCCACGTGAACACCAGCTCCATTTTACTTCCTGTGGGCCAACTTCCACATCACTTTGCAAAAGCAGTTTATGAACACTTTCTGAATATTTTGGGGGCCCTTTAATGGGTCTCCAAGAAGGACAGTGGGCAAGAGGTTGAATCACTGCCAGCATCTTCACCCTAACTCAGGCTAGCTAAGCCCAACCTTGTCACTGATGTGCTTTTCCTCCCAGCAATAAGAAGTATGCCGTGCATAGGCAGAATGTGCCTAAAACGGGAAGAAGGCACACGCCCCTCAGAAGGCCCTTGCTGGCATGAAAGGAAGTTTTGGAACACCCTTCCACAGACAGGGAATCTAGGGCCCCAGCTCCGCCTTGCTGCAGACTCTTGGGGCCATGCTGGGACAGCTACTAGAAAAATCCTTACAGAACTTCTCTTGGCCTCTTGTGTTTTCTTTATCTCTATTTCTTTCTGTACTTACCCAGCTCTTTGTGCTTCTACATTAATCACATGAGACTGCCCAGGTGTGACTGTTAAGTGACTGATTTCCTTATTCTGTGTTCTGTGATCAACTCTCCTGCACCTGCGGGAGAAGAGCCACGCCGCAGGCCGTGTTCCCCAACCTTGCTGGCACCAGGGTCTGGTTTCGTGGAAGACAGTTTTTTCACAGACTGGGGTGGGCAGTGGTTTTGGGATGAAACTCTTCCACCTCAGATCATCAGGCCTTAGTTGGATTCTCATAAGGAGCATGCGGCGTGGGTCCCTCACATGCTCACTTCACAATAGGTTCCCGCTCCTGGGAGAATCTCGTGCCGCCACCGCTGATCTGACAGGAGGCGGAGCTCAGGCTGTGACACTCACTAGCCAGCCACTCCCCTCCTGCTATGCGGCCTGGTTCCTGACAGGCGGTGGGTCTATGACCCAGCCCGGGCCACAGCGCAGGGGGTGGGGACTCCTGCCAGAGTAGTTTTCATGGACAAAGTACAACCTGGTGACCAAGGAAGAGCTGGTATCGATTAACAGGATTATGGCAGCAATTTATTTATTGTTGCCCTGTTCCCCAGAACTAAGACTCTAAAAAGACCAGGTTACAGTGAGACCAGCTATAAAATTTCTTTCCTATCATTTTACTACCGAGAGACTAGGTCAGTAGGTTCTTTTAAAAGTAAACATTTTCGGCCGGGCGCGGTGGCTCACGCCTGTAATCCCAGCACTTTGGGAGGCCGAGGCGGGTGGATCATGAGTTCAGGAGATCGAGACCATCCTGGCTAACAAGGTGAAACCCCGTCTCTACTAAAAATACAAAAAATTAGCTGGGCGCGGTGGCGGGCGCCTGTAGTCCCAGCTACTCGGGAGGCTGAGGCAGGAGAATGGCGTGAACCTGGGAAGCGGAGCTTGCAGTGAGCCGAGATTGCGCCACTGCAGTCCGCAGTCCGGCCTGGGCGACAGAGCGAGACTCCGTCTCAAAAAAAAAAAAAAAAAAAAAAAAGTAAACATTTTCTTCTAGAGTTTCATCTAACGTGAATTACTCTGAACCAGCTGCTGCCTTCCTTTTGGCCAGTTCAGCCTTCTTGGGGCATTGGCGTTGGTAGAGGCACGGGAACGCTGGGGTGGAGGGTGCAGGGAAGAGGGCTCTGCGATCTCAGAGAAACAGGAAGCACTGGGTGCTTAGAGAGGAGAATGAAGGGCCAGGGAGGTAAGAGTCCGCACTGGCTTGCTGTGTTGCCGAGAGCCAGCAGCAATCCTTCATGCTGCTCAAAAGACCATGCTTAGGGCTTGTCTGTGTTTGCAACCAAGAAAGCCCTCTTCTCTGCCAAAATACTTTCCCCAAATAAAAATTGACAGTAAAGCTTGCAGTGCCGTCACTCCTGCTGTTTTCCCCACATGTGACTGATGTTGATCAGTTAGCCCTGGGGGCCCTTGCCATACTCACTCACAGAAGACGATGCTGGGAGACACACAGTAGCGGCAGCAGCGGTCGCTAACATGTAGCACGCACTGTGCACAGGCCCTGAGCAGATGCTTTGTGTAGCTGACCTTGGATCCTCACAGCAGCCATAAGGGAGGCAGGCCCCATGTTGCACATGGGGAAACAGGCACATAGGAGTTAGGCAGGCTTGGCCAAGGCCACGTAACCAATAAACTCAGAGTTGGGCAGAGGCTGTGCAGAGGACACAGGAGCTGCCCTTCATCATTCTCTGCAGCCTGGGCTCGGCAGCGTGGGCGAGAGGCAAGAACCCTATGTGTAGATGCCCTGGAGAAGCCAGTGAGTTTCCATTTCATTATTCCTGGAAAATACAGGTCTCCCAATTTGACAACCATCCCAGAGTTGGGAATGTGCCTCTGGAAAGACAGCACATTAAATAAAGGCAAAGGATTTCATCACTGAGGTGCAATGGGGGAAGTCATTAAAGAAATGGAGGAAGAGAATGACAACCATCCGAATTGACTGTAAATAATATGAAATGGACTTTCTCTTCATTTTCTCTATATCATCCTTCGTTTTGGTCCTCTCGAATCCAGCCTGAGGTTTTGTTATGAAGAGTAAGCCCTTCCTCCATCCGTCCGCCCTGCCAGTGATGTGGAGGATTGGGGAACATGCTTGGGGGATGTTTTTTCTTTGAGTTCTGGTGTAACTGCTTCTAGCTTATAAATCTGTTGGCTTTTCCTCTACCACCTCATTTTCTGATACGTTTCAAAGGCCTGAGTGAAGGTGGAGCTGACACTTCCATTGTGTTACAGCTTCACAGCTGCCATTCACAGTCCTCTTAAGACATTGCCTGCCCTGGGCCTCTGTAGGGTTAGGGATAGGGGAAGGAAGGGATGATTTTGTACCTCTTTTTGTGCTGAATATGGACATTCTGATCTACTCAGGCTTGGGCCACTCTGTACTGAACTCACACGTAAAGTGATTGACTCGTAAGTCTTTGGGCTAAGTGTGCATGGGAAGTCCTGGTTGTGCCTGCCAGCTGCAACATGGTTCGGCATAGAGAGGTTTTCAGGAAGCCTCCTGGGCATGTGTGGCACGGCCTGGCCTGACCTCGGCAAGGCACACTGTGGCAGGGGCACTCAGAGCTCTCAGGTTGGAGGTTTCTGGAAAATGGGGAAAAAGAGGAGTTGAGAACACAGCACAAAGGTAGGTGTGTTTTTCCATGCCATGTTCTCCCGTCAGTTTTCTTCCTGGGTTTAGTGAGACGTCCTGCTGTAATATCCAAGTGGAACGTCCCGTCTGTCAGAGGCTTCTAGCATCCAGCCAGGAGAAAGTGAGTGAAAGGCGAGAAGCCCATCAGATTCATCTCTGGTGGTCTCCTTTAATTCCTGCGGCCTCATGCACATGACAAACATGGACGGAGGGGTAGGGGATGTGCAGGTGCCCTCCAGGGGCATTGCCAGGAGGAGCAGAATCACCTTCCATCAGTAGAGTCGCGTCATGAGACAAGGGAAAGTTCAGGCGGCTCATGCAGCTACTTGGGGTGCAGGTGCTCAGCGAGTGGCAGTGACCAAGTTTGTCACAGCATGCACCTCTCTCATGGATTTCCTGTCTGTGGACGGCAAGCCCAGAGCTACCTGTTCACCAGGCAGTTCTCGGTTGGTCCTCCATGTACTGCACTCCTGCTGGTCAGGCATTGCACCTTGGCAGCCACGGTGAAGGGTCGTGAGCTTACCACGTCAGACCTTGTGGAGAGTTGGTTGGTCGGCCTGTTTGGTAAGAGATTAGAAATAACTTGATATAACTTCTAAGCCAGGGCTTCTCCAGCCCAGCACTGTGGACGTTTTGGGCTGGATCCTGCTTTGCTGTGAGGGCTTCCTGTGCCTTGTGGTGTGTCGGGTGTGTCCCTGGCCTCTCCCCATCAGACATCAGTAGCACCCCCCTCCCCAAGCTGTGTCAACAGAAAATGTCTCCAGACATTGCCAAGTGACCCAGGGGAAAAATCACCCCAGTTGAGAATCACGGATCTAGACTAAGGTTAGAAGAAAGGACATGACATTGACATGCTGTCAGCCTCAGTTATATTGTGGGAGAAGTGGGCGTGGGGTAGAGGAGGCCATCAGGATAGAGGATGGTGAGAATCAGAAAAGTGATCCTGAACAGTGTTGCCAGCTCCCAGCCCAGGCCTCCAGACCTGTCAGCCCCCACAAAACCGTGAACACACTTCCTAGTGGCTGTGCTTTCTCACACGTCGGGACCCTGTACGAAGACTGCATGCCATAGGACGGGCGGGTGCAGATCATTTTAGAAGGCAGACCTGCAAAATAAAAGCAGAGATCCTGTGTTGTTTCTGTACCCCAGTGGATGTGCACACCCTTTGGTGGTGGCCCCAGCCTCAGAGAGTGGAGCTGGGTCTCAATGGAACCAGCACAGATCTTGAAACAGAAGATGTGAATTTGAGTTTCAGTTCTGCCACCTGTCATGCTTGCTGTCATAACCTCTGTGAGCCTCAGTTTCACCATGTGTAAAATTTTTAAATGAAGAAAAATGCTACCTGCTCCTCTGTCTGCTAAAGTTGTTGTGAAGAGCGCATAAGTTAAGATGTATGAAACTTGTTTATTTAAAAGCATTACAAGAATATCAAATGTGATTGTCATTGGCAAGGATTCCAGGAAATTCTGGAAGAATTAGAGTGAGGGTGAATTAGAATCATTTCTACTGGCTGTGTACGGGCCTCCCTCTCTGGCCTGTGCCTGCTGTGGGGTTAGGACAAGGTGGCCCGTTGAGATATATCTTCAGCCAACAGAAGCTGGGGGAAGCAGAAGAGGTGAGAGCTTGGCTGTCTCCAGGCTGCAGCAGAGTGGGCTGGGGGAGTGGACCTTCGTTGCGTGCCAGCTGTTGTGAAGCACGGTTAAATCTCCATGGCTGCTTGGCTAAATTTGGCATTGCTTTTTCCCTCAGCCTGCGTGAATGGGATGTGAAGTCACCTACTGATTCTATGACACCCTAGGGGCTCTTCACTATAGTAACAAAAGCACAAACAGTCCTACACAGGATTTACATTAAGCTAAATATTCCTTTTTTTTTTTTTTTGAGATGGAGTCTCGCTCTGTCACCTAGGGTGGAGTGCAGCAGTGCGATCTTGGCTCACTGCAGCCTCCATCTCCCAGGTTCAAGCGATTCTCCTGCCCCAGTCTCCTGAGTAGCTGGGATTACAGTCACATACCACCACGCCCGGCTAATTTTTATATTTTTAGTAGAAACTGGGTTTCACCATGTCAGCTAGGCTGGTCTTGAACTCCTGACCTCAGGTGATCCTCCCGCCTCAGCCTCCCAAAGTGCTGGGATGACAGGCATGAGCCACCAAGCCCCGGCCTTCATTAAGCTAAATTTTCAACTCCTAACCTGAAAGTCGGAAATGTGAGTAGGAGCCAGGTAGCTTTCTCTTAGGCAGAGCAAGGGTTTATGCGTGGTCCCAGGGCCTGTCTGGGGTTGCTGGTTAGACCCAGGAGCCTCAGGTGGCCCCTTTGGAGGAAAGGAGGGTACCTGATTTCCTCTTGGAATCAGTGCACCAATGGGTGTTTTATGGGTGATGATAGACCCGCAGCTGCTCAGCTGCTGCTGATGCTGTAGAAAGGGTGCCCCGAGCCTGGGCTGTGCGCTCCTGCACCATCAGCCTTTGTTCTTAGTGTCTGTCTGCTTGTTTAGAGCCTCTCCATTCCGAGACACTAATGATTCTCTTCCAGGCCAGCCTCAGTGGCCCTCTGACAGGTGAAAACAGAAGTGTGACTGTGATCGATGTTTCTCTTCCAGGCCAGCCTCAGTGGCCCTCTGACAGGTGAAAACAGAAGTGTGACTGTGATTGACGTTTTACAGGGTAGTCATGGGCACTGCGGCAGGCAACTTTAGTTTCTTTCCAAAAACACATCTGCAGCTAGCCAAGGGAGTATGTATATGTGATTTTGTGTCTTTAAAAGAAAGGCATCTGAACCTATTTAAGAGAAGCCTTTTGTTGGAACGTGGGTTTGTCTCTGTGGATCCTGCGATGTAGACCGAGCCTGCCTGAGGCTGTGTGGCTGCTCACAGGAGGGTCACATCAGAGCTGGCTTTGGATGCATTCCGGACTGAGAGTGTCAGGGGCACTCTGCTCTGGAGGACAGGAGGGTTGGAATAGAGCCTGGAGTCTTGGGGAAAGCACGTCAGCCTGGACTTGCTCGTGCTGACCCATGTCCTCCTCTGCCCTTCACCCGCCACGTGTCAACACTGGGCCCCTTTCTGGTGAGCAAGCTGCTTCCCGGAACCAAACTCCTCTCTACCGTGAAGTGAAGTGCTTGTGTCAGGACATCGAGCCATTCGAGGTAGTCTCTTTTCAGAACTTTGATGTCCTCTGTGCCATTGGCGTCTTCGTCAGAATTTCTCTCCTGAGTGCTGTGAGAACTCTTGCCGTCTTGGTAGACTTGCCCTTTTCATGAGGCGGCCGTTCCCATTTGTTCTTGGGGAACTGCGTAGCACCAAGCTACCTGACAGGCATGGTGGTCATGAAGTCTCTGTGTTAAGATCAGGAAACCAAGGCCAGAATATGCTCAACATTATAGTGGAGCGAAGCTCAGACAGAGGATTAGAACTCTTTATCCTGATCATTTATTCAAAACACTTTATTGACTGCCTACCCTGATGCACTGATGGCTTCAGGAACACAAAGATGATGAGAATAATCCCTCTCCCCAGCAGAGCCTCTGGTTTTAAAGTCCATTCAGACCTGAACAGAAGGGGAGAGATGCCCTAATAAAGACGTGTATAAAAGCCCTTCAAGGGTGTCAAGTGGAGCCGGAAGCAGGATCGGGTAACGACGGCAGAAGTAGGGGGGAAGCCATCCTTCCTGTCTTCACCTGCCCCTTAGGATTTGAGAGATCAGCCCTGCAACTATTGACTTGACAGATTACTTGTTATGTAACTGTATGGAACCTCCCGGTTCACGAGCCACGTATTTGAACCAAAGAGTTAAAATATTTCAAATCCCAGCGCATAACCGCTACCCTTTCTGAGATCTTACCCAGCTACATCCAGGTGGGCAGGTAATGAAGGTAGACAGCTAGAGCGCAGCACTCGTGCAATTTAAGAGGAGACCCAGCTGAATTCCAGTGCTTTAGACATGTCCACAGCCTCCCAACGCCAAGAAGCAGCCATCAGGAAGGATGGCCTGGCCAGTTGATACAAATCAAGTCAAGGTTTACCTGTGAGATGGTATAACACGTGAAAAATACGTTTTCAGGAGAGCCGCATGACACACTGGTGAGTTGTATGTTACTGGAGAGTCGGGCTTGTAGCTTAAAAGAAACCTCTTTGCCTTGACCAGATACATTGATGTGTACCAGGATTTCCATTTGCCAAAAAGGCACCTTGGGAGATGATGTAATCATAACAGTAAAAATAACCTGACAGTAAAAAACTAACTCGGCCAGGCACGGTGGCTCATACCTGTAATCCCTGCACTTTGAGAGGCCAAGGCAGATAGATCACCTGAGGTCAGGAGATCGAGACCATCCTGACCAACATGGTAAAACCTCATCTCTACTAAAAATACAAAAATTAGCCGGGCATGATGGCAGGCGCCTGTAATCCCAGCTACTCAGGAGGCTGAGGCAGGAGAATCACTTGAATCCAGGAGGCAGAGGTTTGCAGTGAGCCAAGATCGCACCACTGCACTCCAGCCTGGGTAACAGAGTGAGACTCCATCTCAAAAAAAAAAAAAAAAAAAAAAAAAAAACTAATTCAAAAGCAAAAGTTCCACAGGGTCACACAGAGTGAGAGCAAAGGACTGCGGTGATGGGGAGCTCTTGTCCCCCCTAGCGGTGTCCTCACTGCAGGGGTGTCCTCGGCATGCTTGGGAAACAGTGTTTGGGTCTGAGGGGTGGCCCCCCTCCCATTTGGGTGGTTTTCCCTGGTACAGAACTGGTTTGTTCCCTATTGGGTTTTTTCCTCTTTGGCCTCTCTAGCATATTGTATTTAACTCAGAATTTCCCAATTCTTCTGATAAGTATCTTCAAAGCAACTGAATTTCCCAGTGAGCCCATGTCACCTGCTTTCCCACTATTCTCAGTGCCCCGACATACAAGTAAAGTTACCCCAAATGAAGAATAGTTCATGTGTAGCAGGCAGTTAAAAATTCCATCCTGGGACTGGGCGCGGTGGCTCACATCTGTAATCCCAGCACTTTGGGAGGCTAAGGCGGGCGGATCACGAGGTCAGGAGTTCGAGACCAGCCTGGCCAACATAGTGAAACCCGTCTGTACTAAAAATATAAAAATTATCCAGCCTGATGGCGCACACCTGTAATCCCAGCTACTTGGGTGGCTGAGGAAGGAGAATTGCTTGTACCTGGTAGATGGAGGTTGCAGTGAGCCGAGGTTGCACCACTGCACTCCAGCTTGGGTGACAGGGTGAGACTCCATCTCAAAAAAAAAAAAAAAAAAAAAAAATACACACACACACACACACACACACACACACACACACACACACATTCCATTCTGGGCCAGGCACAGTGGCTGATGCCTATAATCCCAACACTTTGGGAAGTCAGGGCAGGAGGATCACTTGAGGCCAGGAGTTTGAGACCAGCCTGGGCAACATAGCAAGACCCCGTTTCTAAAAAAAATTCAAAAATTAGCCAGGCGTGATGGCGCACACCTGTAGTCTCAGCTACTCAGGAGGCTGAGACGGGAGGACCACCTGAGCCCAAGATTTTGAGTCTGCATTGAGCCATGATTGCACCGGTGCACTGTAGCTGGGACAATAGAGTGAGACCCTGTGTCAAAAACAAATTCTTTCCTGCATGATTGATTGGAAGGACTCTTAGAGACTAGGGTTATCCTTAGCTCTGGCTCATGTGAGTCTTTGGACATGTTATTCAACATCACTGACTCAGAGCCCTCAATGTAATCACAGGGACTTGTGGGATTTGTGATGTTTAAGGCCGTGTGTAGAGCCTGCCTGTCGTCGTGCCCGGCACAGGTAGTCGCTCAACAAACACTGCTGCTTATCCCTCATCGCCTGCTTCACAAGCAAGAAATACCTCATATCATGTGATCTTGGAAAACTCTTGTGAACACACTCTCCCTGCCAGTAGGAAGCCACAGAAGAAGTTTGTTGGAGGGCAGCGTGTGGGGATAGAAACCACCCTGACATAGCAGTGGCTTAGAAACTTCCTTTCCACACATGGCTCTGGGGCTTGCCCTCCTGGAATGAGAACATAGCTGTCAACGGTATAAAAATGTGAGCCCCATCAAGCAGCCTCTAAGGCTAGTGAATGGGGCAGCAGAGGAGAAAAGCCCAAGTTGATGGCACCAGGTGCCTGAGAATAAGTGCAGGAAGACCTTTTGTACACTGTAGGGCCCTTTAATAAGCCCTCTGAATCTTTCCTACCCAGGGGTGACTTCTCCTAAAAATAGGCTAGAGCCCTTCTCCCGCAGATACCAGTTGATGTGCAGCTTGACCAGAGGAGTGGTGAAGTCCCCGAGGCAGGTAGTGACCCATCCCACTACTTTAGGTTTCTAAGTCAGGATGGTAGCCATGTTGCCAATGGGATCTCCTGTGGGAACTTTAGCTCAAAGCAAGATAGGAGTGAACCAGTATCCAAGCTGATTCTTCACTGTATTTTGACCAGCCCAGATCAAGGCAGTGGGGTCCCTCTGCAGCTTCATACATTCCATAGGCCTGGCCCTAAACTGGAAAATGTCTGGGCCAGACATGGTTCCGAATGTTTCGGAACAGCCACACTTCACGTGGTGTCATCCCCGTTTCCCAGTATGTGAGGACGTGTGGGAGAACATAGGGACTGTACTGTTTCCAACTTGAACGGGATCAAACAGATGGAGGCATGGATCCCGCTTACAGCCCTGTCCATGATCTGGACTCTGTGCAAAGAGGGCACCCCAGTTTCCCAGGGTGATTTTGTGAGTTTCTGAGAACTGTGGATCAGGCAGCACGAACGTCACTGTGACCGATTTTGCTGCAGATCTGGAAACTTAGGCTCATGCTGCCAACCTGGCCGTTTCTTCACATTTCTCTTCCTTACATCTCCCCTGAGACGTTGCGGTTCAGAATGGGTTCATGGCTTGGTGCTTCCTTTAGTTCAAGAAGATCGGGGCAGGGAAGGCTTTGGGAGGACATATGGGGAAGGTAGCTGAAATGACGTTAGCTGGGCTGGGTGTGGTGGCTCACGCCTATAATCTCAGCTACTTGGGAGGCCGAGCTGGGAGGATCGTTTGAGCCCAGGAGTTCAAGACCAGCCTGGGCAACATAGCGAGACCCTATTCCTACAAAAACGTAAATAAGAGAAATAACCAAGCTAAAATGATGTTAGTTGATCTTTCTTCAGAGTCACAGCGAAAATACCCAGTACCGCCTGGTAAAAACAGTAGGAATGAGAGGGACTACTTAAGGAGAATCTCTGAATTCCAAAATGGCAGGAGCACACTTCTCAAATGGATGAGTCATTTCAATCAGCGCCATTCTTGCGGGAAGGTGACGCCGGAAGGTGGTCACGGTCGGCCCCTTTTATCTCCCTGAGGTCATCAGCCTCTCTTAGCAGATGGGTGACACCCATAGGCTATCAGAATGTGGGCTGCCCCAGGGCACAGATCTTGTCTGCTGTGTCACTGGTGTGCCTGAGCGCCTGCAGGGTGTCTGGCTGGAAGCAGGTGGTGAAGAAACATTTGTTGAATCAGTGATTGGATGAATGAACCCCTGCAGCCATCCTACTTACAGACATGGGAAACAGGATGGGAATCAGTCTGTGTACACAGCACCTTTCTTTCAGTCCTTGTCAGACTCGGATTCCATTCAAACTTTCCCAAGCTCATAAAGAAGGAAAGGAAAAAGAAGTGGGAGGACAGGCCAGAAAGAGGCAGAAGAGGCCCTTGACATCCTGATTTCCTACGCGACACCCTTCTCAGCGGCGCGGAGCCCTGAAGTGTCTTCAGCAGCTGCTGTGCCGAGTACAGGGGGGCTTTGCCACCACTGCAGGGAGGAGGAAGAGGAGCTGCCTGCTGAGGCCCTGGGAAGACCCTGCCTCTTAGTATCCTCTGCACCCGCCGATGCCTCTCCAGGAGTCAGGTGGAAGCAAATAAAGCCCCCTGCCAGCTCTTGCCCAGCAGCCGAGAGCAGGTTGTCCTGTTAGGAGAAACGTTTCTTCCAGAATGATGTGTGGAGCTCATGCAGGCAGTGACTCTTCCAAAGCAGAACCTGAGGTGCGGCCCAGAGCCTCTTTCCTATTTAGGATATGGCCCAGATCCTGGGAGCTGTTTCCTTGTGGTATGTGTGGGGCTGTAATTGGCCTCCCTGTGACCTGAGAGCTGCCTGCCCTGACTTAGTGAAGACTTGGCCTTGGAAATTATTGCAGATCTTTCATCCCGCTTTAAGCTGGAAAGTCCCTGTTGGGCTGTTGTTGCACTAAGGCATGTGGAGTAGAGGGCGGGAGGTAGGGCCAGCTAGCCCGACAGGCGGGGTGCACTTCGGCTTGGCAATCCAGCACCTTGCAAAGCGCTTGTTTACATCTGCACTCCTGCTCTCTCCTCCTGGGTTCTGCCATTAGTTGATGAGGGAGGAGGTCACAGGGCTGTCTTCGCTGCCCAGGCCCCTGCTGTTACCGCTCTCACTATCTTGGTTTCTCATCACCGCCTGATTCATCTGACAGAAAGCCCCTTGCTCAGGACAGAGAATCAAGGATGCTGATTGTTCCGATGTGTTTGTGCGTGTGGTTTTTTTTTTAATTTCCCATGGTATTTTGAGGTGAAGGGCTGGGAATGTGGAGCATATTTTGGCAGTTGGTGAGTTTGGGGTCCTTGCCCAGTGTCCTCTGAGTACCACCTTCCCTTTGGAAACACTGAACCCCCGGCAATGGCCTGCCAGTGTGCTTCCGTGTCCTTGTCTCTCCACAGGGTGAGCTGGAGCTCTGTGTGGACCTGGCTCAATGGCCTGGTGGGTCTGGCACAGGAGAGGCAACTGCTGCCTCCCAGCTCCCCTTTTCCACCGTCCCCAGCACAGCATTTCTGCAGGCTTTCTCCAGGGACTGGCGTGTGAAGGATCTGAACAGTTCCCAGTGCTTCTGGTTTCTTTTTTGTTGGTTGTAGCCAAGCCCAAAATTAAATCAGCATTTCCCCTTCCAGAGCTCTGGCCCTGGGCTTGGACTGCCAAGTTCTGTTGCCTGACAACCCATTAGTCTGCGGGATTTGCAGAATCTCCAGGGCAATAACAGTGGGAAGACTGAGTGTCTGTCATTCCAGATGCCAGATTCTCTGCTCCAAGAAGCTTTCATGAAGTGCTGTGTCCCTCACCTAGAAAATTACAGTGGGGAGGAGACAATGGTGAAGATGCCCAAAGGGGAAGGCAGATAGGGCTGTTGCGAACATGTGCCTGGTTTTTCTTCTTGTTGTAAGTCTTGGGACAGCATGGTGATCTCCTGAGTGATGCCTTTCCTCCTCATGTTCAGATCTTGGCTCCAGGGCTCACTAGCTGTGTGACCTGAACTTCAGTTACTTCATTTGCAAATGATAGTGCCTACCTCACAGAATGTTTTTTTTTTGCAGCCGGCTAACTCCATATGCCTCCAGAACACCTTTCTTGACTCTGCCAGGTGTGCTGACTCACTCTCTCTATGTTCTCCCATGAGTGCATACGTGGCTCATGGTACTTGACACGTCGTACCGAAAGGATTCCTGCAGGGCCCTCTCCCAGGTGCTACTGAAGCTCTTTTAGAGTAGAGAGTGTTTTAATCTGCTTTGTTTCCCGTGGTCCTAGTAGAATTCTTGCCAGACAGTATGCGTTCCCCACGTTACCCACGTCAAACAGACGCCTCTTGGATGTTTTCCTTCCCAAGTTTCGTTCACTCTACTGTAAAATCACTTCCCTCTGAATTGATGGCTGTTAGTTGTTTGTTTCCCTGAAGTGATAGTTCTTATCCTGTTTTTCTTCTCCCATCTAAAAGAAATACCACTTTTTGTTCCGTATTTATGGAATTCCCAGAAAGCTGATTCTTGGGTAGTTGCTTGACTTTATCTCCCTTTCTCATCTGCTTTCCATTGAATGGCAGTTGTCAAAAATAAATGATGGAAAGAATCAAATGGCGCCACAGACAGTGTATCCTCAGCCCTCCCCTGTTCATTATGGGGTGGCCGCCATGGATTTTGATGAGGAGAAGGAAGGGATGGGAAGACTGGTATTTGGGAATGATGAGCTAGTGCAGTTAGGGCCTTTGCTGTCCCAGGCCTGGGAGGGCAGGTTTGGAGAAACTTGAGGCCGGATCTATCAGGATTGCCCTCTGCCTCTTTTCTGCCATTACCTCTAGTCCACATTTCCTCATCTTCAAGATGCCCTAGCCCAGCATCATAGCATATTCTTTTTGTGCCCTGAGCTCGGTGTTGAAGAATGGAGCATGATGTTTAAAAAGGTCCCCCAGCAAGGATGCAAAGGCTAAAACAAGTGGGCACGTGTACAGGGCACAAGTGAACTCAAGTATTCGTGTTTTGCCCCTTCATCACACCATTACCTGAATTTGTATGTGAATACGCCACTGGATCTTGCTTTGTTAGTAAAGATTCTCTAGTGAATTCGAAAGATGCTATTTGGTGGAGGATGCCAGTAATTCCAACAGATGTGCCAAGACCTTATCCTGTGACTACCAGGGTTCATTAAAAGCTCTGTCTGAGGCTGCCACAAAGACGTTCAAACACTGCACACAACAGAAGTGCAGGCCTTCAGAAAACACTTTGTGCACAACCTGTCGTGCTACAAAAATTGCTGAATCACCTGCCGCTTTCCTTTAGCCAGGTTTTGCCTGATGGACCACCTGTCTCTCAACACTGGCTTGTATGATGTGGCATGCCAAAACCCAGCGTTGTCTCCTAGAGCTTAGAATGTTGCAGGAATCGGTGACCTGCCCAGCCAGGATGCCAGCCCAGTCATGACCTGCTCCCTCCAGCACCTCTGCCCCTTCTCTGCCTCCTTGAAGGTCTGGTAACACAGCCGGGCATGGTGGCTCCCGCTTGTAATCCCAGCACTTTGGGAGGCCGAGGCGGGCGGATCACGAGGTCAGGAGATTGAGACCATCCTGGCTAACATGGTGAAACCCGTCTCTACTAAAAATACAAAAAAACTAGCCGGGTGCTGTGGCAGGCGCCCGTAGTCCCAGCTACTCGGGAGGCTGAGGCAGGAGAATGGCGTGAACCTGGGAGGCGGAGGTTGCAGTGAGCAGAGATCGTGCCACTGCACTCCAGCCTGGGCGACAGAGCGAGACTCCGTCTCAAAAAAAAAAAATGTCTGGTAACACCAGGCTGCTACCACATGGCACTGTGCCTCAGCCCTGTTTCTCAGTAACGACTGTTCGCTCTCCAGAGCCTGTGGATGCAGCTTTCCAGGAGTATGCACACAGTGGTGGGGAAATATTACTGGACACCAGACTTGCTGCTTCACTCATGTTTCCTGGGCACTCCCCAGGTGGCAGGCGTTAAGTGGAAGAGGAAGGTGACCGTGTGTGTGGGGTGCAGGGTCAACACGCACCCCCACATGAGTATGTGTGCATCGTGTCACTCGGTGTCCATGACGGCTCTGGGAGGTGGGTGGTGCCATCATTTATCTATCAGGAAACGAGCTCTGAGGAGTTCTGTAAATTTTCTAAGACCCTTCAGCCAACTACTGGTGGAGCCAGGCATCTGGAAGATGAGGAAATCTGACCTGGGGTTGCCCGCCTCCACCTGGACCCGGTGCTACTCACATTACAGGGGACACACCAGAGGACTCATGACAGCCTCCTCTGACCAGGATCAGGAGGACAAGGGACGTCAACAGAGAATAGTGGTGATGATAAGGGAGGCAGCAGAACTGTTCCATGTTAAAGGAGACCAAAGCACAGTTGTAAAACACATTTTCAAAAATCCGAGTCCATAGCAGTACTTGAAAGTATAAAGTTAAAAATGGGAAAAGTGCTTCTTTACCAAAGAATGGTAGTGGAGGAGGAGTGATGGGATTTTTTTTTTTTTTTTTTTTTTTGAGATGAAGTCTCGCTTTGTCACCCAGGCTGGAGTGCAGTGGCGCAATCTCGGTTCACTGCAAGCTCCGCCTCCCAGGTTCACACCATTCTCCTGCTTCAGCCTCCCGAGTAGCTGGGACTACAGGCGCCCGCCACCGTGCCTGGTTAATTTTTTGTATTTTTAGTAGAGATGGGGTCTCACTGTGTTAGCCAGGATGGCCTTGATCTGCTGACCTCGTGATCCACCTGCATCGGCCTCCCCAAGTGCTGGGATTACAGGCGTGAGCCACCGCACCCAGCCAGAGTGATGGGATTTTAAAATCACCTGGTGTGACGCCCTGTGCACACAAAGGACTCCGGCCAAGATCGCCGACGATGCTGAAACCACAGGGTGAAAGGACGCAGGCAGGGCACCCCGTGGCTTCAGAAGCCCACGGAGGACTGATGGGGAAGTGTGCCTGTGCATCGCAGAGAGGCCTGGGTGCCACCTCTGTGAGCGGTCGGGCCTGGTGTCCTTCCTCTGAGCAGCGGTGCTGCGGTAGGGGCAGCATCGCCCACGTGGCCTTATGAAACCGAAAGTGCCTTATCTAACTGTGAGGAGACAGATCCGCAGCATGAGACGTTCTTCAGGCAGCTGGCCAGGCCCCCTCAGTGGTGGGGCACGTGCCTGGTGGGGACTTGGATCCCGGGGCAGGCATTGGGGGAGGCACCTGGTGGGGGCCTGGATCCCTGGGGCAGACTGCACCGGGGATGCCCTTCTCAGGCAAGGCTGCTTCAGGGGCACCTGGCTCCTGGCTGCCTGCGGTCTGGCCCACACCCCTCACCACCAGTCACTCTTGTGGGGAGACTGCGTCTCCCCTCTGGGGGCCGGGTTCAGGGTGATGAAGGAGAGAGAACGCTCTGACCTGGAGGGCAGACAGGGCCACCTTCCTTTCTCCTGCAGAGTGAAATTCCCTCTCACATGCCAGGGTCCTTCTCTGGCCTCTGGCAACTCTGCAAATGCTCTGACCTTTGTCCTGCCCCACATTCTGGCAGGAGGGCCTGCAGCCTGGGTGTCAGCCCCCACCCCCACGCCCCGTCTGTGGTTGGACCTCAGTGCAGTGCTTCTGTGCTTGTCCCGCAGGTTCAGGCGTGAACGGCCTGGAGGAGCCCAGCATCGCCAAGCGACTGAGGGGCACCCCAGAGCGGATCGAGCTGGAGAACTACCGCCTGTCCCTGAGGCAGGCTGAGGCACTGCAGGAGGTACCGGAGGAGACTCAGGCCGAGCACAACCTGAGCAGCGTGCTGGACACGGGCGCCGAGGAGGACGTCGCCAGCAGGTCAGCACGCAGGGCTGCAGGGCGCCCACCCGCCACACGGCCCTAAGAGCCTCCTCACCTCTGTGTGTCTCGGTTTCTTCTCAGTGAAGGGAGGCCTCCTGTCTTTCCTGCTGCCCGCAGTCCATTCTCCCCAGTCCCTTTTAGGTTCTTAGCCTCATCTTCTAGTCAGTGAGGACTCCTCCATCAGACTCAATTCAGAGATTCAGGAAGTATTTATTCCTTGAGGACCTGACATGTCCCCAGCTCCAAGTCTGTCATTGGGAAGGAAAGTGGCAGGCTCTGCCCCCGGGTTATTCACAGATTCAGCAGAGGGAAGGACGGGCACACGGGGAGGGACTCTGGGTGATTCAGCCACCAGTGCACCGGGCCGTCTTGAGGGAGGCCTAGTCCGTCCCCCAGGCATCTTTTTTTCTCCTGTAGGTAAAGAAAGGGACTGAAAATGTGTGCCCCAGGGGCCGCATGCAGCACCAGTGGATGCATGCTTAGGCAGTTCCAGAGCTGTAATCACATCCAGCTGGGTGACACCTTTGGGGATGTGCATGCTATAACCCTAGGACTCCCTATATCCACTGCCCTGCACCCCAGGGCTTCCAGTATCAGCGAAGGCTTCAAAGTGTTCAGCCGATTACAGATGATCAAGAGAGCCAAGAATCAAAAGGGGGTCCGGTGTCCTGTGGGGCTTCAGGACAGAAACACAGGCTGCAAACCCGAGGGGCAGAGGCCTCAAGTGGCCTTGGAGAGCATTTGAATCACACACCTTGATTTAGCCATGATGAAGGGAACATGTGGGGATAAGGAGAGCAGAGCAGTTTTTTTAAGGTCCAAGAACGCTTTCCAGAAGGTGTTTGCTGGGCCGAGCTGCTTTCAGCTGCACCCGCCACCTCAGCCCTCATGTCAGACACCCTCTGCCTAGATTCATTCTTGGGCTGCCTCACAGACCGCTCCTCCGTGCATGCCGGGGGCAGCCTCTGCCTTGGTGTCTGCAGTTCCAAAGCTGTCACTGATGGTGCATCCTCATCCAGAACTCTGCTTCCCTATCCAGAGCACCCATGGAGGCCCCACTCTCCCCACTGTGCCCAGATGAGGGGGAGCCCACTCTCTCTCTCCACTGACCCTGCAGTGAGGGTGAGAGATGCTGTGTGTCAAAACACATTTATAAACCCTTGAGCAGAGCTACTGGCTTGACCTTGGGCTGAGTGTGGGTCAGCACCATTTTCTCCACTGTAATTTATAAATTGTGAGAGGCAGTGGGGCAGCAAGTTCATGTAATGTAGCAAGGACATTCCAGGAAGGCTAACCCCTGGCATTTATGGCAGGTATGACAGGAGGGCAGCACAGAAAACATGAAATCAGTCAGCATCTATGCAATGCAATACATGCCTCATCTTACTCAGATTGAAGTTAAAAAAAGATTTTAAAACTAGCATTCATGCTGGGCGCAGTGGCTCATGCCTGTAATCCCAGCACTTTGGGAGGCCAAGGTGGGCACATCACTTAAGGTCAGGAGTTCAAGACCAGCCTGGCCAACATAATGAAACCCTGTCTCTACTAAAAATACAAAAATTAGCTGGGCATGGTGGTGCACACCTGTAATCCCAGCTACTTGGGAGGGTAAGGCATGAGAATTGCTTGAACCTGGGAGGCGGAGGTTGCAGCGAGCCGAGATCATGCCACTGCACCACTGCACTCCAGCCTGTGTGACAGAATGAGACTCCATCTCAAAAAAAATTAAAATTAAAATCAAAAAATAAAATAAAGGCCAGGCACGGTGGCTCACACAGGAGAATCACTTGAACCTGGGAGGCGGAGGTTGCAGTGATCTGAGATCACACCAGTACACTCCAGCCTGGGAGATGGTGAGACTCCGTCTCAAAAAAAAAAAAAAAAAAAAAAAGATAATTAAAAGTAGCATTCAGTGCTATACAGAATGAAAAACAGTCTCTTAAAAGTGAAGAGCCGGGTGCGGTGGCTCACGCCTGTAATCCCAACGCTTTGGGAGGCTGAGGTGGGCGGATCACTTGAGGCCAAAAGTTCGAGACCAGCCTGGCCAACATGGTGAAACCCCATCTTTACTAAAAATACAAAAAATTAGCCGGGCATGGTGGCGGTCGCCTGTAATCCCAGTTACTCGGGAGGCTGAGGCAGGAGAATCACTGGAACCCAGAAGGCAGAGGTTGCAGTGAGCCAAGATCGTGCCATCAAACTCCAGCCTAGGCAACAAGAGCGAAACTGCATCTTAAAAAAAAAAAAAAAAGGGAAGAGCCCAGCTAGGTGTGGTGGCTCATGCCTGTAATCCCAGCACTTTGGGAGGCTGGGGTAGGCAGATCACTTGAAGTCAGGAGTTCAAGACCAGCCTGGCCAACATGGTGAAACCCTGTCTCTACTAAAAATACAAAAACTTGCCAGGTGTGGTGGCACGCACCTGTAATCCCAGCTACTCAGGAGGCTGAGGCAGGAGAATCGCTTGAACCCAGGAGGCAGAGGTTGCCGTCAGCCAGATTGTGCCACTGCACTCCAGCCTGGGCAACAGAGGGAGACTTCGTCTCAAAAAAAAAAAAAAAAATGAAGAGCCCGGCCTGGTGCGGTAGCTCATGCCTGTAATCCCAGTACTCCGGGAGGCCAAAGCAGGCAGATCACCTGAGCCCAGGAGTTTGAGAGCAGCAGTAACATGATGAAACCCCGTCTCTACAAAAAATATGAAAATTATCCGGACCTGCCTGTAATCCCAACTACTCAGGAGGCTGAGGCAGGAGAACCACTTGAACCAGGGAGGCAGAAGTTACAGTGAGCCAGGATCATGCCATTGCAATCCAGCCTGTGAGACAGAGCAAGACCCTGTCTCAAAAAAAAAAAAAAAAAAAAAAAAGCATCTAGGGGAAGGAGCTATAAATGTTGTCTTACTTCCCTGGGTGGCCGTAGGACACAGGACGGGAAGTGCGTGGTGTTTTTCTCTGTCTTCCCTACAGCACCAAGCACAGAATTGGGTGCCTTTCCAGCCGTCGGTCCTTCCTTGCTGAGATGTTAGACTGGAAGATGAGAAATGGCATCATTTTAAGGCATTAACCGTTCCAGCCAAGGAACTCTCATTTCACAAGTTCAGTGAACTCTTAACTTTGGCCTCTGCTGCAGGGGACAGCAGCGTGATGTTTCAGAACCTGACTTTGGAGTCAAACAAAGCCTGGATTTGAAGCCCAGTTCTGCCACCTGCTAGCTGTTGGCAATTTACTTAACCTCTCCCTGCTTCAGTTTCCTCATCTGCAAAGGTGCTGCACTTCATAGGTTTGTTTTGAGGATTAAGTCGTATAAAGCACGGACGAAGCCTTGATGCCCGGAGTTACTGCTCCTGTTACTCTCCTGGTACAGCACAGGTCTCCCTCACCACAGGGCCAGGGGCAGGGCCAGGCAGCCTTGTATTGGTTTCCTTAAACGGGGTTGATGCCGGGACTTGGGTTTGGCTCAAGCTCACCCTGTCCGAGAATGTTGGTAACCAAGCTTTCCCATGCCAGAGTCACCCAGGGCTTGTGATGAAAGCACAACACGTTGGGCTGAGTTTCTGATTCAGCGCCTCTGGGGTAAAGCCCCAGAATTTTTAGTTCTCAAAAGTTCCCAGGTGATGCTGTGGTCCAAAGACCACAATTTGAGAAACACCACTTTAATGTTTCTAAATTTCTCTGATAATAAACATCACCTGGGATGCTTGGCTAAAAATATAATTGCAGCCAGGCATGGTGGCTCACACCCGTAATCCCAGCACTGTGGGAGGCCAAGGCAGGAGGATTGCTTGTGTCTAGGAGTTCAAGATCAGACTCTGCAACAGAGCAAGATCCAGTCTCTACAAATTAGCCAGCGTGGTGGTACGCTCCTGTGGTCCCAGCTCCTCAGGAGGCTGAAGCAAGAGGATCGCTTGTGCCCAGGAGTTCACTGCCTGGGTGACAGAGTGAGACCCTGGCTCAAAAACAAAACAAAACAAATGTAACTTCTAGGCGCACCCTGGAGTATCTAATTCAGTGGGTTTGGGGTGGAGGCCAGGAATGTCAGTGTCCAACAGACCCCCCAGGTGAGTCTCATAATCAATTCATGGTTTAGTCACACAAGCGCCTATAAATCCCAAGCCTTGTCACAGACCCTTGGCCCAGGCCTAATCAGCTTCATGCCTCTACCTTGCAGGCAAGGTGGGGCCTGTCTCCTGGAGGAGACCCTGGAAATAGCAGCTTTGTTTTCACTGGAAAGGCCAGTGGGCCAAAACCAAGGGAGGGCTGGCTTTGTGATGTTTGTGTTGTTTTCCCTGACTGCCTTCCTTTCTGGAAGAATGTGCCCCGGGCAGCAAAGGCAGCTGGTGCAGTGCCCACGTGCTGAAGTTCTTTAGCATTTCCACATTCTTGGCTCTAGAGAGAAGTCAGGAGGGCTAGCACACACAGGTATGTTTTCTGATGGCACAGGCGAGGTCACAGAAAAGTGGATGGCAGGCGTTGCTGTCTGTCAGAATAACACGAAAGTGAGAGAAGGCCGCTCTTTCAGAATAACACCACGAGTGGGAGAAGGCCGCTCCCTCAGGGCTGGCCATGAATAAATGGGGATTTCTGCCTGTTCTCTCCCTCCCGCCTCACTCCCTTTTCCTGCAGAGGCAGCTCCTGAGCCATTGCCGAGCAGGATGCTAGTTTTAGCATGGATTACATTTCCACCGTGTAAAGCCTGCTGCATGATGTGCATCTTCTCCAGCCGCCTCCTCAGCAGGAGAGGGTTTGCACAGTTGTCAGGGAAGGGAACCTAGGGGCATGGCCCAACGGGACAGAGGATTTGAGTCCCTCTGATTATGAGCAGGTTAATTTAAAAGTGAAAACCATGGTTACCCATTGCCCTTTAAAAACCACCCAGGGGCCGGGCACAGTGGCTCATGCCTGTAATTCCCAGCACTTTTGGAGGCCGAGGCAGGCAGATCACAAGGTCAGGAGATGGAGACCATCCTGGCTAACATGGTGAAACCCCGTCTCTACTAAAAAAGTACAAAAAATTAGCCAGGCGTGGTGGCGGGCCGAGTAGTCCCAGCTGCTCGAGAGGCTGAGGCAGGAGAATGGCGTGAACCTGGGAGGCGGAGCTTGCAGTGAGCCTAGATCGCGCCACTGCACTCCAGCCTGGGTGACAGAGCAAGACTCCATCTCAAAAAAAAAAAAAAACCACCCAGGAACTTCAAGTGGTTCCTGGCAGCAGCCTGCTCTTTCATGGTAGGGTCTGCTTGAATTCCTGGTCTGCACTTCTCAGGTTGCATCCAGGCAGGCAGGAGCTTGATCAAGACCTTCTTCCTGACAGTAGCCACCCTGACAGAGGCTACTGGCTGGGAACTCTTGGGTTCTGGGAGAAGCACCCAGGAAGGCACAGCATGACTCCGTGTGGACCCTGGTGGGAATCCCGACTTCTCCTTATGCAAATGACCCAACTTCCTTAGGCTTCGGTCTTGTCATTTATAAAAGCAGCGCAGCCCCGTGACCTAGAGCATTTGTGCGATTAAATGAGCTACCCATGGGAAGCACTTTGTGCTGCGGGCACGCGGTCAGGGCTGCCCTCCGTCAATCACTGTCATCCTCGGATCCGCCCCTCTTGACACAGCAGAGGACTGCAGAGCACGTGAAGTGGAGCAAACCTTGTCTGTTTAGAATCAAGTGCATGTGCCTGTTGGATTTCTTTCCCATGCTAGGTCTGCCAGTGTCTCAGTGAGAAGACAGCTGGGGGGAAATTCAGAGCAGGTGCTTTGAGTTGAGTAGCTGGGTATAAACTGAGACAAGGAGGGATTTTGCTGGACGCTCTTCTAACTGGAATAGCCAGCACCTTCTGATGGAGGCTTTACCGGGGGACAGTCGGGGTGCAACCTCTGACATCTCTGAAAGTAGCGTAAGCCTGCCCTGGCTTTCACCGCAGCCCCTGGCACATTCCTGCTGTCCTGGCCACACTTGGCCCTGTGAGGAGCACAGTGGTGACCCGGCACCTGCCCTTGGAGAGAGTGTGACCCTGGGGGAGGCAGACCCCAATCAAGCAATCTCACAGGACAGTGCGTTGTCACCAGTGCCAAAACAGATCCTGTGAGGAGGGCAAGGTGATCCTGATGACTAGATCTGACCCCGTCCCTCCTGGGAGGCAGTTCTGAAAAGTCAGCCTCCCCAGAGGGAGGGAGAAGTTGTCTGTGTTGCATCTGTTTCTGGTATAGTGATCCTCTGTGCTTAAGAAGTTTCCAGGCTAAGGTCCAAAGGGTCGGCCACACTGCAGCTTCCTCCCTCCTCTGCACCTTTCCTCCAGAGATGCAGGTGCTGGGAGCCTCGAGGTACTGAATTCACACTGTGAATCTTGTGTGTGACGCACAGGACCTGGGCCAACCCAGAGACTGCCCTAGTCCTTTGAAAATCATGGACTGGAAAGGAGTTGGAAACTCCTGCCGGGTTCCTCTGTGTCCTTCATGAAGAGAGGGTGGCCTGTCTGGGAGCTGCAGAAGCAAGCGCCAAGGTGTCTGGGAGGTGGGCTGGGTTTGCAGCTGATGCACGGAGGTGAGGGTTGCTTTCTGCTGTCTTCTGTGCTCCCGTGGTCCTTGAGCTGTTGTGAAACCAGCTGATGCACGGAGGTGAGGGTTGCTTTCTGCTGTCTTCTGTGCTCCCGTGGTCCTTGAGCTGTTGTGAAACCAGCTGGTGCGACACGGCTGTGGGCTGGCCTCGCTGGCCTCATCTCGGGGCATCTATTCAGTGCCCACATTGTGCCTGTGCAGCTATCCTCACGACATGGCGCAGGGTGAGGACAGGCCTGTGCTGAGGCCCCCTCCCAGTGAACTGCAGTGCGGCCCTGCCCTGCTGCCAACTGCTGGGCAGCCTTGCACAGGCCCCGGCTGCTCAGCTGGGAAAGAGGAACCAGGGGGCCTTCCCTTGGCCCAGCGAAGATTTAAGATGAGCATAGATGCATCCTTAGCCTTATTTTATGTTCAAACAGTGTTAAATGACATGCACTAGGTTATGTATTGTTGTTCATTAATAAGAAAGTAAATTAATGAAAACACAAGCGTAAGGCAGAAAGAATACCAATAAAGGTAATGCTGAAAAATAACCAAAATCCAGATGCCAAGTTTTCCGTGGCCCAGATTCTTAGGTTTGCCCACTTTCGACCTCTCCTCCTGGCCCTCCGCCCACCGTGCTTGTGTTCTGCTGCGCTTTAGCATGATGTGCGTACACCTTTCCTCCCCTTGAGAATAAGGAGCTTTTGTTATTTTTAATTTATTTTTATCTTTATTTTTTGTAGAGACTGGGTCTCCCCATGGTTGCCCAGGATGGTCTCAAACTCCTGGGCTCAAATGATCCACCCACCTCAGCCTCCCACAGTGCTGGGATCACAGATGTGAGCTACTGGGCCCAGCTGAGCATAAGAGTCTTTTCTGTGTCACCTTTGTGTTCCCTACAGTGTCTAGCAAGTGCGTTGTGAGGGGAAGATAATTGAATAAATTTTATCCAGGTAAATGAACAAGTGAAGCTGATTCACTACCCTGAGCTCCTTGCAGTATATTCTTTTGTCCACTGGCTGAGCTGTAGGTGCTCAGAAATGTTCACCGAGTGAATGAATGAATGTGTCATTGAGCAAACTCAGAGAGCACAAATAATCAACTCACAGTCACACAGCCAGCCAGTAGCAGAGCTGGTGTGGCACAGTGAGGAAATGGCCAGCTGAAAAGAGGGAATACAGCCCACAAGACTGCCCCACTTCTGACCCCAGTGGCGAATTCCGGAGTCTCCCAGAATCACCCACAGGTTTGATAGTTTGCTAGAGCTCGCAGAACTCACTGAAAGCTGTTGTACTCATGGTTATGGTTCGTTACAGGGAAAGGGTACAGATGTCAGTGAGCCAAGGGAAGAAGTACATAGGGTGAGTCCAGGAAGGAACCAGACTCAGCTTCCATTGTGCTCACTGTGGGGCCAGGACAGCTGTACTCTCTTGGTCTCGATGTGTGACGATACGCCAGGAGTATTGCTCACCTGAGCAATACTAAGACCCTGTGTTTGGAGTTTTTATTACATAGGCAATGATTGATTGATTATCCACATGGTTGATCTCAGTCTCCGGGTCACTGGATACCGTGCTACCCAAAGCCTCACCCTAATCACATTACTAGACTATGCAACATGAACCGGGGTCTCCGGCAAACAGTGACAGCCCCATAGGCAGGGCACCCCAGGCGTGTCTAGGTTACTTTCGTGGAGCCAAGGACAAGGGCTGGAGTCCTCTCTTTGGACAAGGCGAGATTCTTCACCTGGCAGTGATCGCCCTGGCAGTGCCCCTCAGTGCTCATCGTGGTGTATTTACTGGTTCGCCCTCTCACACACAAGCAGGCTAGGGGAGAGCCTGCCTGGGCAGAGAGAGGACACACCCTCGCAGGAGGTCAGGGCAGATGCCCTCTCGTGCCTGATGCTTCTTGGATTTTGTTGGGCCAGAGGTCGGGCCATGGCTTTAACGTGAAAGCTGATTTCCCCCGGCCTCTCACTGCAGGCAAGGCCTCTCCTGAAAAAGATGCTTTGGGAATTATCAGACCACGAAACACTCAGAAACATCTCCATTTGTGCAGCAATGTTGGGGTTTTGCGTGTATTGGAGCCCCACAGGTTGCAAGGAACCCGGTTTTGTTCCTGTCCTGCCTCCCTCCACAGGGCAGGAGTGGGGTACACTGCAGCAGGAGGGTGGCCAGAGCGAGGAGCTACGGTTTGGGTAGTGTCCGTTGTGGCATGTGCATTCTTACAGGTGTGCGGCTTCCTATGTCGGCCACGCTTGCCTGCAGCTGTGAGGGGAGTGCTTGGCAGTGCAGCAGCTGGCAGGAGCGATGGCCCTGGGGTTGGAGGTTTGTCTCCACCCTTTCCCCATCGTCTCTGTCCTGTGGCTTTGCAGTGAGCGGTGCCTTTGCCGTCATTTCCCTGTGTGTCCCCACAGTGTCCTGCTCAGGGATTGGCACGTGGTAGGGTTCTAAGGAGTGCCAGGAAATGGAATCTGTCGCCCCACCCCAGCACACAGACCTTGATCATCAGCCAGTTAAGTCCAGGCCTTTCTGGGTCCCCCCTCCCCCCACCACACCCACAGCTCTCCTGAGAGGCTTCTGACAGGCCGCAGTCACACAGAATTGAGTTCCTCTAACTAGACAGTGGGCCAGGATGAGAGAAGACTTTCCATTCTCAATTCCCAGGGTCATGGGTTTATATCAGAATGAGTCCACTGCCCTGCTTGTGCCCTCGAGGCCGTCTATGAAACGTAAACCAGCGATCTCAGTGTTTGCTGCTTGAAGCACCCTGAGGGATGGGGCTGTGGCTTGAGTTTGAGCGGCTGCAGTCAGGAACTTCCATGGGCTCCGTGAGGAGCTGCTCTCCCAGTTCTGCACACTCCCCTCCACAGGCAGAGGCTGGGCCAGACCCACAGGCAGCCTTCGGTGGTCCCCTCCCTACCCCATCCACCTGAGGAGAAGTGCGTGAGGTCTGTGAGCAGGAGGCATTCTTCCCTTTGTCCCCTTAGTCGGGCTTGGGTAGGTGGCTTCTCATGCCCAGGTACCCTGTCCTGCTGATGCCGCTCTCTCCTCCCTCCTGTCTCTCTCCGCCTGCTCAGCAGCTGCTTTGCCTGACATGCATTGTTTCTGATGGTGGCCCTTCCCCTTCCCCTTCTCAGTTTTTCTTCATTCCCTCACTCTGGCTATGTGGTTATTTCCTCACAGTAGTTCCGAGTCTGAGATGGAGGAGGAGGGAGAGGAGGAGGAGGAGGAGCCTCGCCTGCCCCCATCTGACCTGGGTGGTGTTCCGTGGAAGGAGGCCGTGCGGATCCATGCCCTTCTGAAAGGGAAAAGTGAAGAGGAGCTAGAGGCCTCAAAGAGCTTTGGGCCTGGGAATGAAGAGGAGGAGGAGGAGGAGGAAGAATATGAAGAGGAGGAGGAGGAGGACTATGACGAGGAGGAGGAAGAGTCCAGTGAAGGTCAGAACAAAATCTCTGCTCCGAACTCTGCCCTGCCCCCCAAAGTGATCTGTTTCATGCGTGAGTGTAAGAGGTTTCTGGGGCTGACGTCACACGGACGTGCCTCCTGCACAGCCCAGGGACCACCCCTCCTGACATAAGACATGGGGGGCAGAGGGGAGGACACCGTAGCGTTGAGCAGGCGGTTGGCAGTGGAAGTAATGTCCCTTGTGCACATTGGTTTAGAAACTGGAAGTGGAAGGCAGAGAGCCAGTCCAAGTACTCATCCAAGTTAGGCCACTCCTACTTGTCTCCACCTCGTTTTCTCTTTTTGCCCTGTAGTTTCAGTTGAAAAAATTAATAAGGAAAGGGAATTTAGCTTTCTAGAGGATTCCCTGATCCTAGTCTAGGGTTTCGGAGGTGGCTATGAGCTTAGTGCCCACTGGATGGGGCTCAGTTGATGGCACGCAGGGCAGCGTTTTGGGGACAGTGTCCTGAAGGGATACTCAGGCCCAGGGGCCAGCCACTCTGGCTGGTTCTGAAATAGTCTCTTGCCTTGGACTTGAGATTTTTCAATTCTGCCCCATCTCTGGGTGTGTGTGGCCTCAAGTGATGAGGAGGGACTTGCTGGGCCTGTGCAGGAGAGAAGGCCATTCTTTCTCTGCTCCAGCAGCGCAGAAGTCTGGGGGGTGGTGAAGACGGAGCCAGGGCAGGTGGAGATCTGAGTCCCCAAAAGATAGATGTGGAGTGAGCAGGAAGGACATGACCTTTAATTTCTGAGCACCAGTGACTCCCTGCAGCGGTCAGAGGATCGGTTGAGTTCTCAGTGACCCCAGGCCCTGCAGAGCTGGCACTGTGCTCATCTCTGCTTCTCCTGGCACCTGTGTGCTTGCTGCCCAGTCCCATCCGGGGGTCTGTTTTCTCTGGCACACAGGGCTGAGCCCTTGCCTGACAGGGCTCATGTTCCTGATCCAGTCCCCTGGGAGCTGTGCAGCTCCAGGATGTTGGCCCCAGTGAGGTGGGTTAGCAGAAGGAACCGCACCGTTGGGCGTCCGCGAGAACAGCTGGCGTCAGGGACTTCCTCGGGCTCCCTAAGGACCTGCTCTCCCAGTTCTCTACTCTTCCCTCTGAGGCAGAGGCTGGGCAGGACCCACAGGCAGCCCTTAGTGACCCGCACTCCACACCCTGTCTGCCTTAGGAGAAATGGGGTCTGTGAATCTGGGCTCTCCCTCCATGCTGCCGTGTCTGCGGAGCCAGGTGCCGGCGTGGCCTCTGCTAGCCAGCAGAGTGAGCATGCACAGCTGGTCCAGGGCACGGTGTTTTGTTTGCACTGTTCCAGACATCGTCATCTCCATCTGATGATGATCACTCGGCAGCTTTGAGCCCTGGCACAGCTTCGGGTCGAAGCACGTTCCCTTTTCAGGAGAGTTGAGCCGAGCTTTCCTTCACGCAGACTTAATTTCCTGGACTTAGTGCTAACGTCAAGACCAAACCTGTAGGAAAAGAGCTTTAACTACACAAACACATACTGACAGATTCAGCCAAACTCCGAGAGTCCCAGACCGGAGCCTGTGTCCCTAGCGCAGGTGTGTCTGTCGGGCAGCCGACGGTGCCTGTGCAGGCAGTGGCTGGACACCACTACTCCCTTCTCTTCCCTCCCTGCTTGATCGCGCTGTGGGATTCCTGATGCTGTGTGGGTCTCTGGCTCCCCCTGCTGTAGAAGGGGAGTACTGCCCCTGGGACACAGAACTGCAAGGCCAGTGGCGCCAGGTACCTCCCACAGGAAGAAGATTTGAGGACATTTAAAGGTACCCACTTTACCCCGTGCCCACCTTCTACCCCAGCTCCCTGGCAGCCATCCAAAATTTGCCTCCAAGAGCATGTCTCACAGACAAAGGTCTGTGTTTTATGGAACTGTGCTGACGGGCTCTGCACACATCTCACTGGGCTACTCTCCCTGGTCCCAGCCTGCCCAGACAGTCAGGCGCAAAGTAACATGTGAGTCAGAAGAGGTTCTGGAGGAAGTTGGAGAAGGCTCCAGAAGTGGCCTCATGGAATGCGGCCCCATCTATGCCGCATATGTTTTACTGCAAGCTCATCTCCAGCCAAGACTTGGCTCCTTCTCTGATGCAGGAAACCTATCGCCAGTGCAGGTGCCTTTAATGTTTCTCTGAGAAAGGAGGAAATGCTGGCTTGTGCTGTCGATAAGTCCCCAAGGCTGCATGTATTAGCAGGAAGCACAGCAGGACTCTGAGAGAAGAATGTGTCTCTTCTCTTTGTTGCTGAGAAGGTAGAGAAAGGCCCTGCACTCTTTGACTTACCTTCCTCAGTCCTGTGCATCCAGGCTGTTAGGTGACTCTGCTGTGACTTAGTCCCACCCAGCACCATAAAGAAAGGCAAATTGACGGCCGGGTGCAGTGGCTCATGCCTGTAATCCCAGCACTTTGGGAGGCCGAGGCGTGTGGATCACCTGAGATCGGGAGTTTGAGACCAGTCTGACCAACATGGAGAAACCCTGTCTCTACTAAAAAATATAAAAAATTAGTCGGGCATGGTGGCACATGCCTGTAATCCCAGCTACTTGGGAGGCTGAGGCAGGAGAATTGCTTGAACCTGGGAGGCGGAGGTTGCGGTGAGCTGAGATCGTGCCATTGCACTCTAGCCTGGGCAACAAGAGCGACACTTCGTCTCAAAAAAAAAAAAAAAAAAGGCAAATTCACCTCAGAAAAAGTCCACAAATCTATAGAGACCAGCAACATCTATAGAGACCAGCAACTCCAACAAGGGGCTAATACTCCACATACGGCTTGCAGGGCCAGCAACAAATCTATAGAGACTAGCAGCTCCAACAATGGGCTGATACCCCACATACGGCAGAGCACAGGGCCAGCATCACACTGGGTGGTCTTGCTGGTCCTTTCTGCCCATTTCACATTCCCTGTTGCTTGAAGAGGCTGTCATAGTGACTGAAGCCAAGGCCAGATTGTCTGGTTAGACTCAGAGGAGGCATGTCACCCATTCCCAGATGGAAGCTGGCTCCTGGCAGGAACACGAATCCTTCAGATCAGGTGGCACCTGCTGAACAGCCACCTTCCCTTCCCAGTTGCTAGCTGTCCCTTTATCTTAACCCAACTGTGTGGCACGGTCCAAGCACTAAGTACAGGGATCCCACAGGGCAGGGATCCAGAGGGGCCACTGGTGAGTTTCCATGTAGCTGAGAAACCAGGCCTTGTTTCCAGAGGTGATAAGCAGGGCACCACATGGAGTTCTCAGGTGAGGGCTTTGACCTCAGAGAGCTGTTGGTCTCATTCTCGCCTGTGAAATTCCAAGGGTTTGGAAACGTACATGAAAGAGCTCTGCTTCCCTCCCAGCCATCACCTCCCCTGACTCTACCCTCCACTGGGATCCGTGTCCTTGCCTCAGACCCAGCATGCAGCATGAGGCCCACTAAGGGACGGGGACTTTTTCTCTCCAGCAGCAGCTCCAGCTGCAGAAGATGCAAACCGAAGTGCCAGCAAAGTCTATCTCTGTCCTGTGTGAGCTGGCCGGCTGGCGGCAGAATGACACAATCTCTTCCCACCTCTCTCGTCACCTGGCCATCAGCTGGGCGAGTGGTGGTGGGCACCTTGCTGTGTGACCAGCAGAGGGGCAGGATAGTGCATCCTGGGGTCTCACACTGTGCTAGGGACAAAGCAGGTCCTTGTGACCCCTTGGGGCTGGGCCTGCAGAAGCAGGCTGGAATCTGCTCTTTTTCCATCTTGGTGCATGGGCCCCCTGAATGCAGCTCAGGATGAAAGGAGCCTCAGAAAGGAATGTGTGATTCTCTTCACTGAATTGAATGGTACATATACGGCTGGAAATGACCAGGTCACACTGAATGAGCAGAAGGACTGTGCGTGTGTGTCTGTGTGTCCATGCGTCTGTGTGTGTGTGTGTGTGTATACATGTGCATACATGTTCTTAATTTTTACTTCTTTCTGATTCATACTGACCCTGGCCAATGCTGTAACTTCTCTTTCTGTTTCCTTTCCCATGCTATTTCATCCCCTCCTTCCCCACCTCATTTCTCCACCCCTTGACCCTGGGACACTAGCCGGGAACCAGAGGCTCCAGCAGGTCATGCACGCGGCGGATCCTCTGGAGATCCAGGCTGACGTGCACTGGACTCATATCCGTGAGAGAGAGGAGGAAGAGAGGATGGCGCCGGCCTCTGAGTCCTCTGCTTCCGGAGGTAAACACTCCCAGCCCCAGGCCGCAGTGTGCCCCGAGCACCACCCGCCTGCTGCCTCTGTCGCCACAGGGGGCCTTTCTGTCAGGGCAGAGCCACCCATGAGGTCACACACGGGAGCCAGGCGCATCCCGCTTTGCTGCTGTCAGTTGTGACACCTGTACTTTTCATCTGAGGATATGTGAAGTTCTCTGTGGATTAAGAGGTTGTGGACTCTTTCTCCATTGATGCAAAATGGTAAAATGAACCTGATCTTGGGTAAACCAAGAATTTTCTGTCTTTCTCTCATGTTTCTGGTCACCGCTGCTCTTTCCTCACTTCGTAAAACGTTCTGGTACTTTTCTTAGAGTGTGTCTGGACGTGAATGTGTGTTGGCAGGAAGGGGGCGGGAGGGGCATGTTTGGAAGTGAAATGAAGTCTTGGGAAGAGATTTCTGTCCAGGAGGCCTCCACAGTAGCATCGTCTCCAGCCCCAGGCTTTAGGTGTGACGGTCTGTGTCACACAGTAGGATGAAGATGAACCTTATTCTGGCTTTTTTAAATAAAGGAATAGCAATAAGAGAAGGACCGTGGAGACTGCTGAGGGACGTGGTGGCCGCTGTGCCATCTTTCCTGGCATGCTGTCTTCCAAATACCCACCCTCGGAGTCACCTCTGCTGTCACTTCTGTGCGTGCACATTTTCATTCAGCGCCGGTCACGGGCCACACCCCCTGCCAGGCTCTGAGCATACAAAAGGGGCATTTCCTGCCATCATAAAACAGCATTAATAAGACGTTTGTTCCTCCCTGGCCCCAAATCTTCACTTGTAGGCAAGACCAACCTCCGTTTCCGGCTTGTGGTGGCACCATGAGCACCCGCATCACTGGGCTGGCCTGTGAGCTGGGGAGCGCTCTGCAGCCCTGGGCCGGCGGTGGCCCTACCTTGGGTTTTCCCTCTTCTCTTCTCATCCTGATTCTCCATCACACAGGCTAACATCAGGGCTCGCACCCCTTGTTGGTGCCAGACAGGCGTCTGTCCTGAATGCCTTCTCACTTTCTTTCTCTTTGGGATTTTAAGGATGACCTTGGCTCTCCTCGTTGGGAACGCATATTGCTGTGTAACTTTGTATTTGTCGTCTGTTTTAAATTCAGTGCCCGACCTTCCCTCCATACGCCACGCGGCGGTGCAGGCCTGGCTGGAGACGGTCTCCGGAGGTAGTCTGGTGATGTTCACTCTCTCCCCACTCACCGTAACCTCTCTCTAGGCGGCTCTGCTGGTACCTTAACACTAGACTCCTGGGCCTGTTGCAAGTGCATGCCAGGGCGGCAGAGGCGGGTGGGGGTACCTGCATGCCTTGCCAGACAGCCCGCCCTTGCATGGATCAGACGCACACCCCCCCTTCAGGGCAGCTCAGAGGGAAACGTGAGGGCAGGCAGGACAGACACAGGCAGGTTTTTATTGATAAGAGTCGGATAAAAAGGCCAAAGCCAAAGGAACGTTTTTGGCACTGAGAGTTTTAAAATGTGTTGAGAATGAGGTGGTTACCGATTGAGTGTGAAAGGGGAGGAATCAGAAGATATTCCACAAGCCTACCAAGCTATCAGAGAAGGAGGCTGTCAAAACCAGGGGGTTTATGGGAGGATGATGGTGGAGAGGGAAGAGCAGAGGATGGGCGGGTGCTATTCAGCAGAAAGTGGGGACAGGCTGGGTGTGACCAGGGGTGACACCAGTCAAATCCAGCCCGAGCTGCAGGCGTCTCTTCAAGTACAAGAGATCGTTGAGCAGCCTGAGTTGTCCTTCCTACATGTTTCTGGAAGTGTGTGTTTCTCACCGAGGGGCTACTGGCATTTGGGGCAGGACAGCTCTTTCCCTTGCAGAAGGTTTAACATTCTTGGCCTCGGCCCTTGGAGTGTCCGTGCAGCCTCCACCACCTATGAAGACACCAAAAATCCCTCCACGAGTTGTCAGACACTGCTGGAGGAAGGGCAGTGTTATCGCCAACAGCACCACTGTCCTAGCGGTCACTTCTGGGATGCGGACATGGGAGCTCGTGGGGCTTCAGCAGCCTGTCCCTGTGTCCTCCCGGCAGTGGGAGAAACAGGCACACACAGCCGCAGGGAAGGGCCACTGCTCTTTGCGCAGAGACGGCTGGCTCCTCTTCTAGATAGCTTGGGTCCCTAGGGCGGTGGGGCAAGAGCCTCCCAGCTGGCGGCTGAAGGAAACCAAGAGCTGAGCGGGTCAGTGGCTCCTGGCTTTCATAGCACGTGGCTCATCAACCTGCGTGGCAGCTTCTAGCACCCTGCACTCCGTCTTAACCTGAATTTCACCCCCAGATCCACCCCTCAAGCTGTGTCCCTTTCAACACTGCTGCTGCTGCGTTGATATTTCTCACCTGTTTATTTTTTTTTATCTGTGACGATTTTTCCTTTCAAGGTACTGCCAAGGAGTGTAGACTTCTCACCCGCCTGACTCTACCACAGGCATTTCTTAATAGAAAGTCTACAGGAGAGCCGCGTGAAGGACCCAGGCACCAGGGCGGGATCAGGCTAACCCAGGGTGCCCTGGGCTGTGCCTGGCTGGGAGGCCTGTTTGGGTCTCCTTGGTGCTGGCCTCCAGTTCCCTCGCCAGCAAGAGTGTAGAGTTGCCATATTGATCCCTGGGCACCCAGATTCACCCCAACAAATCTGTCAGGCACAGTGGCCCTCTCCATGGGATGGGCCAGATTCTGTTCCAAACGGGGCGTTTGTTCCTCCTTTTCAGAATCGGTGTAGTGCAGCCATGAATTCTTTTATCTTTGCTCCAGAAGTCCCACTCCCTGGTGTTTGATGAACTGTCTTCCTTGAGTGGCCAAAAGCAGTGTTCTCACACCGAGGTTTTAACCAATAGAAATACTTGAGGCATTTCCCCCCTGCTTCCCCCAGCAGGTGCCGATGCTGTAGGATAGCATTTGGCACGGCCAGCAACGTGGGCCACTCTGGTATCTCAGGGAGGCACATGGCCCTAACTGTCAGCTAGTCTGGGAACCCGCCTATCTCTCCCTGTGACGTGGGCCGTCTGTTCCCTTCCAAACCTGTTTCATACAGTTCTTCAAACACTAGATTTGAACCGTCATCTTACAAACTGTGCATAAAAGATAAAAATAAGCTTAAGGAATTATTAAAGAAACAGAAAATCATATAACTGCCACCCTGTTCAAGGGATAAAACGTTGCCAGCATCTTCTAAGTGCCTGGCCTGTGGAGAGAAGATGCTACTTCCGAGGCTGCGCCCTCCCATTTCCACATGGCTTTTTAAGAAATCCACCTAACCGGGCGCCATCAGTTCCCTGCTCCCCAGCCTGGGGCTTTGATCCGTGCGGACTCTTGTATATGGACATCAGAGCATAACTCCTTTCTCCTGAAATTAAAACCCTTAGGGGTAATTTGAGGGTGGCTGGGCTTGAACCCTAGGAGAGCCCGCAGGCCCCCGGCCAGTGGTCCTGTGGGTCTCAGGTGGTGCGGGTCTCACAGTGTCCTCAGAGCAGAGCGTGCCGCCCTCTTCCTGCTGGTGCAAGTTCGGAGTGTGGGAGGTGGGGACGGTGTGTGCGTGCTTAGGGGCCGGCTCCTGGGGAGGGGAAGTTGTCGAGGGTTTTGCCTCATTTTGCAGCCCTGAAGGGCCACTTGGAGTCCAGAGGATGAACTTTACGTACCTTCAGCCCCCAATGCTCTCCCAAAGTATTAGTATTTCTCTAAATTATTGCAAGGGAAGCTCATCTGGTGCCCCTGCACACAGCGCTGTGGACAACCCCCTCAGCTGGCTGGACCTCAGACTTCTCGCTAAAGAAACGGTCCCTCTAATTATGTTGCAGGCTGAGTGTTTCTTACCTGAAATGTTTGAGACCAGAAGTGTTTTGGATTTCGAATTTTTTTCGGATGTTGTAATCTCTGCATATACATAAGGAGAGATCTTGGGGATGGGACACAAGTCTAAACACGAAATGTATTTATGTGTCATATATACCTTGTACACGTAGCCTAAAGATAATTTTATATAATATTTTTAATAATTTTATGCATGAAACAATTTTAGGTGTGACTGTCACCACGAGGTCTGCTGTGGAATTTTCCACTTGGCCTCTTGTCAGTGCTCAGAAAATTTCAGATTTTGGAGCATTTTGGATCTTGGATTTTCAGATTCAGGATGCTCAGCCTGCATTATGAGGGCTGAATGACCCATGGTGTGTGAGGCGGTCAGCACACAGCCAGGCTTTGGCAGATGCTGCTGGGCCAAGGCCCAGAGAAACAGCATTTCCCTTTCCACCCTCCTCCAACTGAGGTTCCTACAGCAACCTTTGGGGGAAGAGGAACAATGCCCCCACCTTCAGCCGCTCTTCTCTTCCCACTTGGCCCCTAGCATTGAGAAATGCCCACCTCCTGTGTTTGGGGGCCCCGGGCCCCCCCCAGCACCCATGCTACGTGTGGAGAGCCCCCTGGGCCTGGCAGCATCTCCCCTCTCCTGGGGCCTGCATGGCAGCGCCCTGAGAAAGGCAGTACCTCTCGCCCCCGTGAAGATGCAGCCTGTCTGTCTGTCCTCCTTTTCTTCCTTCCTTTGAACCTTTCTGCTTTGCAGCCCCATTGGATGAGAATGACCTAGAGGAAGATGTGGACTCAGAACCAGCCGAGATAGAAGGGGAGGCAGCAGAGGATGGGGACCCAGGGGACACTGGTGCTGAGCTGGATGATGGTAGGGGTCCGCCCTCCCCGCCCCTGTGGTGGGAGCTCAGGGAAGATGAAGGCAATATGCTTTCCAGCAAAATCAAGCTCAGTGAGGCCGCCGTTGGGCCTCCTGGTTCCTTCTTGGCTCCACCATGGCTGGAATGCATCTCATTCCACCCAACCACCACCTACCCACGAGCACCAGGCGACTTGGCCTGCAGTCATCCAGCTGCAGCTGGGTGCCTGAGCCAACCTGTGGCTTTATACAAGGCCTTTAATTCTGCTGACTGGCTCCCAAAGCTACATACCTGGAGATGGGTTCTGCATCGCAGTCTGGTTGTGGGGGGCTGAGGGGGTCAGGGACGAGGCTGGGAAGAATGAGAAGAACCCAAGCTTGCGAGGGGGCGCAGGCCTCAGCTGTGGAGTTGGGGTGGCAGTCAGGGCTACTGAGAGGAGGAGGTGCATAGAAGTGGGCCCGTGAGGCCAGGCCTGCCCTCCACAGGCACACCCTGTCTTTGTCTGTCGCAGCCCATCATGTGTGACTGTTGCTGTATTTTAAAAGAAACAGAGCCCCACAGGCTTTGATGCGGCCCCGCGTTGCAAAGGCAGGAGGGTGCTCTTGGCCGGGCCCCTCAGGAGCGGGGGTGGTCTGGTAGGCAGGTCTGTCCCTGCGTAAGAAGGGCCTCCAGGCCTGCACCTGAGCAGCTGTGTTGCAAATGAGCAAGTGGCGCGGCTGCTCTCAGGTGGAAAAGGAGTTGGCCTCACTTAGGGTGTGCACCCACTTCTGCCCCTTCCCTCTGCCAGATCAGCACTGGTCTGACAGCCCGTCGGATGCTGACAGAGAGCTGCGTTTGCCGTGCCCAGCTGAGGGGGAAGCAGAGCTGGAGCTGAGGGTGTCGGAAGATGAGGAGAAGCTGCCCGCCTCACCGAAGCACCAAGAGAGAGGTGAGCCTGTCTTTGATGGGAGAAACAACTTTCAGAATTCCTACGAGGGCCATATGCACACAAGAGTGGCTCAGGGGCCAGGCGCTTCAGAGCAGAGCCATGGTGCACACCAGCCTCCGAGGTGTGGGCAGCTCCTTGCCTTTTCCTCCTCTGTCCACCCTCCCTGTGCCACAGGCTGCTGCAGTTGCTTTGGCCAAAGGCCCTTTCCTTGCATAGTTTGGGTCTGGGAGAAGGTAGAAGGTTTGTCCTGAAGCTCTGTGTGCAGAGTCTGCACATGGAGGAAGCCCACGGCCTGACCTGGTGTTGACAGGAGCACCTGCAGAGAGTGCCGGGCAGCCCCGGGAAGACGGTTCCAGGACCCTGGCCTCTGAGAGAACCTGTGCTTTCCAGGAGAACTGGGAGCCGACTCAGCGACTCGCCCTCTACCCTCCCCTCCACCCTCTGGGGCTGGCTGATAGGGGTGCCTTCCTGGCACATGGGGGGGCTTCCTCTTGTAAGTCCCTGTGTTCATTCTTTTCAGGTCCCTCCCAAGCCACCAGCCCCATCCGGTCTCCCCAGGAATCAGCTCTTCTGTTCATTCCAGTCCACAGCCCCTCAACAGAGGTAAGGGTTTGGGGCTCGCTGTGGGGTACAGAGAACTAATGGGACCCCAAGGACACATATTAACTTCTCTGTTTCAGGGCCCATGGTGTGGGTCCCACCAAGACTGGGGCTAACATAGCCTGCTGGCCTCCTCATTCTGAGGAAGACTGAAAACTATCATCCTCCTTGTACTAAGTGGAGCTGTTGATGACAGGAGTGGCCTTGGAGTTCCAGCTCAGTACTCTTGGGGATGAGGCCGTCTGGGTGGCACCTACTACCTCTGCCCCACTCTGATCCCAAACCTGAGTCCTCTACCCCGTGTCACTGTGTTAGGTCCACATACCACACACCATATGTTTAATTTAAACAAATTTATTAAAAATAAATAATTTATTATATTTAATAAATGTATAATAAACATAGGTGTATTAAAATTGTTTATAAATATAAATTTATTAAAATTTATGTTTATAAATATAAATTTATTAAAATTTATGTTTATAAACATAAATTTATTAAAATTTATGTTTATAAATATAAATTTATTAAAATTTATGTTTATAAATATAAATTTATTAAAATTTATTAGAACAAATTTATTTTTTATAAATTTATAATATATTAAAAATAATATAATTTTTATGATAAATGGTATAAAACATTTGATATTTTATTAAAAATAAATTTGTTTAAATTAAAGCAATAATATCGATGGGATGGTTGGTTTGATATGACAAATGCATTTTTAACATTATGTTAAAATAAATGTATAACCATTGAAATTTACAACATCTGGCCAGGCGCGGTGGCTCACGCCTGTAATCCCAGCACTTTGGGAGGCCAAGGCAGGCAGATCACGAGGTCAGGAGATCGAGACCATCCTGGTTAACACAGTGATAGCCTGTCTCTACTAACAATACAAAAAATTAGCCGGGCGTGGTGGCGGGCGCCTGTAGTCCCAGCTACTCAGGAGGCTGAGGCAGGAGAATGGCATGAACCCGGAAGGCGGAGCTTGCAGTGAGCCGAGATGGCACCACTGCACTCCAGCCTGGGCGACAGAGCGAGACTCCGTCTCAAAAAAAAAGAAATTTACAGCGTCCATGCAGACAGCCTGTGGTGTGTGAACCACATGGAGAATGCTGCAAAGCCAACTGTGACAGCAGGTCCTGTGGAACATGGTTTGGGAAATACTGTCTGCAGGTCAGATCAGGGAGAAAGCTGGAATATAAGGCCTGCATCTGCTTGATTTAGTCTTTGGGATTCTAGGAAGCATGGAACTATTCAGTGATTTTTTTTTTTTTTTTTGAGACAGGGTCTCAGTCTCTTGCCCAGACTGGCATGGGCAATAGTGCAGTGGCATGATCATGGCTCACTGCAGCCTCCCAACTCCTCGGCTCAAGCAATCCTCCTGCCTCAGCCTCCCAAAGTGCTGGGATTACAGCATGAGCCACTGTACCTAGCCTGTTCACTGATTGGATTTTTTTTTTTTTTTTTTTTTTTTTTTTGAGATGGAGTCTCTCACTGTCACCCAGGCTAGGATGCAGTGGCGCGATCTTGGCTCACTGCAAGCTCCACCTCCCGGGTTCACGCCATTCTTCTGCCTCAGCCTCCCGAGTAGCTGGGACTGTAGGCACCCACCACCACACCTGCCTAATTTTGTTTTTGTATTTTTAGTAGAGACGGGATTTCACCATGTTAGCCAGGATGGTCTCGATCTCCTGACCTCGTGATCTGCCCACTTCGTCCTCCCAAAGTGCTGGGATTACAGGTGTGAGCCACTGCGCTCAGCCGTCTGTGAAATGGGGAGGCTTTGTTTGAGGCTCTTGGATGGGGTGATATAAGGGCTGGTGCAGGAATCTCTGCACATCTTTGAGCTTCCTAGGGAGGACAATTTGATCATAATGCACCGTGATAAATAGCTGTGGTAAGTCTTCTTACAGTCCTGGCCCCTCTGTACGTACGTCAGGGATCTTGGCGCTCTGGGGCCTCCTGGAGGGTGAGAACTGCATTCCTCTATGTCCTTTTGGCCAGTGTTCCTGTGAGTGGACAAAGAATATAGGATGTATTTGAGATGAACCAAATCCTGAAAACCCAGTTTGTCTAAACTAAGCAGAGTGGTTCTAAGGTTCTAAACACTGAACACCTGGAGCAGAAAGTGGAAAGGGTTTTCCTGGAGCTGTTCTAATAACAGCTGGAAGGACGGGGAAGTCCTGCAGCAGGCACAGGTGCAGGCACTTTGAGTGAGAAGGCTCCCCGAGGATGCTGCTGGTCGTGAAAGCCCACACCTTCTCAGCGGCTTCTGTCTTCCTTCCCTGTAGGGGCCCCAACTCCCACCTGTCCCTGCCGCCACCCAGGAGAAATCACCTGAGGAGCGCCTTTTCCCTGAGCCTTTGCTCCCCAAAGAGAAGCCCAAAGCTGATGCCCCCTCGGATCTGAAAGCTGTGCACTCTCCCATCCGATCACAGCCAGTGACCCTGCCAGAAGCTAGGACTCCTGTCTCACCAGGGAGCCCGCAGCCCCAGCCACCCGTGGCGGCCTCCACGCCCCCACCCAGCCCACTCCCCATCTGCTCCCAGCCCCAGCCTTCCACCGAGGCCACTGTCCCATCCCCTACCCAGTCCCCCATACGCTTCCAGCCTGCCCCGGCCAAAACATCCACCCCACTGGCCCCTCTCCCTGTCCAAAGCCAAAGTGACACCAAGGACAGACTGGGCAGCCCCCTTGCTGTGGATGAGGCCCTCAGACGGAGCGACCTGGTGGAGGAGTTCTGGATGAAGAGTGCGGAGATCCGCCGCAGCCTCGGGCTCACACCTGTGGACCGCAGCAAGGGGCCCGAGCCCAGCTTCCCCACGCCTGCCTTCAGGCCAGTGTCCCTCAAATCCTATTCCGTTGAAAAGTCCCCCCAGGATGAGGGACTCCACCTTCTCAAGCCTCTGTCCATCCCCAAAAGGCTGGGCCTGCCAAAGCCGGAAGGCGAGCCGTTGTCCCTGCCAACCCCCCGGTCCCCGTCCGACAGAGAGCTACGCAGCGCCCAGGAGGAGCGCAGGGAGCTGTCCAGCAGCTCTGGCCTGGGCCTGCACGGGAGCTCCTCCAACATGAAGACACTGGGCAGCCAGAGCTTCAACACCTCGGACTCCGCCATGCTCACGCCCCCCTCCAGCCCGCCCCCACCGCCACCCCCGGGCGAGGAGCCCGCCACCTTGCGGAGGAAGCTCAGGGAGGCCGAGCCCAATGCCTCGGTGGTCCCGCCGCCCTTGCCCGCCACCTGGATGCGGCCCCCCCGGGAGCCTGCTCAGCCCCCCAGAGAGGAGGTGCGGAAGTCGTTTGTGGAGAGCGTGGAGGAGATTCCCTTTGCTGATGATGTGGAGGACACCTATGACGACAAGACTGAGGACTCAAGCCTGCAGGAGAAATTCTTCACGCCCCCGTCCTGCTGGCCGCGCCCCGAGAAGCCTCGCCACCCGCCCCTGGCCAAGGAGAACGGGAGGCTGCCTGCTCTGGAGGGGACGCTGCAGCCACAGAAGAGGGGGCTGCCCTTGGTGTCCGCGGAAGCCAAGGAGTTGGCCGAGGAGCGCATGCGAGCCAGGGAGAAGTCCGTGAAGAGCCAGGCGCTGCGGGACGCCATGGCCAGGCAGCTGAGCAGGATGCAGCAGATGGAGCTGGCCTCAGGCGCCCCCAGGCCCCGCAAGGCGTCCTCAGCACCCTCCCAGGGCAAGGAGCGCCGGCCTGACTCCCCCACACGCCCCACTCTCAGGGGCTCCGAGGAGCCCACCCTGAAGCATGAAGCCACCAGCGAGGAGGTCCTCTCCCCGCCGTCGGACTCAGGGGGCCCAGATGGCTCTTTCACTTCATCCGAGGGCTCCAGTGGGAAGAGCAAGAAGAGGTCGTCACTCTTCTCCCCCCGCAGAAACAAGAAGGAGAAGAAGTCCAAAGGCGAGGGCCGGCCCCCGGAGAAGCCCAGCTCCAACCTCCTAGAAGAAGCCGCCGCCAAACCCAAGTCCCTGTGGAAGTCCGTCTTCTCCGGGTACAAGAAGGACAAGAAGAAGAAGGCCGACGACAAGTCCTGCCCCAGCACCCCCTCCAGCGGGGCCACGGTGGACTCTGGAAAGCACAGGGTGCTTCCCGTCGTAAGGGCAGGTGCGTCAGCAGCCGGGTCCGCGTGCAGGCAGAGCGGGAGGGGTGCGGGAGGGGCTGGGGTCACTGGGGCTCTCAGGATCCACACTCACACGCTCCCCGCCGAGGGTTCTCAGGAGCCGTGCTGACCTGGAGAAGGGACTGAACCATGGGTTCACAGGGCATAGCCAGCTTAGTAACAGAATTCTCAAAGCCAGCTTGAAACCGGACCAGGAAGACTGTGGAGGTTTGTGCCCTTCCTAAAGTCAGACGACCCCAGAGGGGCCCACTCGTGCACAGGGCAGAGGGCAGTGCTACCAGGAGGGGCTGGGCAGGCCTAGGTGCCACCCGCTTGGCGTCAGCTCTGCCCTGCCCAGGCAAAGGTTGGTGTCCCAGCTCCTGGCTCCCCAGGATGGGGGATGGATCCCTTAAACTAAAATGAATCCAGCCCCCCACCCGGCCTCCTTGGCTGCACATGGGAGCATAGGAGCAGGAGAGGGCTGCGCCTGCTGTCTGGCGCTGTCCTCACGTGGCCTCCCTCTCTCCACAGAGCTGCAGCTCCGGCGCCAGCTGAGCTTCTCCGAGGACTCAGACCTCTCCAGCGACGATGTCCTTGAGAAGTCCTCACAGAAGTCCCGGCGAGAGGTGGGTAGTCAGGCAGGGGGCTTCACAGGGCCTGGGGCCCTGTCTGTTCATTGTTGGGCTTTGGTGGGGTAGAGGAGAGGGAGAGCAAACCGCAAGCCAGGGATGGACAGCTAGTGGCGCATAGCCAGCTGACTGCTGACCCAGCCCTATGCACTGAGGCGGTCACGCTGGGCTTTCTACATGGGAGCTAGGGCCGTTGGCATCCACAGCAAGGGCTTCTGATTTCTTGTGAAGAAGAAAAGACTGGAGCCATTCCTGTGTCACACTCCCCTTCTCTGGAGGAGGCAGCCTGGCATTGTCTTTCTTCATAGGTGATCCCGCGGGGAGCAGCCCACCAGCCCCAGGGCCTGGAGAACACTGCGCAGTCCAGGGCTGCTGGCGGAGCTGGGACCTTAGGCACAGAGCATTGTGCCTGGTCCTGCCCGTTTGGTGGGTTTGATAGTTAGGGAGGGTTTGTCGTCTTAAAGGACTGGTCCAGGAACTGACCTGCAGGGCTGCTAGGTCTGACTCAGCCCCTCACTTTCCAGAGCCCAGGACTTTGGGTGGATCCAGTGAAGGTGGAGGGAGAGGAATCAGAGCACACTCTAACAGGCACCTGTCAGCATACAGGGTGGGCGGAGCTCTGCGGAGTATCATGTCACCCCACCTCCACTGTCCAGCCCTGGGGCCTGTGCTCCTCCTCCTGGCTGGGGGCAACCCGGCTGTCTCCTGCTTCCTGCCTCCCTTTTGCGTCAAAAGCTTCCCGAGAATGTAGCATGCCTTCATTGCAAGGCTTCTAGGGCTTGGACTTGAGTCTGCCCTCTCCTGCCGTCCAATAGCCCAGTCAGGGCGGGCCTTGGTGCGCCTGAGCCCGTCACGTGCCCATTTGGTGAAGATGGCTCCTGCAGCCTGATCCAGTTCCTCTTTAAATAACTCAGCAAACCAGACGCTTTATTTCGCATCCCCTCCTTGGTGCATTCGTCTCCCTTGGCCTTTCCGGCTCTTTGGCCCCTCTCCTAGAAGACTCTAGAGAGCCAGGCCTCTCCTCCTGCTCCACCCTCTACAGAGCCAGGCTTCCTGGTGCCCCAGCCAGGCCAGCAACTGAGTTAGGGTTGGGATCTGCGCCTTCTCAGGGACAGGGAGAGTGTGCCTTCATCAAGGCTTCCAGTCGAGCTTTCCCAGTTGCACTGGGGCTGAGCTGAGAATTCCCCTGGGTTTCTATGTGGGTCCCTAAACACATCCCAATACTGGTGATGGGTGCTGCTTTAGGGGGTCAGCAAAGAATGGAGAATGTGGTCCCAAGCTCACTGCCTCAGTGGTGACAGTGTGGACATTCAACCTATTGTGTCAGCTTGGCCACCCACCTCCCTCACGTTGCTGTGGTGGGTAGTATGCCCACTGCTTCTCCATCCATGAAGCACCTACTGCCTGGGTTGGCTGTGCCAAGGCTGGTACTTGGTGAGCCTCCCCAGGGCCCAGCAGATACAAGGAGCAAGGGAGAAACAGGAACAGGACCCCAGGAACAAGCCATGGACACCAGTCATGGAACCCTAGAGCCAGAGGGCGGCCTCTAAGGCCTCACGCTCTAGGGGCACCCACAGAGGCAAAGCCGTTTGCTAGACGTCACATACGGAATACTAAAGCCAAAGCCAAGCCTGGGGGACAGACAGGCTAGCGGATGGCCGACCTAGAGGACGGCTGAGGATCGAGGAGACGGTCGAGCTAGGGGATGGATGACCTACGGGACGGCCAGGCTAGGGGATGGATGACCTAGGGGACAGTCGAGCTAGGGGATGGATGACCTACGGGACGGCCAAGCTAGGGGATGGATGACCTAGGGGACAGTCGAGCTAGGGGATGGATGACCTACGGGACGGCCCGGCTAGGGGATGGATGACCTACGGGACAGTCGAGCTAGGGGATGGATGACCTATGGGATGGCCAAGCTAGGGGATGGATGACCTACGGGACGGCCAGGCTAGGGGATGAATGACCTAGGGGAAGGCCAACCTAGGAGACAGATGACATGGGAGACAACCGAGCCACGGGCAGCTGACCTGACTTCCGCATGGTATGGAGTCAGCCTGAGCGAGGGCTGGGTGCTGTGCCTATTCAAGACATGGATGCTAAAGAGGAAAACAAACCAAACAAAAACAGCCATAAAGGACATTTTGGGAACAATTAAATTCAACTGAGGACTGGATGATAGTATAAATGTGTAATATTATCAAATTGTTAAGTTCCTTGCAAGTGATAAAGGCACTGTTAATGTACTTTTATGTAGGAAAGTTATATAGGAAAATGTCTGAGTTGTTAGAAAGTCCATCCTAAAACGTTTAGGGACGAAGGGTCGTGGTATCTACCAATGATTCATTACAAAAGGTCATATAAAAGATGACATATAGATGAAGCGTGTGGCAAAATGGTAACCTTTGGCAGACACAGGTGAGAGGCATGTGGGTGTTCATTGTCTTCCTCTTTCAACTTTCCTGTGGGTTTAAATCTTTCAAAGTAAGTGTGGGGAACAGGGGCTCTAAAGTGAGGATGGGGTTTGACCTGCCTCGGAAGAAGGAAGCCCCTTCTGCCAGGCCAGGATCCTGGGGCCACTCCAGCAGCAGACGCCTCCTCCCGCCTCACAGCATCTGTGAAACAAGAGCCTGGGTTTTGTTTTGTTATAAACTTTTAAACCAGTCAAAATACTTATTTTTTATTTAAAATGTTTATTATAGAAAATTTAGGATAATTCAGACTTTTAAAAAGTCACCTGTAGCCCGACCTACAAGAGAGAACTTGCGTTTACCTCTTTTCTAATTGCTCCCATTTGACTTTAAATACAAGCAACGCAGCTGCCTCTTGAGCCCTGCAGCCCACCAGGGTGTGGCCTGGGTACCCTGCCACCCCGCATCCAGATTCACAGCAGAATGTCAGCTCCTGTGGCTGACCACCACCTCAGGCACACAGGGACGGGTGGTGACTTCACCCCTCCCAGCCCAGAAAATGGGTAGATTGTGGGAAGGCAGCCACTGCCCCCCATTGCTATTGACATCAGCCATAGGTGAAGATGTTAGTGCTGTTCCTTAGGGTGTGGTCCATAGTTCCTGTGGGCTTTTTGCAGCCGCTTCGGGAAATCATCTGTCTCTTTTTCTGAACCGGCTTGTTCTCATAACAACATTCTCTTGCTCTGATTTGTGGGAGAGGTGGGTCCACCTGAGGCAGGCGGGACACAAGTGCTCAAAGTTGAAGGAGGCAAATTTATTCTTCCCTCGCCTGTAGGCTTGGGAAGCACAGCTCCGCACAAGGCCGCCCCACAGATGGGATGGATGGAGCAACAGGGAGCGCGGCTGTGGTTGCAGCCTGCCTGGAATTCTCAGGACTTCCCTGTCTTGTGCGCCACCACACACCCTGGTTTCCCTAATGCCTTTCAGCCGTTTAATATGGCTGGTGAGACCACAAGAGCAGATGTGACTCACCTTGACCCTCAGAGCGGCTCTGCACAAGGTGTGATGGAATGAGAAGAGGCTCCTGCTGCTGCCTGACGTGCTTTTGGTGAACAGCACTTACTGATGGTAGTTCAATTCCCTTTACTGGGCACAATCAAGAAATGGCAGCTGGGTGGCACACAGGAACACTGCCAGCGGAGGGCCTTTTGGGAGAGATGGGTGGTTTCCCTCCCAGTTTTGCTGCGTCTGTCTCTGAGAGCAGGACCCCCTTTCCTCCCGCACCCCACTTCTACTCCCCCGGAGCATTCAGCAGGAAGAAGTGGGCTGAATTTCCACAAGCACATGGTCACTCAAGGAGAAAAGCATCTAGAATCACATATTTTAACGGCTTTAACTTTACACAAGGGACAGTGAGATGAGGCGAGTTTTGGGGGTGGTGAGGAAGAAGCTGTTTCTTCCCAATAAAAGAGTGAACCCCGGCCGTATTCAAAACCAGGTCCACTCAGACGCCGCCGCTAGGATCTTCACACCCAGATTCCTACCTAGGCAGTCCTGTGTGACTTCGTGAAAAATAATCTCGTGTTTTAAGTCTTGTGTGTTTGTTTTCAACTTCTAACTTATTTTGCTCCATTTCTGTGTTCTTAATTTTTAATTTGTTAATCATTATTATTATTACTATTCTGTTTTGTTTTCTGATGCCATCCGCTTAAAAGTCAATTTATGTACCACACGCCTTGGCATTCAGGAGATCATGTGCATCAAAGGTAGTGTCTCGTTCCTGTCAGCTGGTCACCGTTGCATGCATGTCTGTGATTAACCACCCGGCGCCGGCCCCGGCCCTCCAGCCACATCCTCACTAACTGTGTTTGTGCGTGCATGGGGCTGTGGCACACACTGGCAGCAGTACTTCCGTTAGCCACGTCATGAGTGGGAAGGAGGATGAGACACCTGCTCCTCACCGGCTGGAGTGCATGTGGTCATTTTGTTCCAGGTTCCTCGGGTCGGGACACAGCTGCCGCTGTGGGGCTGGGCACCCCAGAGAGGGGCAGTTCAGCAGCCCTCAGCTCTGATCAGCAAGGTGCAGCGCTGAAACACCACTGATGACCCTTAGGGACTGACTGTTCAGGGGACCCTCTGTCATTTGAGCTCTTCGAGTGAAGATTATGAGTATAGACCCCAAGTCATGTTTGTCTTCTTTGAAGTCTATAAAAGTTTTCTTGTTGGCCAGGTATGGTGGCTCACACCTGTAATCCCAGCATTTTGGGAGGCTGAAGTGGGAGAATCACTTAAGCCCAGGAGATTAAGACCAGCTTGGGCAATATAACGAGATCCCGTCTCTGCAAAAAAAAATTGTTTTAATTGTCCGGGCGAGGTGGCACACGCCTATAGTCCTGACTACTCGGGAGGCTGAGGCGGGAGGATCACGTGAGTCCAGGAGTTTGAAGCTGCAGTGAGCCATGATCGTATCACTGCCCCCCAGCCTGGGTGACAATGAGACCCTCTCTCAAAAAAGAACTTTTATATAGTCTCCTTGTTTCATTTTCTTAGAGGCAATAAAGAGGGTCTTATGAATAAAGGCAAATCCCCAATCTTTGCCCCTCTTGTTGCCCATGGTTTGTTCAAAGCATCTGATGCTCCCTTGAGCCCTTGGCACCCACGTAGGCAGGGGGCTGTGGCTGTCCAGTCCGTGGACTTGCACTGGATTGGGCCATTGCCTCTTCTGTTCTCGATGGCGCTAGGCGCAACAGCCCTGGCCAGGCCACAACCTCTCTTCTTCCTAGCGGCCAGCGGCTGCCTCTGCAGACCCCAGAGTCAGTCCAGGTTCACCTCCACAATTCCTTCTTCAGACTGTACTTGACTTAAAAGAGAAACATCCTTGTTCTCTCTACTTGGGTGTCATTTCTTGGAAGACTCTCATGGATACTGCTCTTCTGAAGAAAGTGACCTTTGATACCAAACAGGAAAATAAAAGGATCCCGATTTCTCTTTGCTTCCCCTGTAAGCCTCCTAGAAGCAGGAGGCTTGGTGAAACAGCCTACCAATGTTTTTACTCCCACAAAGTTTTAAAATGACCAGACATCCTTATTTGGGAAGCAGGTGATCTCAGTGATAAAGGAGCGTGTGTCCCTTTATTGTTTTAACTGCCTAACAGTCGGTCCCCACTCAGCCTCCTGTCCCTGTGCAGAGGTGGGGAAATGTCTCACTCTGTGGATCTTAGGTGTGCCCGTGGCACTGAGGGCTGCTGCAGGCTGGGGACTCTGCAGACCTCATGCCTTCTGCCTATCAGCACCCCCGTCCTGCTAGCACTCTACTCTACAGAGGACAGCTTGTCCTATCTGCCCGGGTACCAGCTCCGACATGGGGGACAGACCTCTCCAGGCCCCTGTTGGCCTGCTGCCCACCCCTGTCCCAGGCCTCCGTGCACCTGACTGAGGAAGTTTCTCTTGTTCTCTCCAGCCAAGAACCTACACGGAGGAGGAACTGAATGCCAAGCTGACCCGGCGTGTGCAAAAGGCAGCTCGGAGACAGGCCAAGCAGGAGGAGCTTAAGCGGCTGCATCGAGCCCAGGTAAAACCATGGAGGATGGGACCAGGGCACATGCATGGGAGGGTTGGGCAGCATCTCCCTATCCACCCAGCTGCTCCCTGCCACACAAGCACAGTGCAGAGCAGAGCAGAGGTAGACGGGCCTCCCTGCCACCCAGGTCACCTTTGGCTGGTGCAGCCACAGAGGCCCTGCCTTGGTGGAGCTGTCAGTCAAAAGGGAAGAGCAGGCTGGGCGTGGTGGCTCAATGCCTGTAATCCCAGCACTTTGGGAGGCTGAGGCAGGCGGATCACTTCAGGTCAGGAGTTCGAGACCAGCCTGGCCAACATGGCAAAACCCCGTCTCTACTAAAAAAACAAAAATTGGCTGGGTGCGGTGGCTCATGCCTATAATCTCAGCACTTTGGGAGGCCAAGGCGGGCGGATCACAAGGTCAGGAGATTGAGACCATCCTGGCTAACACGGTGAAACCCCCGTCTCTACTAAAAATACAAAAAATTAGCCAGGCGTGGTGGCAAGTGCCTGTAGTCCCAGCTACTCGGGTGGCTGAGGCAGGAGAATGGCATGAACCCAGCAAGTGGAGCTTGCAGTGAGCCGAGATTGTGCCACTGCACCCCAGCCTAGGCGACACAGAGAGACTCTGTCTCAAAAAAAAAAAAAAAAAAAAAAAAAATAGCCAGGCATAGTGGCGGGCCCCTGTAATCCCAGCTATTTGGGAGGCTGAGGCACGAGAATCGCTTGAACCCAGGAGGTGGAGATTTCAGTGAGCCTAGATTGCACCATTGCACTCCAGCCTGGGTGAGAGGGCGAGCCTCCATCTCATAAAAATAAAAATAAAAAAAAAAAGGAAGAACCCTGCATTGAGTTTCCCGAATCCCTTGTTGTAGAATAATCATTGTAAGTCACCTCATTCAATTGTGAGGACTGTCACCAGGAGTCCATTTGTGGCCCCTCAGCCTCTGATAGGCCTGGGATTTTTGTGGGAAGAGGTCAGAGGTCAGAGCTCTCCTCCCATTCTCCAGCTTGTTTTCAGGCTGCACAGACCCTGAATCTAGACCACTGTAGATTTCTATTGTTTTGTTTTGTTTTGTTTTGTTTGAGACGGAGTCTCACTCCGTGGCCAGGCTGGACGCGCAGTGGCGCTGAGCTCACTGCAACCTCTGCCTCCCTGGTTCAAGCGATTCTCCTGCCTCAGCCTCCCGAGTAGCTGGGATTACAGGCCTGTGCCACCACATCCAGCTAATTTTTGTATTTTTAGTAGAGACAGGGTTTCACCATGCTAGCGAGGAGGGTCTTGATCTCTTGACCTTGTGATCCGCCCACCTCAGCCTCCCAAAGTGTTGGGATTACACGGATGAGCCACCGTGCCTGGCCTTCTGTTTTAAATTTTTATCGTAAAGATGGGATTTCCACTGCACTCTTCAGGAACCCCCTCCAGCACTCTAGCAGTCTTGCCGTGAGAACAGTCTGAGGTTCTGGTACTCAGGCCCCTCCTGCCACAGATTACATCCACTTCCTGTCTCTGCAACACTCCTGGGAGGGTGGTCACTACTTGAGTCACGTCCACGCGCTTTGATGCTAACTAGCAAGGCCCGGAGCCTGGCGTCTACACAAGCTAGGTGGTTCTGGTGCAGGTGGTCTCCACGCCACACCCTGAGCGCACCGCCCACAGACTAGAGCCCTTTCCAGAGCGGCAACTCCTGTGTTTCCCCTCGTGTGGGTGTGGAGTTGTGTGTCCTCCTGAAGCAGGGCTGGAGAGCCGGGTGCTCAGTCTGTGCTGTCTGTCATAGATCATCCAGCGGCAGCTGCAGCAGGTGGAGGAGAGGCAGCGGCGGCTGGAGGAAAGGGGCGTGGCTGTGGAGAAGGCGCTCCGGGGCGAAGCAGGTACTGCCGGGCTCCCTCCTAAGCTCTGCTCCTGGAGGAAGCCCTCCCTCCCGCCGTGGTAGGCTAGTTTTGCTTCACCTCACCTGGAATTCAGCTCCTTTTCCAGCAGGATTTTCTGGGGCCCTTCATCTCTGAGATTTGGGGCTTCCTGTTAAGCAAAAGAAAATACCTGTCTGAGACAGCCCCAGGCCCATCCTGCTCCACAGCCCCTCTGGGCTGCCATTTCCCATAGAGTGAAACTCAGTCCCCGGCATGCTGATGGCGAGCGCTGGCTCTTCCCCCTCCTTCCCACCCCACCATTTACTCTAGGAGGGAATAACTGGGAGTGAGGGAGATTGAACCGCAAGGAACCATCACAGAATTGCACTGAGCAGGTCCCCAGCCTGCACCCCCAGACCCCCTCATGTCGTTAGTTCCCTGGGACCCTCCTGCCCACAGAGCCCTCAACACCGCTGGTCGGGGAGCATGTGGCCACCCTCGGCACACACAGATTTCCAGAGGGCACCCAGGCCCTGTGTCTGCTGAAGGCTGGTCACTTAGGGCAGGGCTGGAGAGGCTCAGGGTATGTGACCAGCCGACGTGGAGCAGACTCCGGGGAGTGGCTGGCAGGGCCCTGTGCTCGTGACTGCTGCTCCTGGCAGGGAAGCCCTGGAGAATGTGGTGCGCTCATTCCTGCCATTCCATCCAGGGAACCTGCGCGGCTGCGCTCAGCATAGTTGGGCACAGAGAATGCAAGGGAGTGCCTGAGGCATCTCTGGCCCCACGGCCCAGGAAGTCCTATTGGTTCAGGACCTTGAAGCTGCAGGACCAGCCCCGGGGGTGCAGTGGCCACTCTGCCTTCTCAAACATCCACAAATCTTCGTCTAGTCTCTGGATGGGGGAACTTCCGTCTCTTTATAGCCTGCAGGTTCAGCGTTTAAATTGTGAGCTGGGGATGAAGAAAAGGAGTATCCTCTTACTTCCTCACTCTAGTGTGGCAGAGGGGAGCAGGGTGCCTCTGCTGACAGGCAGGCTCTCTGTGAAATGGACGAACTGGGAGGAGGCGGCCAGGAGCAGGGCCAGCTGCTGCCATCTGATCTTGCTCAAAGACTGACCCATGGGCTCATGGGAAGTGCCTGGTGTCAAGATGAATTCCTGTGGCCTGTAGGACTGAAGTTTGTGTGGTGGGGAGTGAGGGAGTCCAGAATGGAAGTAGGTCTCCTTTCCCAGGCCCTTTAAGGCCTGGAAATTGCAGCTTATAGGGCTACTCAGTGATGACCTTCAGTCAAAGAGATGGGATGGGGAGAAAGGTGAGGATGTGGATGTTCTTGGTTTGGGCTCACCTGATGCTGTTAATGCATGAAGTCCAGGCTACCAAAGGAAATGCAAAAACTTGAAGCACTTAGCATCCGATAGGCTGAGACGACTGGGATGTGTTACTGTGAGACAAGCACAGCAAGGAGATTTGGGTTCACCTAAGAAGGTCTGAGGTTTCCCAGCGAACCTGCGGTGCCCCTGCCCCCCTGCCCTGCTCTGCGCACTCTGATTTGGCCTCCTCAGTTAAGCCTGAGCCCAGATGGAGTTGGCCCCAGCCCACCTGTGCCCGACTGCGTCCGGGCCTATGGGGCCCTGCCCTCGTGCCATTTCTCTTCTTGCAGAAGATATCAGGAGAGAGCCTAGGCTCATCTTCATTCCTTCTTGCCCTTCTCCACAAATCACTTCTGCCAAGATGGAAAGCAGTGGATTAGATCTCAACACACAGACAGAATAACCGCATTTCATGGTTTAAGCCCTTCAGGAAGAAGACAGCTCCCTGCCCTCCTTACTCATGAGGTTGAGGTGGTGGTGCCATCAAGGTTGGTGGTTTCCGTAAAGCACTTGAGCGCCTGTGGCCTCCGTGAAGTCTGAGTGTAAAACAGTGCTTCGACGCCCCTGTCACGGGCCCTGTTATTCAAGCTTCTGCCAAAGGGCCGGAAAATAATATACCACTGAAGATTGGCGTTAGGGTTTTGCCAGAATTATTTCTTCTAGTCATTAGATAATCACATTTCCTCAAACATACACAACCCAAATGCCGTCTAAGTCAGTGGTTTTCAAAAAACTAGCAGCAGACCTCTTTTCACAAGATGATAAGTTCAAGTTTAAAATCAAAAAGAATTACTCTCAAATGTTAATAATTAACACAGATTTGAAAACACAGGTTATAGCAGAGAGTGGTGGACATGACCAAGCCCCGGCATCCAGCCAGTACACACAAGAACTGTAGTTGCTATAAGTGACAACATGGTTTTTTTTATTTGGTTGGTTTTTGGTTTTTTTAACAGCTTACTTGGAAATCTCAGGATTTCTGCAGTTTAAATGATGTAGACACTAGAAGTTTAAAATGAGGCAAGAGCTTTTTTTTTTTTTTTTCCACAGTTGGATCACAGCAAATCTAACAGCAGTTCCTATTCCTCATGACAAGCAAGTCTCAAACAAGAGGCTCCCAAACAAAGTAAACAAAAACCCAGCCATGCTGTAATACCGCAGCAAAACGTGTTACCCACCTACATAAAGGGACTCGCTGACAGGCGTGCGTGCTGTCAGTGAGCTGTAGCTCTCCCGGACAGACCCTGAACGGTGGCAGGTGAGCACTATGCTGCAGGCCAGAATTTAAATAAACAAATGAATAAAATGTCCTCTTCACTAACACATTTACAGGGAGTTCAGCCACTTACACACAGAGAGAGGCGGAAACTTGATCCTGAGGGCTCCACAAAATCAAGCTCACCTGGCAGCACAAATTATTGGGTTGATGGTCTCCAGTGGGTGAAAAGTTGGCATATAAAACATTTGGGCCGGGCGCGGTGGCTCACGCCTGTAATCCCAACACTTTGGGAGGCCGAGGTGGGCGGATCACCTGAGGCCGGGAGTTTGAGACCAGCCTGACCAACATGGAGAAACCCTGTCTCTACTAAAAATACAAAAAATTAGCCTGGCATGGTGGTACATGCCTGTAATCCCAGCTACTCGGGAGGCTGAGGCAGGAGAATCGCTTGAACCTGGGAGGTGGAGGTTGCGGTGAGCCGAGATCACGCCATTGCAGTCCAACCTGGGCAACAAGAGCGAAACTCTGTCTCAAAAACAAAAACATTTGAAGGTGGTGTGTCTTATTTTAATAAGGGCTCTTGAAAGAGCTACAAGTATTTGTACATCAGGTATTTGGGAGACCCCTTGGAATGCCTTTGGAAGAACCTTAGGGTTCCACAGAGGCTTGAAAACCACTGTCGTAGTGCAAACTCCTTCCTTTAGATGAGTCTTCAGCAGATATCTCTATCCAAAGATGTTTCTGTTCTGTTTTTCAAGATGGGCCTTAGTAGCTCTGTTGGGATATTTCGTTGTGATGCATTTGAGAAACTCTCTGGAATTTTCAGGAATTATGGTTCCTACCATAAGAATATAAGAATTTCCAAATATGTTCCTTCTCTTACGTGAATACATCCCTTCCAAGCTGGTCTCCCATCACAGTTCCCCGTGGCCCTGCCCCTCCTTGGCCGATGCCGTCTCTGAAGCCCAGGTGTGCGTGCTGCTGCTGCTTTCTCTCCTGCTTCTGCGTCCCGTTCCTCTTCTTAGTCTTGTGGCACCTGGCTGAGCCCTGAAGAAGGCAGTGGCAGCTGGGCATGATAATAATCTGGAGTCTTCTCATCATGGCAGTCTGCCCTTCCCTGGGGACTGTAGTAAACTGGCTGGAACCTGCCATCATCTCACTTGGGGGTCTCCAGCTTCCATCACCGTCTGAGGGCGTCAGACTTTGTTAGCCAAGCTGCCTTTCCAGAGAAGCGCTCTAGCATGGACCTGCCATCCCGTTCTCCGTTTGTCTAAGGTATGACGACGTATGGCCAGGCTGCAAGGATTAGCTTCAGCACCTTTGATCCTAGGGCCAGGCCACAACTTAGGTAATTTCCAGTCCTGGGGCACCTGGGAAGCCTTTTTGTTACAAAAACACTGACTCAGCCTTGAGCATGCATTGAAAAACTGGGGCAGGACCGCATTCTACCACTGTGTCTGCTGTGTCACTCTCAAGGGGAGGCCCTCAGGTGGGACCGGAGGCTGTGAGGATCTGCATTCAGAATGCGGGGTTTGGAGAGAGGGCAACACCATGGCGGCCGAGTGCTGTGCTCTGTGTGTCTTTATGATTCTGGGGAGATGAGGACCGCCTGCTCAAGCCCAGCCTCTCGGCAGTGCCCAGTCTGCATCTCAGGCGTGGAAATTACATAGCGCTCTTGGCCAGACAGCTGTGGAACTACCAGGCTAGGAGTGCCCCAGGCCAGCACACCTCCAGGAGCCTTCGGCCGAGTGCCTGGGGGAAGAACTCTGCATGAGTCTCTGCTCGTTTCCTGTTGTTAAGAAGGCCGACTGAATTTGGAGGCCTAAGCCTCGAAACAGGATCCCCTTTCTCTCAAACCCATTCGGCAAAAGTGGGTCTGCAAGGCATTTGATAGAGTCAGCAGTGGGGTCGTGGGAATTCCTGGGAGAGCACTGACTGCACGAAACCTAAGGATTTCAGAGCTTCTGTAGGACGTTTGCCTCCTGCCTCCAGGCCCTCAGCCTGGGGCTTCCAGTATCAGCAACTGACACGCAGGCAGCCCCGCTCTATTAACTCTTAGTTAGAGAAGGTTCAGTCCCAGGGGCAGGAGTTCCCAGCAAAGCCAAAGCCTCTGTCCTGGCTGATCCCTGGTGTACGTGGGATCATGTTGATAGTGACCATTGACTCCCCACAGTGAGTTTTAGTTACCGCCCTCCTCCCGCAGCCACGCAGTATGCAGATACGGCATGTGTGGACATGCAGTATGTGATGCACTTAGGCACGCATGCCTTCCAGCCGTTCCTCTGCCGCCTCGCTGTGTCTGTGTTTCTTGCGCTCCATATCATTGATTGCTCCATATCATATCATTGATTGGGTATGGGGGGACAGGAGGACTACCTGATGGAATAACTCTCTCTTCACCGATTCCTTGTTGTAGACTATTGGGGAGAGTCTTATTACAGTGACCTCATCGACTTGCATCTGGGTGGTATGTATGGCAGCGCCTGTGCTGACACTAACCCCGCTGACGCCCTTTCTCCACCCACGCTTCCCAGTCCCTGCTCACAAAAACAAGGAGAAATCAACCCAATAACCAAATGGCAAAAGCACAGACCCTTTTCCAGCTCAAAACAGAGCAGCGTGCTGATCTCCCCGCTGCCCACATGTGCTCCAGAGGAAGATCTGAGCTTGCTTTTGCTGCCTGGGGTCGTTTTTAATTTTTTATAATAAAACTTTGCCCACCCGACTCCACCAGCCTTGCATCTGCGTCCTGGTCCCCTAAATACACACACTCCAACACAGCTTTTGCCCTGAATCTCATCCCTCACTGCTTGTAGGAATCATATCTGCTAGGGAGCTCACTGCCTGCCACACTTACGCAAAGAAGCAAACATGCCAAGATCTCAGCCCGACCATTTTCACTGGGTCGTGGTCTCGTTTCTCCCAGAAGAGCTGAGTGCGAGGGAAAGGCTTCTCTGTAGTGATTTCTGCCCGGAGTCACCAAACTCAAAGCCAGGTTGACGGGTGCCCATAACAACGTCCCTCCCTCCTTGCTCTGTCCTGGGGCTCACTTTGTACTTCTTTTCAGTGAAGACAGGAAAAGCTCCAGGCCGTGGTTCTCAAAGTGTGGTCCCTGGACCAGCAGCAACATCACCTAGGAGCCTGTTAGGAAGGCACAGCCTCAGGCCCTGCCCCAGACCTGCAGAATCAGAAACTCTGGGGTGAGGCCTGGTTATCTGCTGTAACAGACCTTCCAGTGGGTTCTGATGCCCTCTAGAGCAGGAGAACCACTAGCTTAGAGGTTGCAGTATGTTTGGCATCTTGCCATTTGTGTTAGTTCAGAGGAATGGCTGACCCCCATGTCTCATTTCTAAGCTTCAGGCAGCTTTTCTCCTGGGCAGCTGTCATTCTGTTGAGGGGAATCCTGGGGACTGTGGCTCCTCCTCCCTGTCCGTGTGTCCTTGATCTGGCAGTCTACCCCCTTCATCTCCCCGTGGAGGCTCCATGCCTAGAGGTGGTCTTCAAACAGAAGAATGGCAAAGATAATTGTCTCGTGTTTTACCCTGACCCCATTCCTTTAAGAGGGTCACTTCTTGGCCCATTCATTTAAAAACCAATGTCATAGTTCTGTGATTCCACCTATCAGACAGTGCCACGTCCAAGGCGGGGCTCTCACCTCCCTGGGAAGAGAGACTGTTGCTGTCTGTGCTTCCTGTGTTCTCCAGTCCCACGCTCCCACGGACCCACGCCCTTGGAGACTCCCTCAGTGTCCCAGGGCTTCTGGTGTGTTCAGAGACCTCCACACTCAACGACCACTGGTGCTGCAGAAGGGCCGGTGCTTACATTCCAATTAACAGACGCTTTTCCCATCTAATGCCTCTTGCCTTCTCCTAACACCACCTCGGGAGTGTTTATGTCTATTCTAAGTGAATTTCACTGTGTGAAAAAATTCACACCTGTTATCCCAGCAATTTGGGAGGCCAAGGCAGGTGTATCATTTGAGCCCAGGAGTTTGAAACTAGCCTGGGCAAGATGGTGAAACCCCGTCTCTATAAAGAAATTTTAAAAATTAGCTGGGCATAGTGGCACGTGCCTGTAGTTCCATCTACTAGGGAGGCTAAGGTGGGAGGATCACATGAGCCCAGGAGTTTGAGGCTGCAGTGAGCTGTGATCGCAGCACTGCACTCCAGTCTGGGCAACAAAGCAAAACCCTGTCTCTTAAAAAAAAAAAAAAAAATTGTTTACATTCAGAATCTCCTGGAAGGGGCCGTCAGAACGCGTTTCTTTAGGATTGTATCCACACTTCCCTCCCAGTTCAAGATGCCGGTAACACACCATCGCATCTCCTGCTTTCTTTGTTTTTTGGGTTTTTTGTTGTTGTTGTTGTTGTTTGTTTGTTTTTTTTGAGATGGAGTCTCGCTCTGTCGCCCAGGCTGGAATGCAGTGGCGCGATTTTGGCTCACTGCAAGCTCCGCCTCCCGGGTTCAAGCGATTCTCCTGCCTCAGCCTCCCGAGTAGCTGGGATTACGGGTACCCACCACCCCACCCAGCTAATTTTTGTGTTTTTAGTAGAGACGGGGTTTCACCATGTTGGCCAGGCTGGTCTCCAACTCCTGACTTCAGGTGATCCGCCCGCCTCAGCCTCCCAAAGTGCTGGGATTACAGGCCTGAGCCACCGCGCCCAGCCCGCATCTCCTGCTTTCTTTACCCGCCCTTGCTCGAGTGAGAAGAGGTAGTGAGCTGCTTTCTCCTCTGGGTTCCCGGACTGCAGCTACTAGCTTTTTGGATTTAGAATTCCAGCAAGTTCCAGGGGGAAATGAAATAAATAGAAAAAGGAAACTCAGGAGGCCGGGCGCGGTGGCTCACGCCTGTAATCCCAGCACTTTGGGAGGCCGAGGCGGGCGGATCACGAGGTCAGGAGATCGAGACCATCCCGGCTAAAACGGTGAAACCCCGTCTCTACTAAAAATACAAAAAAATTAGCCGGGCGTAGTGGCGGGCGCCTGTAGTCCCGGCTACTTGGGAGGCTGAGGCAGGAGAATGGCGTGAACCCGGGAGGCGGAGCTTGCAGTGAGCCGAGATCCCGCCACTGCACTCCAGCCTGGGCGACAGAGCGAGACTCCGTCTCAAAAAAAAAAAAAAAAAAAAAAGAAAAAGGAAACTCAGGATGCCTTGTGAATCACACAGTGCCCCACCACTGACACTCATAACCCTTTGAAGGTGGGCTCATCAGCTCATCACTTCCCCTTTCCCAGACCATTATGCTGCGTAAATTCAAGACTTCTCGGGTTCTGCCCACCACGTGGGGGCTGCTGCTTGAAGGGGACGTTCCCCACTGCAGGGAGTCTCTTGTGGACTTTAGGCCCTGTTCTCGCCACGCCCGTGAGGACGACGGCAATGCCAGAATTAGGTTTCTTTTCTGTTTCTGCTCTTGTGTCATTCTTAGAGCACTTAGTAATATTCGTTAATTGGAGGGAAAATCACCCTTTTGAGATCTGGAGCCTCATATGTAAAACCTGGTTGCCCTTGCCCCTCTGTGCCTGCATCCCCAAAAGGCCACCCCGAAGCCCCATTTCTGTGCCATAGCACCCGTCTCATTTCTCCCATGGGCAGAGCAAAGCTCCAAGCAGCCCTCGGAGCATTGGGAATGCCACCTCCTGTCCAGAGGGGCCGACTCCTACCCCTGCCCTGTGCTCTGTGTGTCACGCTCCAGGCTCTTTCAGTGGCTCTCAGTGAACTACCTAAAGGCTCTGAAAGTTCCTTTTTTCAGCCACAGAGTATAAAGAATGAAGATTTCCCTTCCTCACATAGCTGGACTTTGTGATTTCCAAAGAAATCATTAAAAAGACTCAAAACAACCCTTGGACCAGAGAGGAAGGGTCCCCAGGTGGCCACTCCCCTTCTTTCTTCTGCCCTGGGACCCTGAACAGGCCGGCCCAGCCTGCTTTATTGCACTAGAACAGACAGATGACTGGAAATCTAGAAGAAAACCACATTTCTTCTAAAACTGATTGAAAATACACACACATAATTTCTAGTTTTCGGGGACCTCATCTCTTGATTTATATGTCTCAAAGGAAATTTAAAGAACACAAAAGGTTTAGAAATGTAACATGAAGGACTGGAGGTGGCCTCTTGCTGTTGTGAGATGGAGGTGCAGGGACGCCAGCCCCTGCCCTTCTGAGCAGCCGTCTTCCTGTTCTCTCTGCTTCTCTGAGTTTCATGTTGATAGGTTCTTGGTTTGCCTGACCAGTCCACCATCAGCTTGGTTCTGCTTTGCTTAGGAACTTTGGAACCTGCGAGGTTTCCCAACGCGTGTGTGTGTGTGTGTGTGTGTGTGTGTGTGTGTTTTAGAGTGAGGTTTCCCAGCGCGCGTGTGTGTGTGTGTTTGTGTGTTTTAGATTGTAATTCTTACATGCATTTGTTTGGTTTTTTGCCTTCACTTTTCCTCCCAACCTGGAGCTTTATCTCTGCATTAAGTCTGTGTAGCACCAGGTGTCTCCCAGCCCCACTATGTGTATGCTAGACTGGGCCTGCCGGACCAGCCTCACCCTGTCATGACAGCTGCTTGCATGTCTGCAGTATTGCACACCAGCCAGCTGGGACCCCTGTCAGGGCCATGGTGTTTGTCATCGCCCGAGGTTTTAGACTGGACCTCAGCCTTGCAGTGCCAAGGCTGCCCCAGGCCAGGAGCATGGCATTGGTGGTGCCCACCAAATAGGCTTCCTGGGTTGGGGACTCAGAATAGCCGAGTGCCTTCTTAGTCAGCAACACATTTGGTCAGTCTTCCCTCACACTTCCCAGGCTGCATAACCTGAGCAAGGCAGAGTGGAAAATCTACGGTGGCCCCACTCCGTAAACCTGAGCCGCCAAGGAATTCCAGCCCTGAGCACTTTGCTTTGTGAAAGTTTTTGAGACAGGGTCTGGCTCTGTCACCCGGGCTGGAACCCACCCAGTGGCGCCATCTCCACTCACTGCAACCCCCACCTCCCGGGTTCAAGCAATTCTCCTGCCTCAGCCTCCTGAGTAGCTGGGACTACAGGCGTGCGCCACCACACCCAGCTAATTTTGTGTTTTTAGTAGAGACGGGGTTTCACCATGTTGGCCAGCCTGGTCTTGAACTCCAGACCTCAAGTGATCCACCTGTCTCGGCATCCCAAATGCTAGGATTACAGGTGTGAGCCACCGCACTTGGCTGCTTTCTGAAAGTTTAATCCAGTCAGTTGGGCATAGCCATGACAGGTAATTCCCCTTGTGTTTCCCAGGAAAAGGTGACAAAAGCTCTTTGGTGTCTCCGACAGGAGTTCAATAAAAAGGCATTGCTCTGGCCGGGCACGGTGGCTCCCACCTGTAATCCCAGCACTTTGGGAGGCCGAGGCGGGCAGATCACAAGGTCAGGAGATCGAGACCATCCTGGCTAACATGGTGAAACCCCATCTCTACTAAAAATACAAAAAATTAGCCGGGTGTGGTGGCGGGCGCCTGTAGTCCCAGCTACTCAGGAGGCTGAGGCAGGAGAATGACGTGAACCCGGGAGGCGGAGCTTGCAGTGAGCCGAGATCGCGCCACTGCACTCCAGCCTGGGTGACAGAGGGAGACTCTGTCTCAAAAAAAAAAAAAAAAAAGGCATTGCTCCAACACTATTTATCATTATAATATTTATGTTATTATTTATAGTGGTACTATAGTTAGCAGTAAATATAGTGGCATCACCGCCAAAACAAGTGTGAGAAATGAGAGTCCAGAGAGTCCACCCTGGTAAGCTAAGGGCTGCACGTGGCTGCCCAGAGAGGCAGGAAAGTGGAGCCTCAAAATATGCCTGAGAATAAGCGAGCCTCTTTCCTGTCCCTGACGCCTTGGAGCGTGATCCTCAGAGACCAAAGGGAACTGAAAACCAAAAATGATCTCTATCTACGCAGGATGTTCCAAAAGTGTGGCTGAAAGGGGAAGACGTTAACCTTGGGGCTCTACAGAGTTTCTGTGTGCGTGAAACACACAACAGCATATCAGAAGGGAGGGTGTGGGGCCAGCCTCCACCTCTTGAAAGTCTGGTATTCTAAAACGCTTGCAAGCTGATTATTTGGGATTCTGTATTTTCACGTGGAAATAGAGTTGTAAATGGTGGCTCGGCTCATAAAAAGCCCATTTTCCTCATTACACCTCTGTGTGTGGTACTAGTCTGGTGACACTCCAGGACCTAACCCGTGTTCCCTGGGGAAATGCAGCATTCCAGGCTGGGGCCTCTGGGCTCTAGAAGTCTCCCTCATTGGCCCTCTTTTGGTCTGCTGGACACTGCTTTAGGGACCTCCCCAGCTCTGTGGTGATGGTGCCTTTGTCCAACCAGGGGGAGCTGGGAGCCTGTCTAGTGGGCAGAGGTGGATACCAAGATGAGGCAGGTCCCCGGGGCCAGTTGTCCAGCAGGCCTGGAGGACGGCCCGCCGACGTGCCTGCCCGCTGTGGCTGTGCCCACCTCTGCGTCCTCTGCTGGCTGCCACGTGGTTAGCGTTGGTGGCCGGTGCGTTTGGGGTGCTCAGTAAACATTTCTGGCATAAATTAGTAGTCTCCCGCATCATCCTTACCACAGGCCATGATTCATGTATGATATTGCTGTTTTTGATATCAGCATCCATGTAGAAGCCAGTGGGTCAAATAGAACCAGGCAGAATTGAATGATTGAGTCGGAAATGCAGAGCATCAAGCCAGCACCCACCGCCACACAGATTGTCACTGGTGGTTGTCGGGCTATGAACAGAGTTGGGCCTTTGTCTTGGCCCCTCTGGGCTATTATTACTTATTTATTTATTTTTTAGAGATAGGGTCTCACTCACCCAGGCTGGAGTGCAGTGGTGCAGTCACGGCTCTCTGCAGCCTTGACCTCCCGGGCTCAAGCAGCCCTCCCACCGTAGCCTCCTGAGTAGCTGGGACTATAGATACTCACACTACCACACCCAGCTAATTGTTGTAGAGACGGGGTCTCACTGCATTGCCCAGGCTGGTCTCGAACTCCTGGGTTCAGCAGTCATCTCACCCTCACCTCCCAAAGTGCTGGGATCACAGGTGTGAGCCCCCGTACCTCCGAGCTTTCTGACCGCATCCTCACTAATCCTTGTGAGCAAGGCACTCAAGCCTCTGCTCCCCAGTCTCAGGGCTATGGCTCTTGGATTTCGAGTACCAGAAGGACTAAGGTAGGCCCTGCCTGCCTTCCAGATGACCATCTAGGTTCAGTGTGTGGGCTCATCTGCTTGCTTGTTTTTCCAGCTGCCCGGGTGTCTTCTTGATGCAGTGTGCCAAGGTGAAGAGTCTTGGTTGGAGAGAAGGTGGGAATATAGAAGTACAAGTACAGAGAAGGGGACCTGCCCTACAGCTGGCCACTCTTTCCCCCACACTGTTGGCCATTCTACCCCACACTGGGTCTTGGGCCCATGAGAGGCAGGGCCTGGAGTGAGGTGCTCGGGTGCGCCAAGGGCCAGGTGGTAGTGTAGGGGGTACCCCGACTTAGGAAGGCCAGGCCTGGATTCAGGTCCTGCCTTCACTGTCTCCCCAGGCACAGACAAAACAGACTCTACTTACCCTCTCAGGGCCTCTTCAGAAGACGAGGCAGGAAGGGACATCGGGCCTCCCTTCCAGGTGTGACATTCTGATCAGGGTCTGTGGGACTGCTCTTCCTTGAGCTGCCTGAGACGCCAGCATTTGTTACATTTGCCTGGAGCCTGTGTTGAAGAGGGAAAGCTCTGAGTTCAGAGTGGGCAAGAAGATTTGGCTTCTTTTCCAGGCTCTGCCACACTTAACTCCGTTGAGCCTCAGAACCCTCATTTGAATTTGCCCATCCTGGCAGCCACACCTGGCCGGTGTGAGGATCACGTGGGTGGTGCATGCGAGGGCGCCCTGAAGCCGGAGAGTGCCATCCGTGCCCATCTCATGCGCTGCTCTGGACAGGCCTCACTCCCTGGTGGTGTACTGTTGCTTTTTGAAATTTGGTGACAGGCACTGCCTGCCCGCCAGGTGTCAAGCGAGTGGCACTAAAGAGCCACCCCTGGGTCACACGTCCAAAGGAAGTGCTGCTTCAGAGGGAAAGATGGAGCAGATGTGCCCCCGAGTGTTGGAGACGCAGCAGAGTGCTCCAGGGAGGAGGGGTCCTCTGACCAGGACCCGCTCACTGCTCGGGAGCTCAGGAGGGGTGGCCAGCGCCCAGGGCACGCAGGAGTGCTTTGAGAAGTGGTAAATTATAGCACCTGTTAGCAACAGATGGAAACCCGTTACCCTGATGTTGAGAAAAACCAAAAAACTTCCATTTGCCAGAAGCTTGACAGCATCTTTGTTCTTAGAACCAGTGAACCAAGTCTTCTATTTCTTACATCCCCCTAAAAGGCAAAGCATTTACTATAAACCCCCCACCCCCGCCCCATGCATGCTCAGTCAGGTTCCAGTCAGGTGGAACTCCCCTTGTTGGATTGGTTTTTCCCTTCCACTTCTTCTTTTGAAAATTGTATTGATTGGGCATTTTTTCTGATTATAAAAGTAGCCTCGCCCGTTGTGGAAGTGTGGAGCGTACAGGGAAGTCCGAAGGTAGCGGCCCCGCAGCGCAGCTCGGACTCGCCGGCCGCTCACACGCGCTTCTGCCTCTTGCTAGGAGAAAGCCTTTTTGGCTTCTTTAAATGCTTGCTTTACCTGATGCTCCCTTTTTCTAATTTCATTTCCTAATTCTGTTCCCAGTATTCTGTTATATTGTTCTCTGTGTTGGGAAGGGCGTATGAGGATGTGGCCTACATAAAAACAGCTGAAAGCTGTATTTTGTGCTGTCCAGAAAGCAGAAACACGTGTTGTAATTATTACCCGTGCAGGCGCCTGCCTCTTCCTTTTGGATGTGTTTGGTTGTGTATCACATGGGCGCTGTTCCGCTCCACAGCATGGCCTATTCACCTGTGACACCAGTCCCAGGAGGTGGCAGGGACTGTTCACTGACGTATTTGATGGGATTCATCCAGGTGTTCCAAGCCTGAAGACAGACTACACTTTGAAGCCGAGGTTGACTGTAGGTCGGCTGTAAGGCAGAGTGTATTGTTGAGGAAAGAAATCCTCCCTCGTACCCATGCATTCGGCCGGCTGTGCCGTGTGTGCTTAGCACATTGGGTACACTCAGCATTTCACACGCATGCACACTGTCCCTGGCTTTGGTTTTGAAGTTGTACCCAATAGCAGATTCAGTGTGCCCAAGGTACGCCACGCTGGAAGGGTTCAAAGACAGAAAACACCTGTATTCATGCAGCTGCACCGCTGAGCGGCCTCTCAGCCAGCTCTTTGTCTTGTTGGCCTTCTGTTGAGTAAAACAAGGCCATTTCTTCAACCCTGTTCTCTCTGTAAACCACACACTGCCCTCCCCGCGGGCCGAGGCCCCGTGTCTTCCTGGGCTCTGTTGTCCCTGTGTGTGCTCTGTGGTTCTGTGATGGTCCCTTGCCAAACTCCTCTCCCTCGTCCTTGAGTAGCCATCAGACCCCAGATCTAGAGATGTCTCTCTGCACACTGTCTCTCGATGCCCCGTCAGCACTCCTCCCAGCATCGTTCCTGTAAGTTTTGGCGTGTCCTGTCAGCTCACCCCTTTGGTCTCACAATCCAGAGTGTGACAGCCCCCAGCTGCAGCATGGGGTCCCTGCACAGCCATAGAAGGGCCAGAAGGAAAGGGGGTGGTTGGCTCTCCCTGTTCCTGGGGGAGAGAGGGGACAGTGACACGGACGGGTGGAAGTCACCTCTGTGTTTGTACATTTCCCCAAAATTGTCCTGGCTCAGAATTTGAAGGAGCGCAGGTGTGAGCGTCCTGGAGGCCCGTCACCGGATGGCGTGCTGCCCCCACAGACTCAGAGGCCCCTCCTTGCCCTGCACTTGTCAAGGCCAGCTTTGCCTCAGGCACATACCTGTGGTGACATCTTAGAGGATTCCACGTGGGTCTGGGAGGTGACCCCAGGTTGTCACCTGCAAGCCTGGAAGCCATGTTGGCCACTTATTGAATGCAGTCTGTCTCAGAGCCAGGCAGACCTATCCAGGGGCTTTGAGGAGGGGGCCCAAGGCCCCAAAGGCCCCGGTATGACAACCCAGATGCCACTGCCCTCCTGATAAGGAGTAGAGGCAGGAGGGCCCTGTGGCCCGAGTGCTGCCATCATTGTGTAGGGAACACATCATCCCTCTTGGAGGAATCCACACTGTGGCTCTGGCCCCCCGCCCCCTCTGTGATGCTGCCAGAGCTGGATCTGCTCTCGTTCAGTTCCGTGCTGAAAAAAGGACTTAATTCATTTGTAGACTTTGTTTCCCTTGTTTCTGCTTCTCCATTTCTTGTATTATTTTCTTTTCCTCCTGTTGTTCCTTTCTCACTTTTTATGCTTTTTGTCCTCTGCTTGTTTTTATTCCACCTTCTCCCTGTCCCTCTCCACTTCCAAATTCCTGCTCCTCTCCTCCTCTTCCTTTTTTGTCTTTCTCCGTCTCCTCCTCTTCCTTGCTTGGTCCCTTTTGAAGTTGAGCCCAGTGGCGGGACTCCACGACGTAGACCTCTCTCCTTCTGCCCTTGCTGTGTCCAGGAAGGTAACGTAACCTCGCCAACCCCATCCCCACTGCCTCGGAGGGGGTGTAGCAACACTAGTCAAACACAGAGCCAGAACCCACCTACCTCTCTCTCTTTCTTTCTCTCTGACCCTCAATAGTCCTGTTACAAAATGTCATGAGTCTGTGGCAGTTTCTAAAGGTACAGTATCCCTTTGACTGTCTATGGGGAGGACCAGGGTGCAGAGTAAAGCCAGAGAGCCTCCAGGTCTGGGTCCTTCAGGGCTGCAGCATTGGCTGGCCCTTCGTGGCTGGGGCTTTAAGTCTCAGATCCATCAGATAGAGGGGCAGGCATGCAGGTGAGGAGCCTCCCGCCTGCGTGCAGCGATTTGGATGGGAGAGTCAAGGAATACTGTCCTTACAAAGACTGATCTACACCAGTGCCCTCGGGCCCCTTTCCAAACAACCACTGAAAGCAAACCTCTCTACCTCGTGTCTTGCTGAGTGTGCGTGTTTTAAGTTTGTCTGATTTGAAGTCTGTTGTGGTGATAAGATTGTCGTTGAAAGGCATGTGGGGGGTGTGGCCGTGACTAACCCTGCTAACTCTTACCTGCCGTCCACAGCGCTCACCCGACTCTCGCTCACACACCACAGCCCCTGCCTGGCGGCCGTGGGCGAGCTCTCCATAGCTAGTGAGCGCTGTCCGCACGTCTCCGGTGGCATTTTCTGTATCTTCGTGGGGAGGTGGGCAGCGGGAGAGACTCCCTGGTGCCGCCGTGGCCGGGCGCACTGGACAGCTTGCATGCCTCGGGCCCCTCCTCCACGGCCATGTGGGCACATTGTGCAGAGACGCTCCGAAAGCAATGCATGGAACTGAGTGGGGGCTGGCTTAAAGGCCAAAACCCAAGCCTATTGGATTGGGTGAGGAGAGCGCTGGTCCCCTGACCCTCAGGCACACACTCCACAGTTGCAGGCTGGACAGGCTGGGGGGTTTCCGTCCTTCAGAGGAGGCTCAGGGGCAGGAACCCCCTTGGGAGCAGAACCGCATGTGCACTAGGGCACAGTACAGACACTAACCCCTGCTTGTTGAACATGGTGCATTTCTGCCTCCTTGGTGTGGCCACTGGGTAGAGACTAACTGTCTAGCAGACACCACTGCAGATAAGAGGTGTGTCTGTGTACCGTGTGCCAGAAAGGCAGGTGGAGAAAGGCAGCTAGCAGTGAGGGAGGACTCGGGCTGTGGCTGGCCCTTCTGAGGCTGTGTTCCTCACACTCCTGGGCTTGTCTTAACTGGCCTAGAACGCCCCCTGCCAAGGGACGCAGAGAGTGCAAGGGCCTCTGAAAGATGTCCCCGTCTAGTGCCCCTTAACCTGAGGCCCATGGATGGACCCCAGGAAGCCCAGGAGCAGCTTGGAACTCTGCATCAAATGGTTTGCTCTGCACACATAAGCATTTTTCTAGGAAGAGAGTCCCTAGCTTTTATGAGATTCTCAAAGTGGTTTGTAATCCAAAAATATTGAAGAGCCACTGACACAGCATGTATTTTAGGCAGGACCACACTTTTGCCATGAACTTCTGTGCTCCAAGGAAAAGGACCTTGTTCTCTCGTTGGGTGGCTTGGTCCCTTGGAGACTTCTTCCTTCTGTCCTCCTGCCACAGTGAAGCCCAGTGGTCAGGCCGTCCCTGGGGGAGGTTTGGTATCGGCACCTGTTGGTTCAGGCAGCCTGAGCTAGCAGGCAGCCACCAGACACAGGCATTCTGTTGGATTGGACCAGGGCAGGGCGTGGCCACCTCCTTCCATCCCCAGGGGCTGCTAGTGTTTCTCTGCTCTTGGTGAGAAACCCTGCGGCCATCCTGAGATGCCCTGCATCGACCATGCGGGATCCAGCGGGAGAGCATCCGGAAGCTTGATAGGCCACAAGTTAAGGGGTGGTATCTTCTCTTCCTGGTCAGGAGGTAAACAAATGGACAAGGCATCTATTCTGGTGGCCCCTGGAGAGGGGCAGTAGCCCAAGAAAGAGCTGAGTTAAATGAGCATGACCTGAGGGCAGGGTGCAGTTTACAAATTCACATTTGTCTCGTTTAACAAGACGGGTTTCCTCCAAGGAGACCTAGTACATAGCAAGTGCCAAATAAACATTGAGTGGCAAAAAAGAGGGAAAGCAATGTAAGTCATCCTAAGAGAGCACACAGAGCAGGAGGGGTAGAAACCAGCCCCGGGGAGGGCAAGGTCCCTGCTGGCGAGGTCGCTGACGGGGTGAACAGGGATGGCAGGACACGGGAAAGCGCAGGCCCCAGGAAGGGGGACGCCAGGGCCCCATGGCTGCAGGCAAACCTTGGGCCTGGCTTGGGAGTGGAAGTTCCGGCAGCATCTTGCTCGGCCCTCTTTGCACATTTGCCCCGTGTGATTCCTGCGGGCCAGGGTGGGCGCGGCACTCCCTGCACCCGACACAAGCGTTCTCTCGGCAGGCATGGGCAAGAAGGACGACCCCAAGCTGATGCAGGAGTGGTTCAAGCTAGTGCAGGAGAAGAACGCCATGGTGCGCTACGAGTCGGAGCTGATGATCTTGTGAGTGGCCTTGGGTAGGGGGCGTCAGCGCTATGCTTGTCACAGCCGGCATGGAGGTCCTTCCAGATTTGGGGGTGAGGGGTGGTCCCCAGTCACTGTGGCTTGTCTCCCTCCTGCCCTGCCTCCTCAGTGCCCGGGAGCTGGAGCTGGAAGACCGGCAGAGTCGACTGCAGCAGGAGCTCCGGGAACGCATGGCAGTGGAAGGTGAGTGGGGTAAGGCACCCATGGAGGCCAGGGTGGGTGCCACCTCCAGGCCCCTCACCTCATGCCTTCTTCTCCTTCAAGATCACCTTAAGACTGAGGAGGAGCTGTCAGAAGAGAAGCAGATTCTCAATGAGATGCTGGAGGTGGTGGAGCAGAGAGACTCACTGGTGGCGCTGCTGGAGGAGCAGCGGCTCCGGGAGAGAGAGGAGGACAAGGACCTGGAGGCTGCCATGCTGTCCAAGGGCTTCAGCCTTAACTGGTCCTGAGCTCCCACCCAACGCTCCATTTTCTGTTGGCATCCGCCTGGCCAGGCAGTGGCATCCAAACCACCCGGAGCCGCGATCTGAGGAGGCCTGGCACCTCCTTGGAGTTTACGCTCAGATGCCCGTGTGCTGCTTGGAAAGTGGTCGAGTCCCGCGTGCAGTGGGGAGCCCCAGGTGACAGTGGTTATCTGAGACGGCTCCACCTCCTGGGAGGAGGCCCACCTGGACCTCCCACTCAGAGGAGCAGCACGGCGTGTATGGCATGACGCAGGGGACCACCCCGCGCGCTCCCTGAGGATGTGCTGGCTGTGCCCCTTTTTTCCACTGGCACATTTGGTAAGAGAGGGAAGCTGCTCCCCGTCAGAACCACAGTGCGCCGTGCGAGGGGCACTGTCTTCTTCATGCTCCCTGGAGCACCACCAAAGAAACGTAAACAATACCCCACGAAAGCAGGGTCAGGGGTCAGGGTGCGATCGAGACCCAGGATGGGGGCGTCCAGTCATGCCCACCCCAGCATCACAGGAGACATGGAGGTGCGGGCAGGCTCCTGAATTATTATGCAAATTAGGAGGACGCAGGAGGGGTCTGCCCTCCAGCCGAACACCACACACTGGACCCTAAGTGGCCAAATGCCTGGGCCGCTTGCTGGCTGTGGCCTGAGGCTTGTGGGTTGCTGCATTTTGCTTGTAGTTCACAACCATTTTGACACTGGAAAATGCTGACTTTGGGGGACAGGATGAGGCCCTACATTCTAAGCCCCCAGTTGGCAGACAGGCATTGTCCCTGTTCCACATTTATGTCGGGACAGGAGATGACCTTTTCCTCCGTGTTTTTCCTGTGTTTGCACGTTGAAATGAAGCTGACAACCTGGCAAGACGCTCAGCCGCTTCAAACCCTTTTTGTCAATTAACTTATTTTTTAATACTTGAAAAGAAGTAACTTCGTTTGTGTATCTTTACTAGAGGAACTGATCACCTGCGCCCGGGTGCGGGAGCCACAGCGGCATCTGGTGCGTCCTACGCGACCTGGTCCGGGGCTGCCCGGTGCTCCTCACGTGCATCTATTTATTAGCCTTTCTCTTCGTATCACTGGCCTGGCTGGCATCAGGGAGCTGCCCAGAACCCCTGTGTGGGTCCTCCTCACAGCTTTCTGTCCCCTCCTCCACCCGGTGCCTGCCTCACCCTGGCGCTAGACCATCTGGACCACTCATGTGATGAGGGTGCATTTCCGTTCTGTTTTGGGCCAGGCCAACAGCAGAGCTGCCACTCTCACCCTCCCAGTGAGAATTCCGGCTCTGCAGAACTCGCCCTTGTCTCAGTTTGGGGGCCAGGGCATCACCTTCCTCCGCACATATGTTAAAGAAGGTTTCAGGATGGGCCCTCATCCACACAGGCCAAGAGGGTGCAAGGTGGGACCCTGGAATCATGTGGCTGGTGAGAATTCCCTCCTCCCAGCCTAAGATTCACCCAGACGGAAACGCGAGTGCTGCAGTGGATGCTGGGATGCAGGCTGGTGCCTCTCAAGCAGATCAGCGACTCCCGCCCTTCCTTCCGAAGGCGACGGGCACCTGCCTTGTGCCGGATCTTCATGGGGACATAAAGGGCGAGCCCCGAATCACTAGCTCCTATAGCCAAACTGTTCCTTTCTCACGGTTCCGCACCAGCCTGGCTGTGTACAGCTCATCAAGCCACTGAGCTAATCGGGGTGGGGTGCTTGTCCATCAAAGCAGTCAGCACATAGCCCAGCGAGGAGCCATCCGGACCAGACCCGCCTGCCAGGGGCGCTCCAGCCGCCTGCCGCCTCCGTGGGCTGGGGCCAGCTGGGAGCAGAGGCCTGGCCCCTCCAAGGCGTCCCGCAGTGGAGCAGGCTGAGTGGCTGTGCTGACCTTGGGCTTTCCATGGGAACCACACTGTGCTTCAACTTGAACATTCATCCCAGCTGCAAAGGAGCAAAGAACCTGTGTCATCCTTGTCTGTCCAGAAGCTGCCATCTCTCTCCCATGCACATCCGGGAGATAACGCCGCTAGTGGCCGCCACAGCGCTGATTCTCCACCTGTTCTCACGTGAGGCAAAGGTCTCCTTTTCTTTTCTCTTTACTTAAAAAAGGGGAGAGGAGGGTTTCTAGATTCCATCTTCAAACCCCAGTCGTCCCATAAAATTGGACGTGGGAAAAGACCTTCACTGCCTGCGTGGCCTTTCCCAGACCTCTCCTCGAATGCCACAAAACCGGTCCAGCCCCGGCAGAGCCGCCTTCGGCCCTTGTAGCTCCTGCTGGCCCCACAACAGGGAAACAGTTTGCAAAGTGGCTTGGAAGGAGTGTGGCCTAGGGATCTGCTGTAAGTGGCCAGACGTAGCAGGAGAGCCCAGTGTCACCTTCTGGTCCTGGTCAGCCTTAACACTGTGGCATCCTCCACAGCACACACGGCAGCCTGCAGTCTGGAAGGTGGACCCGAGCCTTTGCAGAGAGGCGCCGCAGAGCCGCAGGCCTGCGCCCCAGCCTTCTGCTCCCGACTGTGAGGACACCCAGTTCTAGTAGAGCACTTTTTTTAAAGCTCCCATTTTGTAACCACTAGTTTGCGGTTGACTTGAGTACTCTGGTGACTTCCTGCGTCAAGCGTTCTCAAGCTGTGAGAATGTGCGCAGCTCCAGGCAGGTTTTCTCTCGGAGAGTTAAGTCTTCCCTTGAAGGCAGGGAAGCAGGATGGATACACATATATCACACGCATAAAACACCAGGTGCGGGAGCAGCCCAGACTCAAGGCTGACTAAACTGGAGGCTGAATACCGTGGAGGTCCACATGCAGCTTCCCTGGAGGGCAGGCCGGAGGCGCTCCCGCCCCTGGGCTTGAGGATGCTGCACCCCGTGGGCTTCCAGGCCTGCCCAGATGATGCCTTCAGGCCTCTGTCCCTGGCGGCCATCCTCAGGCCGATTTTGACCAGCAATGATAGACTCTTCTTAACCCTTTCAAAATAAATTTTTCAGTGGGACAGAAAGGAGAGTTAAAAAACATTTTTTTAAAGGTGGTAACATCTGACCCACAAAGGGAATGGGTCTGTTTTATGCAAAATAAAAGTTTTTCAAATAAATAGTGTGTTTCTTAAGTCATTTTACTGTATTTTTCAGGTGGATGGTGTAGGTGCAAGGTATGACGCATCTAGCTCGTGCCTGGGTGCGTGCAAGACGGTTTAAAGAATACATGGTTTTTTTTAAGTTCGTGCTTTTTTTTAGTCCTCCATAATATCCTGGCTCAGCCACAACTGCTGTCACTTGAGTAAATGTCTTAGGCAGCCAAGTTTGAGAAGCAGCCACTCTTCAGACGAAGCCCCAGTAGCTTCTGGAAGGGAAGTGTGCTCTTTGAATTGGAGATACTCTGAGTCAGGGTGATGCTGTGGTCCTGGCAGCCCTCCTTCCAGCCCTGCCTGGCTCTGTCCTGCAGCACAGCTGACCCGGGAGTCCATGGCATGGGGTCTGCAGCACCCACGCCTAAACCTTTCAGATGTTTCAACGATCTCGAGGTCATTCAGTGCGTAGGGTCACTGCTCGTTAGCCTGAAAATTGTCCCCAGGAGATTACAGGGAACAGTCCTGGCCAGCTCCTCTTTCTTTGTTCTAAGAAGCCTCCGAGGCACGCCCCAGCTGTCTCTCTAACCCCTCCCTCGGTGTGTTGCATTGTTGGGAGCACGGCTGACCCTGTGACCATCCAGGGGCGCCATGCAGGGAGGGAAAGACCGCAGCAGCTCTGTGCACGTGAGCCACACCGCCTACAGGCAGCTAGAAGCCACTCAGTGGAAGCTGGCTCCCAGTCCTTCCAGCTGCGTTCCCAGCTATTCCAGAACAAAGAAAGGCCTGGCTGGGACAAATGTGGGCGTGTCAGGTAGAACAGAGGACAAAAATGGATGAGCAGCTCAAAGTGCATATCCTGTGGCCCTAGAGGACATCCCGTACAAGGAGAGCTGGGTCACTTGCCTGTTGGGAAAGGAAATGGGGCTTGGTAGTCACCTGACCCCCAGGCTCTTGTTCCTCAGAAGGGCTTGCTTGTCAGAGCTGCACCAGGCAGCCTTGGGCTGCAGTTCACAGCCACCTCAGGTGGCAGGAAATGATAAGTATTGCTTTAGGGAGGACACCAGAAAGGAAGGCTGCTGGGCCAGGCCAGAGCCACTGTCAGAAGCACACAAAAAGGCCACACGCCGTGGCGCACGCCTGTAATCCCAGCACTTCTGGAGACCGAGGCATGAGGGTCACCTGAGGTCAGGAGTTCAAGACCAGCCTGGCCAATATGGCGAAACCACGTCTCTACTAAAAATACAAAAATTAGCTGGGTGTGGTGGCACACTGGAGAGCCTGAGGCAAGAGAATTGCTTGAACCTGGGAGGTGGAGGTTGCAGTGAGCCAAGATTGTGCCACTGCACCCTGGGTGACAGTGAGACTCTGTCAAAAAAAAAAAAAAAAAAGTATAGGCTCTATCATTTTTAAATTTTAAAAACTATTTTAAAACAAAAAACAAGAAGCTCTTCTTTCATGAACCACCACATCTTTAACAGCTCCAAAGTCCCTCCTGAACCCTGAATCCTCACATAGTCCCATCTTAAGAATCAGCCAAAAATGAAGGGACAAGACATGCCATTTTATTCCATTTTATAAGCTGGCCACACTGGCCCACGTGCTAGACCCTCCCCTCTTCGTGTCCCCTGCTCGGATGACCTCCCCAGTGATGCCCAGTGAGGAGGGTGAGGCCATACCACCCAAACACTGGCCGGGGGCCGGAGCCTCCTGCCGCACACAGCACAGGAGCCTATGAGACCAGGCCCGTGGCCCTCCCAACAGCCTGTGGCTGCTCAGCTTCACCAGGAGCTTTTTCAGCAGCCTCTTCGTGTGCCCCCTGCCCCAAGGTCTTCCTGCAGCGGGGGCTTTGCCGGGGAAGGCAGAGGAGTCCAGTTGCTGTGGGTAGGCCACATGTGCCACAGCCACACTGCCAGAGAAGCCACCTACTGCCAGGACGGAGGAGGAAGACAGTCCCTGTGCTGCACACACAGCCCCTTTTCATGCCCCCGCGGCGTCCGAGCCACAGAGTGCACATCCAGTACTGGAGCAGGCTGTTTCCAGCCGTGGGGCCCAGGGTGGGGCCAGGGTGGGGTGGCTCAGGACTAGGTGGATGGGGCTGAGGGCCTCCCTGGACAGTCAACACCTGAACCGTGGTGAGGCTGCCAGTATTGAGTGGTCCCCAAAGTAGCCAGGGATAGCATCCTCCAGACGCGTAGGTGCGTGTGGAGCTACCTCGCGCAGCTGTGTGACACGAGACTGACTGAAGCTGCTGGTGTCTGCCCACCCACAAGAGGGCGGCAGGGAGCACAAGTTAGGTGAGCACCAGCTCGGTGTCCTGGCGGGATGTGTTCCTGTCTCTTCCCCCGACGTCAGCCTGGTCACAGCACTCACCCGGCCGGCGCCTCGCATTCCTCCCACCGACTTGGGACTGCTGACCAACTTAGGATGGGGGAGCACGTGGGAAGGCTGGAGGTTCCGGAGTCGGGCCCCGTGTAGATGCACAGATGCCTCCTGATGGGAGAACCCTAGGAGGACTCGGGAGGCAGCCCCCTGCAGCTCGAGGCCAGCCTCCCTGTTTCACGAACTTGCTGGGCCCCCGTGGAGTCCGTGTTCCCAGAGGGTTCAGCCGGCCCCATTGCCCCAGCCACCCCTCCACCCAGGCAGCAGGTCAGAGCTGGTGTCCCAGCAGCAGCTCCAGGGACAGGCCACGGGTCCCTGGGTCTTCACAAGGCCATCGTCAAGGATGAGGGATTTGTCCAGATGGGTGCTGGAGTGTCAGCGTTGAGGGGCTGCTCAACCCACAGGCACCCGGCCCAGCAGGCGAGAGGAGCCTCTCAGTGGTCAGCCCCCATGAGTGTCCAGGGCCTGCCTTTCTTTTCTTTTTTCTTTTTTCTTTTTTTTTTTTTTGAGACAGAGTTTTGCTCTTGTTGCCCAGGCTGGAGTGCAATGGCGCGATCTCGGCTCACCACAACCTCCGCCTCCCAAGTTCAAGTGATTCTCCTGCCTCAGCCTCCTGAGTAGCTGGGATTACAGGCACACGCCACCATGCCCGGCTAATTTTGTATTTTTAGTAGAGATGCGGTTTCTCCATGTTGGTCAGGCTGATCTCGAACTCCCGACCTCAGGTGATCCGCCCACCTCAGCCTCCCAGAGTGCTGGGATTACAGGCGTGAGCCACTGCGCCCGGCCCAGGGCCTGCCCCTCTAGCCCCCGGTTGTCTCCCCGGCAGAGTGGCTGCCAGGTCTTTCTCGGGAGAAAAGGAGAGAGAGGCACCTGGCAGCCAGCAGCTCCCTTTCCCCAGTGGGTCTCACTTCTTTTAAAAATGTTTTTAGAGAATTAAATACCTTTCAAAAATGTATCTCGGACCAAACTTGTTCCCTCGGGGGGCTGGGATGCCTTCCACCCGGAGGCCCCAGCACAGGGACCACCTGCCCAGCCAGACCGCCTCAGCAGGCAGCTCCTGCAGGTCCCGACTCTCTCGGCTCCTCCATGGCCAGTCATTCCCGCCCGTCCCCTGCGCTCTGTGTCTGTAGCTGCTAAGTTGCCGCTGCTGGCTGGTAAGAGAATTCTTCCTGTCCTTCCCCTGGTGTGGCCATGTATTTTGACAAGAAAAGACAAGCAGGAAATTGTCTTTTTCCCCAAGCTTCTTGCCCACGTCAAGGGCAGGCCTGCTCCACCAGCATCTGCCAATGCTTTGTTATCTCGGAGCAATCGCGTGCAGCTAATGGGAGGGGTCTCTGCTGTTGGAGAGGGTGGGATGGGAGGAGTCTCAGAATCAAGATCCAGGCAAGATCAGGGATAAAAAATTGGAAACCCACTTATTTCAAGCCAGGATTGTGATAAGAAGGACTTTGGTGAACAGCCCTAGGGTGAGGCCCACAAGCAGAAGCAATCGGATGGCACCAAAGACAGCACCGGCCCCCAGAACCCTGCAGAGCCTTGAGTAAGCGGGGAAGGCTTGCTGGCCTTCCCAGGCATGAGCATCCTATCCCTGGCCCCAGGGAGGGGGTAGTCTCTGCTCCCACCAGGTCAAGGTTTGGAGGAGGGTGAAGAACTTCGTGCATGAGACAAGGGGCATCAGAACAAGGTCCACCCCCAGCCTCCTCCCCCTAGCACCATCCTTTCCTCCTCCCTGGAGAGTCCTCCAAGGCCCCGGGGAGAACTAAAGCACAGCCACGCTCTTGGCAAGGCACCATGGCAGCAGAGCACGTAGGCGTAAGCACATGCAGTAGAGAGATTTGGTGTAGAGAAATAGAGATTAAGTAGGGCTAAGGCAGCTATAAACGTCATAGTTTTAGATGCATTTTCAGGTGCCAAAGAATTGCCCTTGGCTTTGAGAGCTGGACGGTGAGCTCAGCTGGGGCTGGGAGCCGGTGGCACCGTGTAGTACTGAAGCTTTCCCACACAGGGCCCAGGGGTGGCAGCGCCCCATCCAGGGAAGTCCCCTGGGTGGATCCGCCATTCAAAACTTTCCTGTCCTTTTCCTCCACGCCAGCGGAGATACAGGCTAAGACTCCCTAATGCAGGATTTCCTTTGAGCATCATGTCGGCAAAGATTCCAAAATCTGAAAAATTGAAACACCTCTGGTCCCAAGCATTCTAGATAAAGGGATACACACCCACCTGAAGGCCCCCCCCCCCCGCTTCTCCATCAGCACCTCTAAAGATGATCCCAAGAGCCTTCATCCCTCTCTCCAGGAAGATCTTTTACTGGAGGCCACATGCCTGTGAGAACCAAGCGCTAGACCAGGCGTCTGCCTGGCTGGCTGATGCCGGGTGCGGCTCTCCAAGCCTGTTTCTACCTTTGAACCAGGAAAAGAACATCCACTTCTCTGCCCCGTAAACAGATCCTAGACGCTGAGCACTTTGGGTTTTGTGGGGTGCTGGGCCATCCCTCTGTGGCTGCCTGAGTTGGTCCCATACAGGCATCTCTTCCCTGAAGGCTGACCCGGCCCTGCCCACGGCACGCCTGGGAGCGGCTCCTGCCCAGGCCTATGGCCGGAAACGCCACAGTGGCTCCTCTGGCTGGCATGAACTTCACGATGACACCTGGGTCTCAGTGCAGTTTGTAGGAAAGGAAGGATGCCACGGGGTCAGATCGTGTGTGGGGGAGATTTGGTACAGAAGCGAACACAGGAATGAAGATGGCAGAAACGTCACGTAAGGCGAGGCGTGTGTCTGCTGGCCTCTCGCCTATCGCAGGTCTGAACTGCGCACAGCATAAGGCTGCAGTGCTGAGACTCAGCCCCTCCCCGGGGGGCCACAGCCTGGGCCGTTCACTCTGCACGTGGCAGTCTTGGTTTCTGCACCTTTGAGCAGAATGCTAGACACAGTGGTGGTTTGCCCTCTGCTCAATATCCCTCTAACAAATCACCATGCAAAACATTCCAGCTGGGCACAGCCACCCCACGCCGGGACCCCCACACCGGGACCTCCACTCCCTTCCCTCTGCTGGGTGTGATTTGGCCAATATCCAAAGAGTTCACTTCAGAAAGGGCAGGGTGAGAGGAAGGATATCATGGGGGTCCCTGGGCTGGGCCAGCCCTGGGGCGGACGCCAGAGGGCCCAGCTCCCTCTGGGAAATCCTGCTCGCCCTGCCCCAGCACCCATTCTGAGCCACAGCCAGACTCTGGGAGGGCTGTGCTTGGAGTTTTCCAGCCCTTGGGCCTTAGGAGTTAGCCCTCTGAAAGTTGGTGGCGAGGGCTCACTAGCAGCTGAGGGTTGTTGGCATTAGATAGAGCAGTCCCAGGGAAAAGGCTGCTTGAAGCAATATGGGAAACCCCAGACTGGTCTTTCTGCAACAGCTGAGTCATGCCAGCCTCCCAGAGCTTCTGCAGGGTCACACCCACCCAGCAGCGGGGCTGGGGAATTCCTGGGGTCTACTTGCCTCCGCTCAGTGGGTGGGACTGGTCTTCACCATGGCCGTGATTTCACCATGGGGGTGAACATGATTTTCACCCCCCCAGGCTCTGGTCCTGCATCTCGCCATCTCTCCCCTCTCCTCTAGCAAGACTCTTGCCCTCACAACCCACCGGCCCTTCAAGGCCCAGCGCTTGGGGAAAGCACCTCCTAGGCAGGGAGCCACCCAGCCAGGCACCACCAGCCAGGCCCTTCTCTAGGCTGTCAGGGCAGAGCCCTGGGTCTAGGCAGAGAGGGGAGCTCTGTGGTCGGTGCTGACTTGGCCAGGAGCCACCAGCCCCGGTGCTGTGGCCCTTTGATGTTGGCTGAGAGCTCTGGGCCATCCCTGCAGCCCCAGTTCCTGGGGAACTAACTGCAGGGAGGGCTCTGTGCACCTGGCCTCCTGCCATGTGATGGTGTGTGTTCACTCTGTTTTTCCAACCCAGGTCTCGGGCAGGCGTTTATTGTCGGTTTCTGTCCCAGAGATGAGGGGAATGGGGTGGCCAGGAAGGAGGAAGCCTTCACTCCAGCAATCAGGCCCCCGCCAGTACTGGGGTGGGCTCCAGTTCAGGGGCTTAGGAGGCACCATGGAACGCATGGGCTTATTCCCAGGGGAGCAGAGGCCTTGTGCAGACCTCACCTCCTGCAGTGTGGGGGGATGAGATGCCTGGAGGGGCAGGAGGGAGAAATGGCCCACTTGGTAATAGCCATTACCGCGTGTCAGCCCTGGCCAGCAGGGGACAGGCCACCTCTGCCCCTGCCTCCCCAGCCCTGTCCTCAGGCCAGGAGGACACTGGCCCCTCCACCCCTCATTCCTTCTGCTTCTGAGAGCACCTGAGCTTCAGTGAGAGCACAGCAGCCCGGCCGGGGAATGAGCGGCACCTGGAGACAGCCCACCCTCAAGAAGAGCATGGAAGTGTCTGGGGCGGATGGTAGGGACAGGGGCTTCAGGACAGGGGAAGGCGGTGGGGGCAGCTGGCAGGGAGGGGGTGAAGTTCCAAGGGTGCACTGAGAAGGGGACTGGGGTGGAAGGGGAAAAGGGCAGTGCGTGGCAGCCCCTCTGCTCCTGTCTTTCTCCCCATGCCCCTCGGGAGCCGCCATCCAGCCCCCACTCTGAAGCACCTCCCACAGGGACCCCAGCCACCCCACTCACAGCACACACAGCTGCTAGGAGCCTCCCACCGCACTGCCGGGTAATCACAAGCCACGCTTCCTGAGCGCATGCTGGGTGCCTAAGACCTTGCGTTTCATGTATTCACAGCCCGCCTCTGAGGAATGTACTATCATCTCTTTGATGACAGGAAATTGGGGCCCAAGAAACTTGATCTGGGGCCTCAGGATGCGGGGAGCTGGAGGCCAGCTTTTCTGGGGGCAGCCCCTGGCCAGTTACAGCTCACGAAGCTCGTCAAGGATAGAGCTGAGAAAACAAACTCTGAAGGCTGAGCTCTTAACCACCAAGCTAGAGGCCTCCCGCCCTCCTCTTGACCTCTGCCCTGGGAGGCCTGCCCAGACCCCCGTGCCCACGCACCCTCTGCCCTCCAGATGCACAGATGCTTCTGGTCAGAACCGCACCCTGCTCTTCAGTGCACCAGTGTCCCTTGTAGAGTTCTGTGCCGTGGCTTCTATCCCAAGTCACTCGGGAGTAAGCTACGCGCACTGTCTCCCCATCTTCACCCAGGGATGTGAAGAGCTGGTGACCGCGGAGACGCTGGATGGGACAGCATCAATCTCGGCACTCTTGGGAGGAGAACCTCAGAGGAAAGCCGGGACCCCGTCAGACTGAGCTAGCAATACGCCAGGTCCGGAGCTCCCAGTCTGTTACTGCAGCGAGCCTGCAGAAAGAGTCCGCCATCAGGAAGGTGGTGGACTTCTTTCTCCAGGTGCCGCCACTACTGCTCTGGAGCCGTGGGAATGCTGCAGTCTCCTTCCACAGAGAACGTGCTCTCCAGGTGTGTGGAGTGCCTCAGCCGACAGCCTCGGGCTGCAGCCACAGAGGCCACGTGCTCCAGGCACTGAGCCAGTGGTATGGGGGGTCTGTCCCTTGTTCCTGCAACAGCATCCTTGGCCCTGAGCTGCTGTTGGTGTCGCAGCAGGGCCCTATCAGATCTGCTTCACAGCCGACCAGTTCTCTTCCTCCCTCTCTCCCCTCCCAGGGGTCCGATCCCCATTGTGATCTGAAGGCTGTCCCTGTCCAATCCCGCCCCTTCCTCTTGGGTGTCACCTCCCACCGAGCTTTGTCTCAGCATCTGCTTGCCGGAGGATGGAAACTGACACCTCTGTCCTCTGCTGAGTAATACCAAGACGAAACCCAAAGGACTTTTCTCTTTTGTTTTTTATTTTTATTTTAGAAACGGGGTCTCACTCTGTTGCCCAGGCTAGCCGTGCACTGACACGATCACAACTCACTGCAGCCTCCACCTCCCGGGGTCAAGCCATCCTCCCACCTCAGCCTCCTGAGGAGCTGGGACCACAGGCACACACAAACATGCCTGGCTAATTTTTTATCTTTCTTATTTTTTGTAGAGATGAACATCTCACTGAATTGCCCGGGCTGGTCTTGAACTCCTGGTGGCCCAGTCTGGTCTCGAACTCCCAAAGGACTTTTGAACAAAAACTCTCAAACTCATTGTTCACCATGGAAATGCAAAACCAAAATAGCACCGAGCTATCATTTTATACTATTAGACTGGCAAAGGTTTGGAGGCTAGATCCTGCCCAGTGTTGGTGGGGATGGAGCAGGGCGGCCTGCAAGCCCTGCTGTGGGATTAAAGTGTACCACTGGGGAGACCTCACCACAGGCCCACCTTAGACGGGAGCTCTGTCCCTACAGTTTGGTCCCCAGATATCTCTCTAAAGAAACCCTCATTCGGGCTCAGAGCACCGTGTTTGAGGATATGAATGAGAGTGGCTCGTCATGGCGGCAAGTTGGAGGTCACTGGGGTTCCATGGTTTGGGAGGCAGTTGGGCAAAATGCAGGGCTGCCCACAGTGGGGACCCCATGGCACTGGAGGCACACGCGCAGCAATGTGGAGGGACCCAGCAGATGGAGCCGGGTGGAGAAAACGCGCCAGCTCACATCTCAGTTAAAACACACGTGCACGAGCAACAGCACACTTGCTCGTGAGACTGCCTAGGAGCCAGTCCACGGCGCGGAGAGAGCCGGCAGCGCTGTCTCATTCACTGTCTCAGTCCAGCTTCCAGCCCTGCGCCATCCTTATGCGAGAGTCCCTCAGGTGTGTGGCAACCTCAGCTCTGCACACCCAGCCTTGGACACCCACAGCGCAAACAGGGACCCTCCCAGAGCTGCCCCCAAGCCCTCCCCTGGCCTGTGTGCGGGCGTCTGAGCGGGTGGAGGCCAGCCATGGGCTCTGCTTCCCTGTGAGCCAGGGTCTGGGCTGAGTCTAACCTAGAGGCCCAGGGTGAGCGCCGGGGAGGTCACATCATTCCCGGAGTTTGGAGGGATCCAACACAGCTCCCCTGAAGTTGGCTGTGACTTGGGCCTGTCAGAAGCAGCCTGAGAGGAGGGTCGCAAGTGACCCAGACCTGGGAAGGAGGGAAAGGTTTGAATTTTGCAAAAAAAAAAGATAACTTTGCCCTTTTCGCTTGATCTTGGGGGGACAAGATGGGGGTGACGCCTCCCGAGACCGGGAGAGGAAGGCCACCTGGCGAAGCTGCAGTCCCAGCATTATCTGTATGTTAAATTGATGTTTTAAATCAGAGTTGATATCCAAGTAATTAAAGAATAACTAACAAGCACAGGGACTAGTGAGGGGCTGGGCCAGATTCTCTGCAACCCATATGGCTTCACCTACTTTCCAAACCCCCGGTTCTGTGAGGACCGAAAATGACCATCCCAGACTATTCCAGAAACAGCCTGGGGATTCTGAAAGTTTCCCAGAGCATAGGCAGTGAAAGAGAGAGAAGCTCAGCCCTTCTGGAGGGGACGGGTGGCTCAGAACAGAAGGTGGAAAGGGAGAGAAGCTCAGCCCTTCCAGAGGGGATGGGTGGCTCAGAGCAGAAGGTGGGGATGCAGTTCTGGGGGCGCCATGGCCGAGCACCACAGACCCGGGACTTGCACAACAGAAGCGGGTTTCCTCACAATTCTGAGCCGGAAGGCGGAGATAAATGCGTGGGCACGGCTGGGTTCCCCGGACGCCTCTCTCCCTGGCGCAGAGACGATGTGTTGTTCTCCCCGGGTCCGTTCCTGTGTGGGTGTCCGCGTCCCCATCAGGACACCAGTCAGATAGGAGGAGGGCCATCCAGTGACCTCACTTCACCTTAATCACCTCTGGAAAGTCCCTGTGTCCAAGCACAGTCACGTTCTGAGGTCCTGGGGGTCAGGGCTTCAACTTACGAATTTTGAGAGCATTCAAGTCAGCCCACAACAGTGGACTCTGAAATAATCTTTTAGGAACTGGACTCCTCAAGGACGCTTTAGAAAATGCCGGCCTCGTTCTGTTGCAAAGGGGTAACTGAGGAAGAGGGGCTGAATTTTCACAGGAAGACGAGCCCGGTGGCAGGAAGTGACAGTGAGAAACTGCAGCATAAAGCGGAAGCAAAGGCCGACTGTGACTATGTGGTCGCCAGCTCGCCTTCCCCGTCAAACCTTGCTGGATTTTGTGTTTCATTTTCATTGCCAAAAACATCATTCAGGTCGGGTGCAGTGGTTCATGCCTGTAACCCCAGCACTTTGGGAGGCCGAGGTGGGAGGATTACTTGAGCCCAGGAGTTCAAGACCAGCCTGGGGAACATAGCAAGACCCTGTCCCAAAAAAAAAAAAAAAAAAAAAAAAAAAAGGCCAGGTGTGGTGGCACACGCCTGTAATCCCAGCACTCTGGGAGTCTGAGGCGGGCAGATCACCTGAGGTCAGGAGTTCGAGAACAGCCTGGCCAATATGGTGAAACCCCGTCTCTACTAAAAATACAAAAATTAGCCAGCCAATCATGGTGGTGGGTGCCTGTAATCCCAGCTACTTGGGAGGCTGAGGCTGGAGAATCACTTGAACCCGGGAGGCAGAAGTTGCAGTGAGCGGAAATCACACCATTGCACTCCAGCATGGGTGACACAGCCAGACTCCGTCTAAAAAAAATTTTTAAAAAATTAGCCAGGCGTGGCGGTGCATGCCTGCAGTCCCAGATACTTGGGAGGCTGAGGCAGGAGGATCACTCGAGCCTGGGAGGTCAAGGCTGCAGTGAGCTGTGATCACACCACTGCACTCCAGCATGGGTGACAGAGCTAGATCCTGTTTCAAAAAAAAAAATAAAGTCATCATTCTCTCATGTATGTGTATATTGTTTCATTTGTTAATTAAGGTATAATTTTACATACAGTAAAACTCACCATTCTTCGTGCAGAGTTCTCACAAAAGTGTACAATTGTGTGGCATCCACCACAATCCCTGTATAGAAGAATCCCATCATCCCCGGAATTTCCCTGGACCCTTCCATAGCCCCCCAGTCCGTCACCCCCTGAATTGTTTTCTGGCACCCCGCCCCCCTTTCTTTTTGAAGTGGTTGTTTTGCAGGAAACATCACCCTCTCTCATTTTACAAATACTGCAGACAGATTTTGAAGCCCAAAGCATCATAGAGGCAGCAGATCAGGACAGGGAGGATTGAGGCGGGGAGGCTCTACCCTGACTGTAAGAAGCACTTGAGAGACCTGCAAAAAGCCAACAGGAGAGGCAGAGACTGTGGGGGCCAATTGGTACAGGTCCTGCCCTGCATGACAGGGCCAGTGGCCCCCACAGTGCTGAGGATAAAATCCAACTGCTCATCCAGGCTGCTGGAGCCTCCTGCCTTCAGGCCACCCCACTGGCCTCTTGCCCACTGTGCCCCACTGTCCAAGCTCTCGCCTGCCCTGGGAGGGGCCCCTGCAGCTTCTTGTGCCCAGGTGCACGTCCCTCTCTTTTCCCATCTGGGCGCCTGCTGACATTGTACCATGAATTTGAACACCACCCTGCAGATGACCTGGCCTCAGTCCATGAAGTTTCCCTTTCGTCTTCTGCAGGGCACCGGCCCCTAATGCCATCTGACGGTTTCCCTGCTCACAGGATCTTCCATTTGTTAGCCCCCCAGAGTGCCCAGCCCGAGTGAAGAGCATGCAGGAAACAAGCCCCTGTCCTCGTGGAGGCTACATTCCGAGAGGGGAGGTAGGCAACACACACACAAACGACTCCGTGGTATGTCATGCTGCGATGCTGGCTGTGGAGGAAAATGAAGTGAGGCCTGGTGAAAGCCAGAGGCCATGGGGCTGCCGAGGAGGAACAGGGACAGGGTAGGATTTGCTTAGAGCAGGGCAGGTCGCGTGGGACTCTGCGGGCCACTGAAAGGAACTTGGCTTTTATTCAGAGGATGTTAAAGCGTGAGTGACATCCTCTGACCTTTTATAAAAGAGGCAAGAGTCTAGGGAGCCCGGGTAGAAGTGAGGGCGTCTGGAGGAGCCACAGTGGGCTCAGGGAGTGAGCCCACGCGAGGGCGCAGAGCAACTGGACGCTCCAACAGGGCTGGTGGAAGTGCCGAACGGTGTGCATCACCTTGGAAAGCAGGCAGTTTTTAATACCATGAAGCTCGTCCAGCCCTATGATTCGCATTTCCACTCCTAGGTATCACACTCAAGAGAAGTGAAGACGCCCACAAAGGGCTCTGCAGCAGCACTGCCGGTGAGAGCTGCATCCGGGGATGCATGGACTGGCCTGTCATTCCAGCACCTTGGGAGGCCGAGGTGGGAAGCATCGCTGGAGCCCAGGAGTTCGAGACCAGCCTGAGACCTCCAGAGGTGGAGACCCCCCCCCCACCACCTCCACTAAAAACTGAAAAAGAAATTAGTTGGGTGTGGTGTGCGCCTGTAGTCCCAGCATTATCTATATGTTAAACTGATGTTTTAAATCAGAGTTGATATCCAAATAATTAAAGAATAAACAACAAGCACAGGGACTGGTGAGGGGCTGGGCCAGATTCTCTGCAACCCACATGGCTTCACCCACTTTCCAAACCCCTGGTTCCGTGAGGACCTAGAATGACCACCCCAGACTGTTCCAGAAACAGCCTGGGGATTCTGAATGTTTCCCAGAGAATCATTAGGAATTATCCCAGCGGCGCTGGAGTAAGTGGCCAACTTAAAGTTGGACGACACTGTCTGAAACAGTCGCGTAAGGGGTAAGGGTGGAAAGCCTGGTTCTCACTGCGCTGCCGGCTCCCCGCCCCGCTCCACAGCCCCGCGCCGGCGCGGGCTCCCCGGGTCCCCGCAAGCCGCCGGGGGCGGGCCGGGGCGGGCCGGGGCGGGCCCGGGCGTGGGGGGCCGAAGGAGGAAGCGCGCGGGGCGCCATAAGGAGGAAGCGGGTAGTCGACCGTGTCCGCGCGCCTGGGAGACGCTGCCTCGGCCCGGACGCGCCCGCGCCCCCGCGGCTGGAGGGTGGTGAGTGCACCCGCGCCCCTCCCGGGGTACGCGCCGAGCCCCAGCCCGTGACCCCTGCCTGCCGCCTGCCCCGGCGTGGAGCTCAGGGCCCGCCGCCCGCCCTGGGCCCGACCGCGGTGGGAGCCAGAGGAGGGGAGGCGGGGGGTCAGAGCCCCAGGCCTCAGCAGCGACCTGAGGGCCGGGTCTCTCCCGCCTCCCCTCCGCCCGGGCGCCCTCCTCGGCGCGGCCGGCAGGTCGGTGCTGAGGGTCGGGTCCGCCTCGGAGGCGGGGAAGGCTTTGTTGTGTCCTCTCCACGTGGCCTGGGGATTCAGGGGAGGGGTGCGGGGCGCGGGGAGGGGGAGGGGCCGAGGCCAGCCCCGGAGAGGAGAAAACCCGCGGGCCTGGCCGGGTGCAGGCCACCCTTGCCGGCGGATCGGAATCCCCGCCCACACCGTGGTCTTTCCAGCACCGCAGACACCTGCCGGCTCCTCCCGAGCGGAGCTCAGGGCTGACAAAGCGCGGTCAGAGCGGCCGCTTACTGGGGCTCGCCCGCTCCTTAGAGCACTGGCAATGATGTGCGGATCCTCGCTGCTGCTGCTGGGAAACTGTTGAGTGGCTGAATGACCCCAGGGGACCCTGGGAGAGCTCTGAAGCCCTCAGCCACCAAGTGGCTGGGCTGGCAAGGGTTCATTCATTCATTCAACAAATACGAATGTGCAGCGGTGCTGGGGTCATGATGGCTCGGTGGGCAGCGAGGGGCCGGGCCGGCTGGAGGAGCACAGTGCGGATTCTGTAAGTGGGCTGGGGGCTGGGCCTTCTGCGGCTGGACCGGCCTTCACCTGCAGGCAGGGTTGGGGCAGGTGAGGAGCAGATGGACCCACCCAGAGCTCTTCCACCTTCTCAGGCTTGCACCCCCTTCCTGGAGCCTTATCCACACCCTCAGTCCTCGCTCTCACTGTGGGGGAGCTGCAGAGGATGCGGTTTTTCCACATTCCATCTCCACCCACAGGAGGCTTTGAGATGGGGGGAGCTCTCCTGGGCCTGAATGTGTGCCGTCCTGGGGCCCTGCAGTCCCCTGGGAGTGATGACCGAGACCAGATTCCCTGAGCTGGGGTCTTAAGGGTGTGGGGAGCGCAGAGGGATCCTCTGGCATCAGGAGTTGAGGTAGACAGAGCTCCAGGGAGGCACTGCCGGGAGGACGACCCTGGCCAAGCCTCTGCCTGCGGCCCAGGGTGTGCGTCCCTGCCCCTTCTGCCCCTCTTGCCCAGGGAGGGAAGAGGAAATGCGGGGTCAGCAGTTCGTGGCTGGGGTTTAAAGGCAGGGATCTCCCAGGACGGGCACAGGGAGCATGAGGAAGCAGCTCGTGTCTCTGTTCATGAGATGTGAGAGTGGTGACTGAGACGAGGGGTGCAGAGACCTGCCGTGGCTGGGGCGAGGTGCTGTTAGTGCTTCTGAGGAGGTTGGGCAGGATAGACGGTGGCTGTCAGGTGGTCTCAAGGTTGTGCAGGAGCTTGCCAGAGAGGGAAGCGGGGCATGGCCCCAGGGTGGTATGGGGGATTCTAGGGGGAGGGTGCCTGGGTGGGAAGGGGTGTCGCATGCCCAGCTCAGAGGCCTTGCTTAGGGGTGCTCACAGGCTCGGCTGACGTGAGGATGCTGATCGAAGGAGCTGAGGGTCCCACTCATTTGCAAGGGGGAACTGTCTGCCCAGGAGCCCCAGCAGTGCCCAGGCCCCTGGACTGACAAGGATGGATGAGGGTGATGGAGGCGGATGGACATTTGACACTGGAGCCTGCCTTCCAGGCAGAAGGGCCGTGAGTCATCCTCTCTCCGGTGCCAAGTGGAGGGGCTGAGCAGGTCCTCGACGTGACCGAGGACTGTGCCCGTTTTTTCAGGGGACCCGGAGCGCTGGCTCTGGCTGTCAGCCCATGAGAGACCTCCCTGCAGAGCTGTGGCCTCTGGAAATGCTTCCTGTCGTTGACATCTGGTCACCATTCTCCAGCTGGGGCTGTGGAGGGCAGCACAGGCCTGGAGTGTCCCCGAGAGCAGCTGGGCGTCTGCCCCTGCCCACCCCACAGGGCCTCCCACTCACAGGGCCTAATTAGCAGCTCCATGGCTGCCATACCTGGCGGACCGCCCTCAGCGGCCACATATATCCTTGCCCCAAGCCAATGACAGGTCTGAAGAAGACACTGATGGAGCTGAAGCACAGGACAGAGACAAGCACCTGTGTGCCGGACGCTCACGGAGCACTTGATGTGTGCTGACTGGCTCACATCACGGTGGTCAGACGAGGGTAGCATCCCCATTCTCCAGATGGTGTAACTGAGGCAAGGAGAGGCTAAGTAACTTGTCCAAGGTCACACCCGAGGGAGTTGGACTTCAGGGTCTCAGCTCTGAGCATCAGGCACACTGCCCAGATTCCCCCTCCACATGTCACACCTGTTAGGCCACTGGGGGTAAGGAGCCTTTCTGTGGCCTCGCTCCCCTGTGAGCCCCTGGGAGGGAGGCAGCCCAGATTCCAAGGCAGCGAGTGACGTGTGTGGGAAAGGGGAAGCTTCCGGGGCAGGGGTTCAGAAACCTCGCAGTGGGGTTTTCCCCAAGAGCCACTGCTGGCAGGTTCCTACAGCCCCATCCAGCCCCAACACAGCCTGCCTCTTTTCCTTCCTCTTCCTCCTTTTCTCTTTCTGCCTGCGTTGGTCCAAAATGGGGAAGTTTCACATAAATGGCAAACAGGCCACAAAGCAGCTATTTCTGGAGGTGCTGCTGCCTTGCAGATTGAATTCTTGGTTGGCATTTTAGGTGTTTGTTTTCAGGATCCTTTTCTGTAGAAGAAGCCAACAACTAAGAAAAGGAGGAAGTGGCTTTGGGAGGCTGAGACGGGAGGATTGCTCGAGCCCGGGAGGTCAAGGCTATAGTGAGCTGTGATTGCACCGCCGCACTCCTTGAATCCTATCAGCTTGGCCAGGGTGGGGGTGGGAAGTGGGGTCTTAAAGGGGAAAGACCAGCCGGGCGCGGTGGCTCACGCCTGTAATCCCAGCACTTTGGGAGGCCGAGTTGGGCGGATCATGAGGTCAGGAGATCAAGACCGTCCTGACTAAGACGTTGAAACCCCGTCTCTACTAAAAATACAGAAAATTAGCTGTGCGTGGTGGGGGGCGCCCATAGTCCCAGCTACCTGGGAGGCTGAGGCAGGAGAATGGTGTGAACCCGGGAGGTGGAGCTTGCAGTGAGCCGAGATCGCGCCACTGCACTCCAGCCTGGGGGACAGAGCGAGACTCCGTCTCAAAAAAAAAGTGGGGGAAAGATCACCATCTGGATCATAGACCAGACCTGAAAGGGGGCTGGTCACTTTTAGGTACGTAGAGTAACTGGAAAGACACACTGTCCTAGTGGAAGCCGTGGGTGGCCTCTGTGGCTGCTGTGGCCCCAGGGGAGGAGATACCTGTCTTCTGGGGCTGCGGCTCAGTCTGGCTCCGGGTCCGGATCACCAGGGAACTTTCTGCAGAGCATCCTGCCTGGGCTTTGCCTGGTCTGCATGGGATCCCCCAGCCTGTGGCTCAGCCCGCTTCTATGCTCATAGCCATGCTGGCGCCGGGGGCAGTCCTTGGCTTCCCTCCTCGTTGGCTTAACAAACCCCCTTTCTTCAGAGGAAGGAAAGTGTGCCGTGGCCTGGTGGGACAGGCTGGGCTTGGAGGTGCCAAATGTCCTGTGTGCTTGGGGACAGCTGCTGAACCTCCCCGCCGCCGTCACGGCCCTTGGCCAAGAGCTTTCATCCAAGGCTGGCAGTAGTTGCTCTATTTCTGTTATGGGGCACCTCTGCATCTGGGTTTGGTTTAATTTGTGTAACTGAATGTCTCATTTTATTCCTCACATTCATTCTGTGAAGTTTCCCTTGTCTGGGTGAGTGTTCAGGTGACTACAACCCTGGGTCCGGGATGGGCGGTGTTCCAGGAGCTTCTGCTTGGGCCTCTCCCATTCTCCCCCAAAACCAAAGAGAAGGGAAAACCCTTTGTAAGTGGATGTCACATGTCAGGTGCTTTTTCTGATACTGCATGTGATCCCACAAGGCAGGGAGTGTCCCCTTTTACAGACGGGGAAGGTGAGATCACATTGCAGGTTCAAAGCCCGACATGACCTGTCCACCTTTACAGCTTCCCTCTCTGGGCTGGGAGTGCGTGAGGGCTTCTTAAAATGCAGATGGACTTGGGGGATTGAGCTTCTCTGGGGTTCTGGTGTTTTTGTAGGGAGAGCCATCTGGGGTCAGGGCTGGGGTGGGGACAGCAGGAGAACAGGACAGGAGTGGCAACCCAGGGCCAGGGAAGGGAGTAGGCAGGGGTAGCATATGGGGGTGGAAAGAAAGGGGCCAGTGGCACGAAGGGCCCTGGGAGGCAGCAGCGTGTCCCTCCTGGGGGTAAGTCCAGGAAGGTGGCCATCCCCGAGGAGCTCCGTTCCTGTGACAATGAGGCTAGGCCTGAGGGCACCGGAGGCCAGCGGGCAAGTGCACACCCCCAAGCCTGGCGGGGCACCACGTGACCAGGCCTGGTATTGGGACTGGGAGTGGCTCCTGCACCAGCTGGCATCTGCCTAGAGACAGGAAGGTGGGTGCCTCCTGGGTTCAGCTGGGAACTCTGAGCTTTGGGTGCTGGAGGTCACTGCGTTTGGGATGGCTGCCTCCTGGACCCAGCTGCCTCTGTGTGTGGAGTCAGTAAGGCACCGTCCTGGCTGCGGAACTGAGGCAGGCATGCTATGAGAAGATAAAATTGCCTTAACAACTGTCCCCAGGATCCTTCCAGCAGGCACTTCCTTGCTGTGCCCTGGAAAAGCGGGGTGGCACTCTGGATGACAGCACAGCCTCAGGGTGCTTCTCTGTGGCCCACACACCCTTCCGGCCTGATGGCCACGTCCGTTCCTGTTTACCCAAGCCCCACTTCCCCTGAAATCCAGGCAGGGAGAGATGGGGCCTGGCTGTGAGAAACCTGGCCCCAGGTGTCACCATTTCCCCAAAAGCCTTGTTTCTCCCTCTGGGTATCCCTGAGGACCCCTGCAGACATCCAGCCCCAAACCCGGCCAACTGAGCAGGGAGCCCAGCTAGGGGCCTTTGTGGAAGGGTCACCCGTGTACTCACACCAGCAGCCAGCCGCTCCTGGGTCATCAGCCCCTCCATAGGAGAGGGGAGGCGTTTCTGCCAGGGGCTGGGTGGCATTTCTGCCAGGCAGGGGCATGGCGTTGGCACGGCACAGGCCCTGCTGTGCTCTGTGAGGCTCTGCCCTGACTTGGACTCTGCCTGGGATGTGGTGAAAGCCTTGTTCTTTATTTATTTAGTTATTATTTATTTATTTATTTATTTATTTATTTATTTTTGAGACGAGTCTCACTCTGTCGCCCAGGCTGGAGTGCAGTGGCACGATCTCTGCTCCCTGCAAGCTCCGCCTCCCAGGTTCACGCCATTCTCCTGTCTCAGCCTCCTGAGTAGCTGGGACTACAGGCGCCCACCACCACGCCCGGCTAATTTTTTTTTTTTTTTTTTTTGAGACGGAGTCTCGCTCTGTCGCCCAGGCTAGAGTGCAGTGGCGCGATCTCGGCTCACTGCAAGCTCTGCCTCCCGAGTTTCACGCCATTCTCCTGCCTCAGCTTCCCGAGTAGCTGGGACTACAGGTGCCCACCACCATGCCGGCTAATTTTTTCTATTTTTAGTAGAGAAGGGGTTTCACCGTGTTAGCCAGGATGGTCTCGATCTCCTGACCTCGTGATCCACCCGCCTCGGCCTCCCAAAGTGCTGGGATTACAGGCGTGAGCCACCTTGCGGCCCAGCCTTGTTCTTTATGACAGAGTCTACAGAGAGTTCAGGGAGGGGCGGACCAGGAGGCTCACCAGAGGCTCACCAGGGATTCTGGAGTAGCTGAGGGACACCTGCCTTCCCCTGCCATCCACCATGCCCCACCCAGAAGCCCAGGGCCTGGGCAGGGGAGGGAGGCAGGACTCCCGGGTCACAAAGACCTGGAGCATAGGGGTCCACTGACTTCTGGGGCCTGTGGTGGAGCCTCCGACCTCTGGGAGGGGGCCCCAGTCACCTGAAGAGGCTCTTGCCTCCTCATGTCTCCTCCTGCTGGCTGCCTTTTCAAAAACCGTTTGATTGAGACATACTGCACATGCCATAAAATTCACCCATCAAAGGGCACAGTTCAGTGGCTTAGTATATACACGGTGTGCGACCGTCACCACCGCCTACAGGCAGAACATTTCAGTAACCCAAAGAGAAGCTCCAGACACACTGGTGGCTGCTCCGCAGCCCTGGCAGCCCTAATCTTTCTGTCTATGGAGTTGCACATTTAGGACATTTCATACTAATGGAATCACACACTACGTGGTCTTTTGTGACTGACTTCTTTCATGTAGCATATTTTCAACTCATGTTAACTGCTGTAACTCATGTTACAGTAGGTGTCAATGTTTCCTTCATTTTTTATTTTGTATTTTTTGTAGAGACAGGGTCTCACTGTGTTGCCCAGGTTTGCCTCAAACTCCTGGGCTCAAGTGATCCTCCTGCCTTGGCCTCCCACAGTGCTGGCCTTTTCTTGGCTACCAGAGGCAAATTCAAGCAGCAATGGAACTTTTCACTTCGCGGACGCTGTTTCTCCGTTTTCTCTCCGTGTCTCTGTTTCCCCTGCCCCTGACTCTGTGTTCTGTTGGTTTCGGGCTTACCCATGGCTTGGTGGCATCAGTGATTGAGCATTGGTTTGTGGTCATATTGTTTTGCTCATCTTTGTAGGCGGATGACAGAGATCAGTTCTCTGTGGTCAGATACGGAGAATCTGGATGATCAGACTTCGTTCTCTGTGTCCTTAGCCTCTTTTGAGCTCAATTCAATTCAGAATTTTGTGTCCACCGGGAAGGATACCTCTTTGACACCTGGTCCAGGGACTTTTCCAGTTTCTGTGTTTACTCTTGCCCTGGGGCTGAAGTTGTAATTCAGAAAGGCCTTTGCCTCTCACTAAGTGAATGTGGAAAACTTTTTTTGAGTCATTGGGTAAGGTCATGAAGTGTCTTGAATTGGAGGAACTCTATTCTGATTGGTTCGTGATTAGCTTATGTAAGTAAATATTTCTAAGATTTCCAGAACGTAGGAAAATCGTACTTCTAATAATTTATTTCTTTATTTATTATAATTTTTTTTTTTTGAGATGGAATCTCACTCTGTCACACAGGCTAGAGTGCAGTGGCGCGATCTCGGCTCACTGCAACCTCTGCCTCCTGGGTTCAAGAGATTCTCCTGCCTCAGCCTCCCAAGTAGCTGGGATTACAGGTGTGTGCCACCATGCCCAGCTAATTTTTGTATTTTTAGTAGAGATGGGGTTTCACCATGTTGGCCAGGCTGGTCTCGAACTCCTGATCTCAGGTGATCCTCCTGCCTTGGCCTCCCAGAGTGCTGGGATTACAGGCGTGAGCCACCACGCCTGGCTGTACTTCTAATAATTTTAATGCACTAGACTTTAAATTTAAAAAGAAATTCTTGGCCGGGCATGGTGGCTCAGGCCTGTAATCCCAGCACTTTGGGAGGCTGAGGCAGGCAGATCACGAGGTCAGGAGATCCAGACCATCCTGGTTAACACAGTGAAACCCCGTGTCCACTAAAAAATACAAACAATTAGCCGGGCGTGGTGGCAGACGCCTATACTCCCAACTACTTGGGAGGCTGAGGCAGGAGAATGGCGTGAACCCAGGCTGCGGAGGTTGCAGTGAGCAGAGATCACACCATTGCACTCCAGCCTGGGCAACAGAGTGAGACTCTGTCTCAAAAAACAAACAGACAAACAAAAAAGGCTGGGCGCGAAGTGGCTCACGCCTGTAATCCCAGCACTTTGGGAGGCCGAGGCGGGTCGATCACCTGAGGTCGGGAGTTTGAGACCAGCCAGGCCAACATGGAGAAACCCCCTCTCTACTAAAAATACAAAATTAGCCCGGCATAGTGGTGCATGCCTGTAATTCCAGCTACTCGGGAGGCTGAGGCAGGAGAATCGCTTGAGCTTGGGAGGCGGAGCTTGCAGTGAGCTGAGATCGCGCCACTGCACTCCAGCCTGGGCGACAAAGTGAGACTCCATCTCAAAAAAAAAAAAAAAAAGAAAGAAAGAAATTCTTCTTACAGAAACAAACTGGAATATTTTAAGAATCTTAAGTTCAGGCCAGGTGCAGTGGCTCACACCTGTAATCCTAGCAATTTGGGAGGCTGAGGCAGGAGGATGTCTTGAGTCCAGGAGCTCGATACCAGCCTGGGCAACATGGCAAGACCTTGACTCTACAAAAAATAAAAGATTAGCCGGGCATGGTGGTTGTGCCTGTAGTCCCGGCTCTGGAGGCTGAGGGGGGAGGATCGCCTGAGCCCGGGAGGTTGAGGCTGTAGTGAGCTGTGACTGCACCACTGCAGTCCGGCCTGCGGAACAGAGCCAGACCCTGTCTCCAATAATAATAATAACAATAATCATCTAAGTTCACGTAATTGATGTAAATCTTTGGCAAATGAGACTAATAATTTGGGTTTTAAAAAGCTATGTCTTTTCTTCAGTTTCTTTTTATTATTATACTTTAAGTTTTAGGGTACATGTGCACAACGTGCAGGTTTGTTACATATATATACATGTGCCATGTTGGTGTGCTGCACCCATTAACTCGTCATTAGGTATATCTCCTAATGCTATCCTTCCCCCCTTTTCTTCAGTTTATCAGCATTAGCTATAATACAGGTGTACCTTTTGTTCTACTTGGCTTCCTCCCCTAAACTTCTACGGGTTTACTTATCAAATCAGCTAATATTACTGTTACATAATGTTTAAGATTATGAAAAATATAAGTTTGTGTTCAAATAAATGTGTTCATTATTCTGAAAGTGTACTGTACCAAAATAAAGCTTAGGTAACTTAAAACCTTGGACTGATACTAAATGGAGTTGAGTAGGTATTCTTTGGATATCGACATACTTACTCGGTAAGACAGAATAGTAAAACATTGGTTACTAGGTATACCTGGGTTTTTTTCAGCTCTAAAAAGAGGCCGTATCTTGGCCTGCAGTCATGACCTTGGCAAGTCACTTCTTTCAATGCCTCAGTTCCCCATCTGTCAAATGGGGGTGATCATACTGACCTACCTCACAGGGGCGTTGTTGTGAGGCATTGTAAGTCAAAGTTAATAGAATACCGCAGGGTCCTCTGTGGAGGATGTCTTGGGTCCTCTGTGGAGGATGTCTTGGGTCCTCTGTGGAGGATGTCTTGAGCCGGACACACAGGCTTTGGTCCTCACTGAGCTGTCTCCAAGACTGGAACTACTTACTGACTCGGCAAATTCTCTACCCCCACCCCTCATCAGATCTGCTAGTTCAGATGTTGACAGTGTTTTCATGAATGTTGGAATCTTACTAGTCCAGACTTACTTAGGATGTTGTTGGGGAAGGCACTTGGGATTTTCTGTGTCTTGCATTCACAGAGGGAGGTCATTTCAGATGCAGGAGCATTGGATTAGGGAATCGTGAGGCAGAGATGCTACCGCTTATTTCTCTCTGCAGGTTGGGGATGAAAGTTCCATTCCCCATGGGTTTGAAGCAGACTCAGACTGTCTCAGGATCAAAGCAACCCTCAATGGTTTTGATTTATGTCATTGCTTACCACTCCCCAACCGATCCCAGGACAGCTGGGTCACTGTACCCCTTTGTGGTATCTGTACCCGGGCCTCTCCTTCCTCATAGGGACAGCTGATTCAATAAATGTGACCACCTTATTTCCACCCCCCAACAAAAAGCTACATTGGAATTATTTTTCCTAGAAATGTGTGTAACACTCAGAATTGGGCATTGATCCTTAAAGCTTCATCCGATTCACTGTATTCAGCATCTGTGATCTCTTAGTGTCTGCAGTCTTAACCTAACCTTGACCTTTTTTCCCTCTGGTTTGAGAAAAGTTTGGACACTATTTCTACTTGCCCAGGTGTGGGCTCAAGAGCCTTACTCTTTCCATCTCAGTGTAGGGGCACAGCCAACGCCTCTTCCCAATAGGGCTCTTTCTCCTTTCCCTCTCCTTGGCCCTAGATTTGTAATCCATGAAAAAGCACAAGGTCCTGGCTGCTTGCAGTCACATTCTGGTTCTCTGTGTTTTGTGGACTGTGCTCTCACTGTTCACCCAGCACTAGCAGTACCAGACGGTTCTGTGGAGTCCTGGGGAATGGAGAGAGCACAGTCTGACGCCCTGCCAAGTAGCCAGGAGTTGACTTGCCCATGGTCCGCTGGCTTTCCCACCACTTCCTACAGGATGGGATCTAAGAGACTCAGTAGCTGGGTTTCTTTCAGCACGCTGTACTGTCCCAAGTAGCAAACAAATCACTCTGTAGCCAGATTTCTGAATGGAAATGAGAAATTGAATTCTCCATGGACTTTTAGGTTTATGGGGGAGTTTTGGTTGTGTTTCCTGGTTTTATTTCAGCCAAACATGTCTGCTTTTGATTTTTTTTTTTTTTAAATTATAAGTGGTCTATATATATGTTCACCTTGTAAATGTCAGTGTTTAAAAAGAGTAAGCATTTATGTGTTTCCATAACTGACATCTGATACAGACCTCATTCTCTCCCCCTCTTCTACCCTCCTCTTTTCCCTCTTTTCATACTCTTGTATTGGTTCTAATAAATGGTTGCTTTTCAAAAAAAAAAAAAAAGTATGTTTTCATGTTGAGGAAGCATAGAAGGGCGCGAGTGGCTGTGAAGGCTATGGTGTGTGTGCCCACAGGCGTCTGCTAAACATGTGTCTGGAGACAGCTCTCAACTGTCAGCCTGCGGTTCTCTGTAAAATGGAAGTCAGTTACTTTGTTAAAAGTTATAATAAGGCCAGGCACGGTGGTTCACGCCTGTAATCCCAGCACTTTGGGAGACCAAGGCGGGCGGATCACCTGAGGTCAGAAGTTCGAGACCAGCTTGACCAGCACGGAGGAACCCGGTCTCTACTAAAAATACAAAAATTAGCCAGGTGTGGTGGCGGTCACCTGTAATCCCAGCTACTTGGGAGGCTGAGGCAGGAGAATCACTTGAACCCAGGAGACGAAGGTTGCAGTGAGCCAAGATTGTGCCACTGCACTCCAGCCTGGATGACAGAGCCAGACTATGTCTCAAAAAAAAAAAAGTTATAATTAATACACATGATGGAGACAAACAGCTATGTAAATGCTTTTATTTTTCAAAGAAAAAATACAGGTGGCCAGGCGAAGTTTCTCACGCCTGTAATGCCAGCACTTTGGGAGGCTGAGGCGGGTGGATCGCCTAAGGTCAGGAGTTTGAGACCAGCCAGGCTAACATGGTGAAACCTCATCTCTACTAAAAATACAAAAATTAGCCGGATGAGGTGGTGCATGCCTGTAGTCCCAGCTACTCGGGAGGCTGAGGCAGGAGAATCGCTTGAGCCTGGGAGGCGGAGGATGTAATGAGGCAAGATCACGCCATTGCACTCCAGCCTGGGTGACAGAGTGAGACTCCGTCTTAAAAAAACAAACAAACAAACAGGTTTTGTTTTTTTTCCTCAAAGCAGCACTTCTCAAACTTTTTGGTCTCTAGATCCCTTTATATATAAAAATTATTGAGGAACCAAAAAGCGTTTGATTAAGTAGGCTTTTATCCCTATATTCTGTGTTAGAATTAAAACTGAGAAATTTTAAAAATAGGCCAGTCACAGTGGTCCTTACCTGTAATCCCAGCACTTTGGGAAGCTGAGGCAGGAGGATCACTTGAGCCCAGGAGTTTGAGGCTGTAGTGGGCCATGATCGTGCTACTGCACTCTAGCCTGCTTGACAGAGTGAGACCCTGTCTCCAAAAAAAAAAAAGTGTTCATTCATTTGAAATTTGTGAAATTGTTTAATTAAATTAATTAATTAATTAATTTTGAGACAGAGTCTTGCTCTGTTGACCAGGCTGGAGTGCAGTGGCCTGATCTTGGCTCACTGCAACCTCTGCCTTCTGGGTTCAAGCAATTCTTCTGCCTCAGCCTCCCGAGTAGCTGGGTTACAGGTGCACGCCATCATGCCCGGCTAATTTTTGTATTTTTAGTAGAGACGGGATTTCACCATATTGGTCAGGCTGGTCTCAAACTCCTGACCTCAGGTGATCCACCCGCCTCGGCCTCCCAAAGTTCTGGGATTACGAGCGTGAGCCACCTCGCCTGGCCAACGTAACTATTTTATAAAACAAAACATTTCTATTGAGAAGAACAGCATTGCGTCAGTGTTTCTGCAGATCTCCTGGGTGTCTGACTGAATAGAGGATACCTGGATTCTCGGTTGTTGCAGTATCTCTTTCGCTCAGCCCCTGGGAAAGTCCACTGTACCCTCATGAGAGAATGACAGAAGAAACTGTGTTATGGAAGCTTTTCAACCTCACAGATTCTCTGAAAAGGGCCTCAGGCACCCTAGGATATCCTGGTCCACACTCTCTCCTAAAGCGATTTACCAGTGTTTTCCAGAATATGGTAAAAATGACAAAAAACATAGTGAAGGGCAAAACTAGGTATGTGCCTTTTATCATCATGGTACCTGAGTCTGAAAAGCAGCAATGAATTATGTCACAATTTTAGCAAAGTTTGCTGGCCTTGATGGTCTTGCCTTCTTTGTTTACTCATTAATGCCTTTGCCTTCAAAGTGAAAGATTATGGCCGGGTGCGGTGGCTTATGCCTGTAATCCCAGCACTTTGGGAGGCCGAGGCGGGTGGATCACGACGATGTCAGGAGATCGAGACCATCCTGGCTAACACGGTGAAACCCCGTCTCCACTAAAAATACAAAAAATTAGCCGGGCGTGGTGGCGGGCGCCTGTAGTCCCAGCTACTCGGGAGGCTGAGGCAGGAGAATGGCGTGAACCCAGGAGGCAGAGCTTGCAGTGAGCCAAGATCACGCCACTGCACTCCAGCCTGGGCGACAGAGCGAGACTTCATCTCAAAAAAAAAAAAAAAAAAAAGTGAAAGATTATTCTTTCCTTTCTGTGTAATGCACCTGGATGGCAGAGGTTCTGTATAGCAGAATCATTTTTGATGCTTTATGTTGACTTTATTATGTTTGTGCTTATTTAAGGGGAAAAAACAAAGAACAAAGGTTCATCACTTGTGAAACATCAGGTTTGTTTTGTTAATGGATAATCAAGTCTCTCTCAGACACCCGCGAGCCTGCCTTAAACAACTGTCCAGATTGCCTCTAAAACTGTCCCTGAGACTCTGAGTGCCCCTGGAAAATCACAAAGATTTGATCATTCACCTTATAAAAAGAAAAATACCATAGACATAATGAGGTTTGTTTTAAGCGTTATCTTGTAAGACCTGCACGGGAAGAGTGGTTGTCAAATCACAAGAGACGCTGGCCACAGCTCCTTGGTTCGGTGTGTATGTGTAAATGTTATTCATGGAAATAATTCAGAAGTTCTGGGCTTGGCGGGAGGCCCCGTGCTTGTCAGTGCCCTCCCTTGCTCTGTGTAGGATATTTTCATTCAGAAAATATCTGAATGAAATATTCAGAAATATCTGAATAACGCATCTGGCCAGATGCATTAGAAAATCGTTATGAAAAGAGACTTTGAGTCTTCCCATGCTGATGTTCCCCATGTGGGAAAGGATTGCCTGGTGCTTTCACCAGTGACTAATAGAGCCTCTGGGCCCAGGCTTCTGCATGGACATTACCTCAATGGCTCTCAGACCACCCCAGCGCGCCGGGCCAGGGCTTCGTGAGGCTGGAAGCTGGCTCCGAGTCCTGCAGAGTGCGACGGGCTGCTGAGGGAACTGAATTGTGGTGGTTTGCTTGGAATATAGCTGATGTGTTCATTTCTGTTTTCTAGATGTAAGAGGAAATGCTTTCTCATTCTTAGTGTCTGTAATCCGTGATGATTTAGTAGGCTCTGCTCTGGTAGATGGATATGAAACTTTTTTTTTTTTTTTTTTTTTTTTTTGAGACAGAGTCTTGCTCTGTTACCCAGGCTGGAGTGCAGTGGCGCGATCTCACCTCACTGCAACCCCCGCCTCCTGGGTTCAAGCGATTCTTCTGCCTCAGCCTCTCGAGTAGCTGGGACTACAGTTGCCCATCACCTCACCTGGCTAAGTTTTTGTATTTTTAGTAGAGCTGGGATGTAGAGTAGAGATGTTGGCCAGGCTGGTCTTGAACGCTTGACCTCAAGTGATCTGCCCTCATCAGCCTCCCAAAGTGCTGGGAGTATAGGCATGAGTCATTGTGCCCGGCCAGATATGAAACTTTTTTTTTTTTTTTTTTTGAGATGGAGTCTCACTCTGTCGCCCAGGCTGGAGTGCAGTGGCGCAATCTCGGCTCACTGCAAGCTCTGCCTCCCGAGTTCACGCCATTCTCCTGCCTCAGCCTCCTGAGTAGCTGGGACTACAGGTGCCCACCACCACGCCCGGCTAATTTTTTGTATTTTTAGTAGAGACTTAGGGTTAGCCAGGATGGTCTCGATCTCCTGACATCGTGATCCACCCGCTTCGGCCTCCCAAAGTGCTGGGATTACAGGCGTGAGCCACCTCGCCCGGCCGAAACATTTTTAAATGATATTGCTTTCTCAGTGAACCCCCATTCTCACTGTCTCCTTATTTTTTGTGGTGATATAGTTATTTGCATAGGTTCAGTAAGAATCTGTCCTTTTTAAAATTGAAATTTGAAATTTAAAAAATTTTAAACTTTAATAATAATAATAATTTTTAGAGTTGGGGCCTCACTATGTTGCCCAGGCTGGCCTTGAGCTCCTGGGCTTTCAAGCAGTCCTCCCACTGCAGCCTTCTGAGGAGCTGAGATTACAGGTGCACACCACTACACCTGGCTCTGTTTTTTGTTTGTTTGTTTTGAGACGGGGTCTCACTCTGTCACCCAGGCTGGAGTGCAGTGGCATGATCTCGGCTCACTGCAACCTCCGCCTCCTGGGTTTAAGCGATTCTCCTGCCTCAGCCTCCCGAGTAGCTGGGATTACAGGTGCACGCCCGGCTAATTTTTGTATTTTTAGTAGAGATGGGGTTTTCTCCATGTTGGCCAGGCTGGTCTTGAACACCTGACCTCAAGTGATCCACCTGCTTTGGCCTCCCAAAATGCTAGGATTACAGGTGTGAGCCACCGCACCCAGCCCACACCTGGTTCTTTTGTTTTTTTTTTTTTGTTTTGTTTTTTGTTTTGAGACGGAGTCTTTTTCTGTCGCCAGGCTGGAGTGTAGTGGCGTGATCTCGGCTCACTGCAACCTCTGCCTCCCGGGTTCAAGTGATTCTCCTGCCTCAACCTCCTGAGTAGCTGGGACTACAGGTGTGCGCCACCACGCCCAGCTAATTTTTGTATTTTTAGTAGAGACGGGGTTTCACCATGTTGGCCAGGATGGTCTCGATCTCTTGACCTTGTGATCCGCCCACCTCGTCCTCCCAAAGTGCTGCGATTACAGGCATGAGCCACCACACCTGGCCCACCTGGCTCTTTTTTAAGTGTATATTTTTTTATCGTGGTAAAATAGATATAGCATAAGATTTCCCATTTTAAGCATTTTTAAGCGTACAGTTCAGTGGCATTCAGTACAGTCTCATTGTCGTGCAACCATTACCACCAACCATCTCCAGAACTTTTTCACCTTTCAAAACAGAAATGGTACCATTAAACGCTAACTTGCCACCCCCAGCCCTTGGCAGGTGCCTTTGTACTTTCTGATCCTTGTGAAGTTGACTACTCTGGGCACCCCTTGGAGATAGAACCACATGTATTTGTCCTTTCATGACTGGCCTAGTTCGCCCAGCGTAGTGTCTTCAAGTTCATCTGTGTTGTAGCGTGTGTCAATTGTATGTCACCCCATGTTTTATTTTTCCACTCATCTGTTAGACATCTGGACTATTTTGGCCTTTTGTTTGCTGTTAGCATGGGTGTGCAAATGTGTGTTCCAGGCTCTACTTTTCAGTTCTTCAGCGTAATACCCAAAAGCTGAATTCTAGGTCAAATGGTAGTTCTAGGTTTAATTTTTTGAGGGACTGGCGTCTGTGCCTTTTCTCAAACTAAAATATAACTGGATAAGTTCCTAGTGCGGCCAGGGCCTTCCCTGGAATGCCGTATTTGTGAAGGATGCTGACCAGCCACTTCTAGAGGAACTGAGGCGACCGTGGAGTCAGTGCCTGCGAGGTCTCGGCCTCCTGGGAAGAGTAGCTCGGCCCCAGCTCACAGCGTGGCAGGAAGGTCACTTGCCAGCAGCTGGGGAACTTAAGCTCTTTGAGGGACCTGAATAAAAGAGATATGAGACTGAATGTACAAACAGACATGACTGGACCCCGTTACCTTCAAGGACCCCCCAGGAGGCCACAGGCCAGCTTGTGGAGCCGGGTGCTGTCACTAGCAACCATCCGGGAAGCCATGCAGTAACTAGAGTCTATGCTGTCAGCCCCACATGGCCAGGGCTTGATTGACTGGCAGCTTCCTGAAGTTTTGTCTCTGCTTCCATCCAACTTGAGACCAAGTAGAGAACCCATAGGTGCACGTAACGGATCGATGGGTAGCTTTCCTTGGAGCCTCTCCCAGGCAAACGCGAGTGACAGCGGCCGAGTCCCTTGCTGTTGGGAGCTCTGAGAACACACCCTCGCCTCACCTTTGGGTGGGCTTCACTCGCACAGGCACTACAGGAGAAACCTGCTGGAATTGCTTTCTTTTTTTCTTTTTTTTTTTTTTTTGAGACGGAGTCTCGCTCTGTCGCGCAGGCTGGAGTACAGTGGCGCTATCTTGGCTCACTGCAAGCTCCGCCTCCCGGGTTCACTCCATTCTCCTGCCTCAGCCTCCCGAGTAGCTGGGATTACAGGCGCCCGCCACCACGCCCGGCTAATTTTTTTGTATTTTTAGTAGAGACGGGGTTTCACCGTGTTAGCCAGGATGGTCTGGATCTCCTGACCTTGTGATCCGCCCGCCTCGGCCTCCCAAAGTGCTGAGATTACAGGCATGAGCGACTGCGCCTGGCATTTTTTTTTTTTTTTTTTTTTTTTGGGACAGGGTCAGGCTCTGTTGCCCAGGCTGGAGTGCAGTGGCGTGATCTCAGCTCGCTGTAACCTCCACCTCCCGGGCTCAAGCAATCCTTCCCCAGTAGCTGGGACTACAGGCACACGCCACCATGCCTGGCTAGTTTTTGTATATATTATAGAGACTGGGTTTCACCAGATTGCCTAGGCTGGTCTTGAACTCCTGGGCTCAGGTGATCAGCCTGCCCTGGCCTCCCAAAGTGCTGGGATTACAGGCATGAGCCAGCGTGCCCGGCCGAAGCCTGGTGGTTTCTTAGGCTTAGTTTCCAGCCCTCCAAATAGCAGATTGTTGATGGTGTTCAAGGGCAATCTAAGATTCCTTCTGAAGATAGCCAGGGAGAAGCTGCTTTTGTGCCCTCATTGCTGTTTGACACTGCATGGCCCTAAATTAGTCAAAGAAGCATAAGGAGGCTTAGTTAAATTGAACTCTCACTGCACCATGTAATGGTCAGGTCAGTCTCATGAGTCCTGCCCTTTTGTGTTAAAGAATCCTTTGCGGCCGGCATAGTGGCTCACGCCTGTAATCCCAGCACTTTGAGAGGCTGAGGGGGGCGGATCGCAAGGTCAGGAGTTTGAGACCCGCCTGGCCAACATAGTGAAACCCCATCTCTGCTAAAAATACAAAAATTAGCTGGGCATGATGGTGCATGCCTATAGCCCCATCTGCTTGGGGGGCTGAAGCAGGAGAATCACTTGAACCCAGGAGGTGGAGGTTGCAGTGAGCCGAGATTGTGCCATTGCACTCCGGCCTGGGTAACAGAGCGAGACTCCATCTCAAAAAAGAAAAAAAAAAGAAAGAAAGGAAAGGAAGGAAAGAAAGAAGGAAGGAAGGAAAGAAGGAAAGAAAGAGAGAGACAGACAGAAAGAGAGAGAGAAAGAAAGAAAGAAAGAAAAGAAAGAAAGAAAGAAAGAAAGAAAGAAAGAAAGAAAGAAAGAAGAAAGAAAGAAAGAAAGAAAGAGAAAAAAGAAAAGAAAGAAAGAGAACAGAAAGAAATGCGACTGAACTTTGCCCAGTGGAAAACGACCAGTGCCTTGTGGCTGTTGGGCCCAGTTTTGCGTCAGTTTGTCAACGCATTTCCAGTTTCCCCGTTGCCTGCGCACACAGTTCTTGGACTCCTTTGAATGGTTTTAACATCGCTGTTTCCCCTGTTAAAAAATGAGTTAATAAAACCTTTCACATGTGTTCACGTAAGAACAACAACAGGCCGGCTGCAGTGGCTCACGCCTGTAATCCCAGCACTTTGGGAGGCCGAAGGAGGGTGGATCATGAGGTCAGGAGTTCCAGACCAGCCTGGCTAACATAGTGAAACCCCATCTCTGCTAAAAATACAAAAATTAGTCAGGTGTGGTGGTGTGTGCCTGTAATCCTAGCTACTCAGGAGGCTGAGGCAGGAGACTTGCTTGAACCCAGAAGGCAGAGGTTGCAGTGAGCCGAGATCGTGCCATTGTACTCCTGCCTGGGCGACAGAGTGAGACTCCGTCTCAGAAAAACAAACAAACAAACAAAAAACCAAAAAGGAAATCACCTTCTCCAAACCCTTTATTTTTCTTTTCTTTTTTTTTTTTTTTTGAGACGGAGTTTGCTCTTGTCGCCCAGGCTGTAGTGCAGTAGTGCGATCTCTGCTGACTGCAACCCCCGCCTCCCAGGTTCAAGTGATTCTTCTGCCTTAGCCTCCTGAGTAGCTGGATTACAGGTACGCGCCACCACACCCGGCTAATTTTTGTATTTTTAGCAGAGACAAGGTTTCACCATGTTGACCAGGATGGTCTCAGTCTCTTGACCTCGTGATCCACCCGCCTCAGCCTCCCAAAGTGCTGGGATTACAGGCATGAGCCACCACGCCCGGCCTCCAAACCCTTTATTTTTCTGAAGACACCAAGGCACAAAAAAGTGAAGTGTCAGGAATTCCTTTCCCTACCCCTCTCCTTTTCTGATTAATTCTTGGGCATTCTTCAGCCCTGACCCAAATGGCACTGCCCCTTCTCTGGGTCACCAATCTAGGCCATGGTCCATGTGTGTTCACATTTCCGGGTTGGAGCTTTCCTTGGCACTGCACGGAGCATGCTGTGAAGTTTGGTGGGTGGATCGACGTTCCTAGAGCAGCACGATGTTCCTAAATTAGCGGGCATGGTGCTGGGCACCTGTAGTCCCATCTACTCGGGAGGCTGAGGCAGGAGAATGGCGTGAACCTGGGAGGCGGAGCTTGCAGTGAGCTGAGATCGTGCCACCGCACTCCAGCCTGGGCGACAGAGCAAGACTCCGACTCAAAAAAAAAAAAAAAAAAAAGAAAAGAAAAAAAGAAATTCAGGCCAGGCACGGTGGCTCACGCCTGTAATCCCAGCATTTTGGGAGGCCAAGGTGGGCGATCATGAAGTCAGGAGTTCAAGACCAGCCTGCCCAACATAGTGAAAGTCCGTCTCTACTAAAAATACAAAAATTAGCCGGGTGTGGTGGCACACACCTGTAGTCCCAGTTACTCAGGAGGCTAAGGCAGGAGAATCGCTAGAATCTGGGAGGCGGAGGTTGCAGTGAGCCAAGACCATGCCATTGTACTCCAGCCTGGGTTACACAGGTGAGACTCTGTCTCCAAAAAAAACACAAACAAAAACAAAAACAAAAAAACTGGAAAAGAAATTCAGTGAGTCAGCTGTTTCCTGTGAGTGGGACTAGGAAGACAGGGATGATGTTGACCAAGGAGAGGACTGCCCTGCAGATATCTGGCCCTTAAAAATCTTCTTCTGGGAGCACCTGTGTGCTGTGCTTGTCCCCGTGTGACCCATGCCTCTATCTGACCAACTGCATGGTGTTTTCAATGAGTTCCAGGACATTTGGCTTCCAGAGTGCATGGGAGGCACATAGGCCTCAGAAGCAAAGCTGGCATCTGAGCATACTCGTGAGGGCCTGGCGCCCCCTGGCTCAGCAGCAGCGAAGCTGCCCCCTGCCCTCCCTGGGCACCCTGGAGCCTCAGTCGTGTCTCCGAAACCAGGGCAGAAGCGCCTTCCTGGCGAGGCCGTGGTGAGGATTGGAGGGGAGGCCTGCGGAGGGGCCTGGCGGTGCCTGCTGGGGTCCTTGTTGTCAGAGATGGTATTTGTCACCCCCGTCTGGCAAAGTCCTGGAGACTGGGGGAATGTCACCCCCATCCGGCAGAGTCCTGGAGACTGGGGGAATGTCACCCCCGCCCGGCAGAGTCCTGGAGACTGGGGGAATGTCACCCCCATCCGGCAGAGTCCTGGAGACTGGGGGAATGTCACCCCCATCTGGCAGAGTCCTGGAGAATGGGGGAATGTCACCCCTGTCCTGCAGAGTCCTGGAGACTGGGGGAATGTCACCCCCGTCCGGCAGAGTCCTGGAGACTGGGGGAATGTCACCCCTGTCCGGCAGAGTCCTGGAGACTGGGGGAATGTCACCCCAGTCCTGCAGAGTCCTGGAGACTAGGGGAATGTCACCCCCATCTGGCAGAGTCCTGGAGACTGGGGGAATGGCACATGCAGGGCTCGGCACCTCACCCTGCTCACTGCGAGGGCCTTGGGGAACCTGGCTGTGAGTGTCCTGGCATGAGGGCAGCCTCACTGAGGTGAGGCAGGGTATTTCCCGTTTCCCATCTGCCTGGCCGTCTTCCCACTGGCCCTTGGAAGAGAGAGGGCATGAACTCCTGGCTGCGTGAGTTTCCTTCTTACTAGCAACTTTGTTTAGGAGTTGGGATGGGCGTAGGGCCGCTATTGACGGGGGAGCCTCTGTGGTTTCCAGGGCGTCTGCATCCACGCCCTCCTAGGCCCACTCACAGCTGCAGTTGACTCATTGGATTTCTTCTTAAGTGACAAATGAAGCCAGAGGTTACCCGATGCAGGGCTGGTGCTCCACCTAAAGTTGACCAGCCAGGCCTAGGAATGCCACTCCCTGCTCCTAAAGCCCTCCAAGACCGTTGCCTAGGGGAGGCGGCCTCATGTCCCAAGGGATGGGGCCCCCAGGGTCTGGGCCGTGTGGCCTCAAGGCACAGCTCAGGGGAGCTGCCCTCACTCTGTCCTCTCCCGAGACTGCCACAACACCTTGCCCCTCTGTTATCCCATATGATCATGGATTTGATAGAAAATGTCCCATTGGGGGGCTGGGCGCGGTGGTTCACGCCTGTAATCCTAGCACTTTGGGAGGCTGAGGCGGGCGGATCATGAGGTCAGGAGATCAAGACCATCCTGGCTAACACGGTGAAACCCCGTCTCTACTAAAAATACAAAAAATTAGCCAGGCGTGGTGGTGGGCGCCTGTAGTCCTAGCTACTCAGGAGGCTGAGGCAGGAGAATGGCGTGAACCCGGGAGGCGGAGCTTGCAGTGAGCCGAGATTGCGCCACTGCACTCCAGCCTGGGTGACAGAGCGAGACTCCATCTCAAAAAAAAAAAAAAAAAAAAGACTGGGCGCGGTGGCTCATGCCTGTAATCCCAGCACTTCGGGAGGCCAAGACGGGCGGATCACGAGGTCAGGAGATCCAGACCATCCTGGCTAACACGGTGAAACCCCGTCTGTACGAAAAATACAAAAAGTTAGCTGGGCGTGGTGGCGGGCACCTGTAGTCCCAGCTACTCGGGAGGCTGAGGCAGAAGAATCCCTGGAACCCGGGAAGTGGAGCATGCAGTGAGCCAAGATCATGCCACTGCACTCCAGCCTGGGCGACACAGTGAGACTCCGTCTCAAAAAAAAAAAATGTCCCATTGGGGTACTCATCACAGCCCTGTCTTTAGTGGTGACAATGCTAAGCTATTCACATGCCCAACACTGGGGTTAGTGGTATTCACTGTGTATGTGACACACCAGCATGGGTTAGTGGTATTCCTCCATGATGTGACAACATCGGTATGGGTCAGTGGTATTCTGCTGTGTATGTGACACACCAGTTTGGATTAGTGGGTATTCTGCCATGCATATGACACTGGTATGGGTTAGTGGTATTTGCTATGTATTTGAACACACTGGTATGGGACTTCGGCCCTGAGCACTAGTGACACTTTGAGCTGGATGAGTTGTGGGTTTGAGCTGATGAGCCGTGCCCCCACTGCTACCCGCTACGTGCCAGGAGCACACCCCCCATAAATGTCTCCAGACAGCTCCAGATATTTCCTGGGTATCCAAGTCGCCCTGGCAGAGAAACACTGCATGAGACACGGCGTTAGGGTCTGGTGGGAGACTCACCACAGTGCCAAGGTGGCTGCAGTTTGCTTGTGACATGGGCGTGTATCTGAGTGTGAAGGAAGCTGGTTTTTGTGAGCTGCCTCCCGAGCTCAGAGGTGACAGTGGGCACTTTCCCCACAGAGACCCCTGAAGTTGTTCCTTGGAGAACAAAGTGGTGAGGGGCGGGGATTCCAGACCTTGAGGCAGAAGCTAGGGTCTGGTCCACTGTTCTGTGGACTGGGCAGTGGCCCTGGGAGGTGCCGTGGCCTCTGTGGCCTGTTTCCTGGGGTGGGGTCTGTCTTGCGCTTTGTCTCTTGTGGGTGCAGACTCCCCTTCCTCTGCTGTGGAGCCGGCAGATGGCCCCGGAGCCAGATCCTGGTGCCTCCCTGTCCACATGCAGCTCAGTCATTTGCTCTTGGTCCCTTCCTATGAAATGCACGGCCACACACAGCCAGGGTTTCTCCTGGGCTCCCCAGAGGGAGAGTAGGGTGCAGCCTGCAACAGTGCAGGGTCCCCAGGCCTGTGTGAGCCCCCAGGTGGGGAGGTGGGTGATGCGCATGTCAGTGCTACCTCCTGCCACCTCCTCTCTGCCTGGGCACAGGCTTTCTCCTCTGTTTGCTTTTTATTTCCTATGTATTCAGGAACCATGTGAAATTGCCAATGCTTGGTTTTGTCCTACAAAATGGCCATTTCATTTGGTTCAACCTGATATTGTGTCTACACACACACACGCACACACACACACACACAGGCAAATACTTTTTAAAACAGGATTATTCTATTCACAGTGTTCTGTAGAAATTTGTGTTCAGTCTTTTTTTTTTTTTTTGAGACGGAGTCTCGCTCTGTCGCCCAGGTCGGACTGCGGACTGCAGTGGCGCAATCTCGGCTCACTGCAAGCTCCGCTTCCCGGGTTCACGCCATTCTCCTGCCTCAGCCTCCCGAGTAGCTGGGACTACAGGCGCCCGCCACCGCGCCCGGCTAATTTTTTGTATTTTTAGTAGAGACGGGGTTTCACCTTGTTAGCCAGGATGGTCTCGATCTCCTGACCTCATGATCCACCCGCCTCGGCCTCCCAAAGTGCTGGGATTACAGGCGTGAGCCACCGCGCCCGGCCTCAGTCTTTTTAAGACAGCTTACTGTACTGATGCCGCACAGATCTTTTTTTTTTTTCGAGACAGGGTTTCACTCTCGCCCAGGCTGGAGTGCAGTGGTGCAATCTCCGCTCACTGCAGCCTCCACCTCCTGGGTGTAAGTGATCCTCCTGCTTCAGCCCCCCAAGTAGCTGGGCCCACAGGGCTTGCATCACCACACCTGGCTAATTTTGTATTTTTGTAGAGATGGGGTTTCACCATGTTGGCCAGACTGGTCATTCTTTTTGAGATGGAGTCTCGCTCTGTCGCCCAGGCTGGAGTGCAGTGGCGTGATCTCGGCTTACTGCAACCTCTCCCTCCCAAGTTCATGCCATTCTCCTGCCTCAGCCTCCCGAGTAGCTGGGACTACAGGCGCCCGCCACCACGCCCGGCTAATTTTTTGTATTTTTAGTAGAGACAGGGTTTCACCGCATTAGCCAGGGTGGTCTCGATCTCCTGACCTCATGATCCACCCGCCTCGGCCTCCCAAAGTGCTGGGATTACAGGCATGAGCTACTGCGTCCAGCCGGAAGATTTAATTTTTTAATTGTCAAATCCATTCTCTCTCTCTATAAACATTTTACATTTTATGATAATAAAATAATTTGTGAGCCCACGGCCCCGTTTCCCTGATGCCTGAGGTCTTCCTGGGGCGGCATGGGAGGGCTGAATTCAGGTGCGGGGTCGGCCCCAGGGCACTGAGCGCCTGGGTGAGTATCTGGAATGAGGAAAACAAAGCTTGGCTCCCGCCAAGGAGAAAGAAACTCAGGATGCGGGGCTCAGGCCAGGACCTCGGCTCAGCCGCCATTTCTGGAGCACAGGCCAGCTTCGTCGTCCTCCCGAGGGGTCCTGACCAGGGCTTCCCAGGAGCGGCCGCCCACTCTGTGTGTCCCTTTCCAGGTCGCCACTGGGACACTGTGAACCAGGAGTGAGTCGGAGCTGCCGCGCTGCCCAGGCCATGGACTGTGAGGTCAGAGGCCAGATCCCCTGCGGGTGCCTTGTGGGGGGCGGGGTCGAGGGGTAAGGGCCTGCGTGTCCCCCACCACGCATCCCTGAGGGCTGAGGCTGAGCCCGCCTGGCCCTTACCACAGCTCGGCACAGACGAACCCCGCCCAGCCCCTTCACTGAAGCAGGCGGGAGCCGGGAAGTCCTACCTTTCCCTGTCCTGCGCCTTCCTCGCACTCCGCTTGTGGTGCAGCCCCTCCACACCGCGCCTGGGGCTAACTGCAAGGGCGAGGGGGCTTTGGGTTTAAGACCATTTAACAGCCATAGGCTGTGGGTCCCAGCACTTTGGGAGGCCAAGGCAGGAGGATTCCTTGAGGCCAGGAGGTCGAGGCTACAGTGAGCTGTGATTGTGCCACTGCACTGCAGCCCTGTCCAAACAAACACGAAAGAGATTTAAGAAGAAGAAAGGGGGCATTAGATAAGCACTTCATATAATTCTCTCAACTGTAAAAGCAAGACAATACTTACCTTGTCTAACCAATGCCATTGCTATGAGGAGCAAATAAATCAATAAAGGTCAAATAAAAGTACTGTAAACTGTAAGGTGTTTCAAAAATTTTTTAACCCACTGGATTTAAATTTCCCTTCATAGCTGGGCGAGGTGGCTTAGGCACATAATCCCAGTGACTTGGGAGGCAGAAGCGAGAGGATTGCTTGAAGCCAGGAGTTTGATTGAGACAAACCTGGGCAACATAGTAAGACCCCGTCTTTATAAAGATAAAAGCGGTGGAGTTCTGGGAGGGGAGCCCGGAGCCCCCGCCTTCAGCAGGACGCTCCCTGGATGCTTCCTTGTCTCTCCTTCCCTTTAAATGGTCTGGGGAGAGAAAAATCACAGCACACGGGTGCTCTCTCCCACCCGCTGCATCACATCCTCCTCCCCTCCCTCCTGCCGAATTCTGCAGCCTCTGGGCGCCTCACGCTGTCCTGGCAGCCTCTGGGAAGGCATCTGCGAAGTCTAATGCCTTGGCACTTAGTGACTGTGTCGCAGTTCCTGAGCATGGAGAGCACCCGGCACCCAGGAGGTTCTCAAGCTGCCCCTACTGGGGGTCCTTTCCAAAGGTGGGGACGGTGTGGATTTCAGCGTGGTGGCTGGAGGGCTGAGGCAGTGGCTCGAGTTTGATGTTAGTTACATAAACAGAGGAGATTGCAGGAGCTCCCCCGGCCCTGATCCAGGCTTGTTGTCAGTGTCCAAAAGACCACTCTGGGTGCCACTGTCCCTTCCCACCTGCCGCTGCTGTTCCGGCTTCGCGCTCTGGCGGCCTCCGCAGGTAGAACACCACCGTCACCCGCGCAGCGCCCTGACTCGCCGGAGGAGGCGCCTGCCCTCCCGCCCGCCTCTCCCCGGCCCCCTCAGTGAGGGAGGGTGGACGTCGCCACTCCCCTTTCTTGCCTTCGGAGTGAGGAAGCGGAGGCAGCAGTACGGCAGCCCGCCCAGGGCCACAGAGCTGGGGTCACAGCGAAACACTCCGAAACTTTCTTTTCAATTATAGGGTTCAGCCTTTTTTCCCATCATAACTTTAATTCTGTGTAGATACTTCTATTTTTTATTTTTATTTTTTTTTTTGAGATTGAGTCTCTGTGTCGCCCAGGCTGGAGTGCAGTGGCACGATCTCCGCTCACTGCAGGCTCCGCCTCCCGGGTTCAGGCCATTCTCCTGCCTCAGCCTCCCGAGTAGCTGGGACTACAGGCGCCCGCCACCACGCCCGGCTCATTTTTTGTATCTTAGTAAAGACGGGGTTTCACCGTGTTAGCCAGGATGGTCTCGATCTCCTGACCTCGTGATCCGCCCGTCTGGGCCTCCCAAAGTGCTGGGATTACAGGCGTGAGCCACCGTGCCCGGCCTTATTATTATTATTTTTTTGAGACGCAGTTTTGCTCTGTCGCCCAGGCTGGAGTGCAGTGATGTGATCTCCGCTCACTGCCAGCTCCGCCTCCCAAGTTCATGCCATTCTCCTGCCTCAGCCTCTCGAGTAGCTGGGACTACAGGCGCCCACCACCACGCCCGGCTAATTTTTTATATTTTAGTAAAGACGGGGTTTCACCGTGTTAGCCAGGATGGTCTCGATCTCCTGACCTCGCGATCTGCCCGCCTCGGCCTCCCATAGTGCTGGGATTGCAGGCGTGAGCCACCGCACCTGGCTAATTTTTGTATTTTTAGTAGAGATGGGGTTTCACCATGTTGCCCAGGATGTTCTCGACCTCTTGACCTCATGATCCGCCCGCCTCGGCTTCCCAAAGTGCTGGGATTACAGGCGTGAGCCACCGCGCCCGGCCAGCACCATCTTTTCCTTTCCACTGGAACTGATCTTATTATTTTTGCCTCCATTAGATCATTTTTGTAACATGTCTTGCAGGATTTACTGTCTTGATCGTTTCTCTTAACATATTTTTTTCCTGTGATCTAAAAAGATAAAAAACTATCAATTCTTTTATCAAAAGTGGATCTAGAGGCTGGGCATGGTGGCTCACGCCAGTAATCCCAGCACTTTGGGAGGCCAAGGTGGGCAGATCACCTGAGGTCAAGAGCTCCAGACCAGCCTGGCCAACATGGTGAAGCCCCATCTTTACTAAAAATACAAAAATTAGCCAGGCGTGGTGGCACGTGCCTGTAACCCCAGCTACTTGGGAGGCTGAGGCAGGAGAATCCATTGAACCTGGGAGGCAGAGGTTGCAGTGAGCTGAGATGGCACCATTGTACTCCAGCCTGGGCAACAGAATGAGACTCTGTCTCCAAAAACAAAGTGGATCTAGAAGATCAAAAAAGGGCATGATTCCATATTGGCACAGCACAAGCCCTATTCTTGGAATTAAATGGCATCCATCTTCCGAGCCCACTCCTGTCCTGCAGGGCCGGCCCAGCCTGTCCCTGAGGCACTGGTCCAGACAGGAGCCTGTCCACACAGCTGTCCACTCAGTGGGCCCAGTGCTTGGCTTCACGGTCACTTGCGGCACCTAGACCTCCTCTGGCAGGTGCCATTCTTTCCTCTCCCTCCCTGCCGCCTCGAGTCTTTATTTTCTGTGGGATCTTGAGTTTGATAACCTGACCTGCTGTGGTGGCAGCACCGCTCTGTGTCCAGATTCTGGATGCCAATTTACCAAGCGCAGGTCAAAAAGAAGTCCTTGGGCAGCGGCTGCCTGCGTTAGCTTCTTGGGGCTGCTGTAGGCGGTTCCAAGCAGGAGAGTGGCTTTAAACAACAGATGCGGATCCCCTCCCGGTTCTAGAGGCCCAAAGGCTGGAATCCCATGTTGCCCGGCTGCTTCCTTCTGGGGCGCTCTCCTGGCTCCTGTGGCTGCCTCTGTCTTCACATGGCGTCCTCTCTGTGTGTCTCTGCTTAAATCTCCCTCTCCTTTCTCTTACAAAGACACCAGTCATTGGATTTAGGGCCCACCCTAATCCAATATGACCTCATCTTAACTTGATTACATCTGTAAAAACCTTATTTTCAAATAAGGTCACATTGACAGGTACTTGGGGTTAGGACTTGCGCTTTTCTTTTTGGGTGACACAGCTTAGCCCAGCACTAACTGTGTCACCAGGACTGTCGCTTGAGGCAGGAATGAAGCACATCCTGTTTGTAAGCTGTCTTGTGCCATGCGGCTGCTCCGTACAAGAATTGTTAGGAATTGATGCAGTGGAATTTTGCATACAGTTTTTCCTCTCTTCAGAAACAACTTTGGAGAAGTAAAGGCTGAATAGCAATACACAAGCACCTTATTTTATTTTATTTTAGATTCAGGGGCACGTGTACATGTTTGTCACATGGGAATATTGTGCACTGGTGGGGACTGGGCTTCCGGTATCGCATGGAGAGGGACTCTTTCTGCGCTCCCCCGCCCCCGCCTCCCTACTGTAAAGTGCCCGGTGCCTGCTCTCTCCATCTTCGTGTCCATGGGCACCCATTGTTTAGCTCCCACTTATAAGTGAGAACAGTCAGTATTTGATTTTCTGTTTCTGAGTTAGTTCACTTAGGGTAATGGCCTCTAGCTCCATCCGTGTTGCTGCAGAGGACATGATTTTATTCTTTTTTATGGCTGCAGCAATACACAAGCTCCTTATTTTTATTTATTTATTTATTTATTTTTGTTGTTTGTTTGTTTGTTTTGAGACGGAGTCTGGCTCTCGTCCCCCAGGCTGGAGTGCAATGGCGCGATCTCGGCTCATTGCAACCTCCACCTCCCGGGTTCAAGCGATTCTCCTGCCTCAGCCTCCCAAGTAGCTGGGACTACAGACGCCCGCCACCAGGCCCGGCTAATTTTTGTATTTTTAGTAGAGACAAGGTTTCATCATGTTGGCCAGGCTGGTCTCAAACTCCTGACTTCGTGATCCGCCCGCCTCGGCCTCCCAAAGTGCTGGGATTACAGGCGTGAGCCACCGCGCCCGGCCAAGCTCCTTATTTTAAGCATTTTTTTTTTCTTTTTTGAGACAGGGTTTCACTTTGTCACCCAGGTTGGAGTGCAGTGGTGTGATCATGGCTCATTGCAGCCTCAAACTTCTGGGCTCAAGTGACCTTCCCGCCTCAGTCTCATGAGTAGCTGGGACTGCAGGTGCATGCCACCTTGGCTAATTTTTATTTTTTGTAGAGATGGGGATCTTGTTGCCAGGCTGGTCTCAAATTCCTGGGCTCAAACGATCCTCCTGCCTCTGCCTCCCAGAGTGCCGGGATTACAGGCATCACCTAGCAAAGCATTAAAACAATTTGCTGCTGGGTGCAGTAGGTCACACCTGTAATCCCAGCACTTTGAGAGGCCAAGGAGTTGGGGGGAGTTGGGGGGCGGGCGGATCACGAGGTCAGGAGTTCGAGACCAGCCTGACCAACATGGTGAAACCTCGTCTCTACTAAAAATACAAAAATTAGCCGGGCGTGGTGATGCACACCTGTAATCCCAGCTACTCAGGAAGCTGAGGCGGGAGAATCATTTGAACCCAGGAAGCGGAGGTTGTAGTGAGCCGAGATCACACCACTGCACTCCAGCCTGGGTGACAGAGCGAGACTCCATCTCAAAACAAAAACAAAAACAAAAAAACAATTTGCCCTGTAAGAACTGTCCTCTAAAAGTTTTTGGTTTTTCTAATGAAAAATATTATGGACTTAGAGAATAGAAATAAATTTCTGCCTACACTTCCATCTTCCCTCCCACCCTTCTCTGGCAGCCCAGGAGGTCTTTTTGTGTGAATCTGCGCAGATCTCAGCGTCCCTGCCCTTCTTTGTGTTTTGTTCTCTCTTCCACCTTAGGTCTTTCTCTGGTCTGGGCACACCCAGCTGCAGGGCTCACCTTTGCCTGTAAGAATACAGCCCCCAAACACAGTCAGTACCCCAAGAACAGTCCCTGCCATCTCTGGCGGCACAGATGCTGGCCAAGCTGCAGCTGCCAGTGCTGCCCAGGGAGCTGGAGAGCTGCCGGCCAAGAGCCCAGCCCCTCTGGGTAGAGCAGGAGCCAGTGCCACCACTCCCTGTGGGATTCGGATTAAGGACACACCCACCCAAAGTAAACCAAGCTTGGCCAAAGGCAGGTGCCCAGCTGTGGTCACCACTCCGCAGTAGTTACTGAAAATCTTCCATCTGCCCAATACCCTCCTGAGCCCGTGAAGGAGATGAGCGGAAAGAGGCTCCGCCTGTTGGAAGCACAGCCAGGAAAGGTGGGCTCAGATTGCTGAAGCCTGCAGGGGAACTTGAAGAAAGCGTGCCAGCACAGGATGGCGGATGATGCCCGCATGACACTCGCTCGCCTCCCCGGAACAGCCTGTGGCCTTCTCACCTAGTGGGAAGCTCCCCAGCCGCGTGTTTCAGGAGGTCCAGCAGATTCCTCTGCAGAGGAATCCCTTTCTGCAGAGTCGGGGCTCGCTCCCTGCCATCTACGGGCAGTGCTGCTTAAAGCTGTGGCTGCAGACCTTGCCTCTGCCTGTTGAGACCTCCTGCAGGGCCCTCCAGCCCACAGGGTCCCTCAGCTCTCTGGGACCTGTGAGGCTCTTTGGGCCAGCTGCAACTGGAGCTCTTTGCAGGAGGGGCCTCTGGCCTGGCTGAAGTCCCGGCTTCCTGACTCCCCTTTCCCCTCAGGTCAACAACGGTTCCAGCCTCAGGGATGAGTGCATCACAAACCTACTGGTGTTTGGCTTCCTCCAAAGCTGTTCTGACAACAGCTTCCGCAGAGAGCTGGACGCACTGGGCCACGAGCTGCCAGTGCTGGCTCCCCAGTGGGAGGGCTACGATGAGCTGCAGACTGATGGCAACCGCAGCAGCCACTCCCGCTTGGGAAGAATAGAGGCAGGTAGGCGGCCGGCCCCACCTCCTTCCCCAAAGCTGGGCTTCTCTGTCGCCAGTAACATTCAGGGAGCCTCAGGGCTGGAAGGGACCCCCGGGATCACTCTGCCTCTGCAGTTTCAGCTGCCACGTACGCTGGTATCACTTAATCACTTGACTGGTCTCTACTTGATTCCCTCCAGTGCTGCTGAACTCACTGCCTACCATTTTTGGGTGACTCTGTTAGAAAGTTCTTCCTTTCTGTTGAGACAGAATCTCATGTACTGGTCTTGAGTCCCTTGTCTGGACCAACATAGAATGGTGTTTTTATCCAATTTTCCAAATGTGATTCTGATACAAAGATTGCAGACCACTTGTCTGGATTATATAACCCAAGGGGTTCTCACACTTGGCCTTGTATCATTTCAAGGACCTGGAGCTTTAAATGCTGGTGCCTGCATCTCACCTCCAGAGATTCTGATTGGTTGGTCTGGGCATTGCTGGGTCTGGGCAAAGCCCCCAGGTGGCACTACCGGTGCGGCCCCTGCCTCCCCAAGCAGGCCTGGCTGACTGTCCCATTGATTGAGGCCCACTGGTTTCACAGTGACTTTTGCACTGTCTATACCTGACATATTTCCTTTCATACATTATGCTCCGTGATTACCTATACAAGAACACAGAAGTATTTGGAACCTCATTTCCAGGTGAGGAAACCCAGGTCCAGCAAAGGGTAAATGACTAGCTCCAGATCACACAGCTTGTGGCCATGTTACCACTGGGACATGGGGCCAGGCCCCTTCTTGAGGTGGGCCTCAGCCGCCCTCCCACTGTAGGGCACTGACTCCAGGTCACCATGGTTTCCAGACTGTTCACCTTTCCTGTTGCTGATCCCTGCACTCTCCTCCAGCCTCCAGCTCCACTCCCCTTTGCCAAGGGGCTGCTTCTATGGACAGGGGCTGTCCCGAGTGGAGGCTGGGGGCGAGTGGAGGCTCACCCACTTCCAGATCCAGCCCTGCGACGCTGGCTTTCAGTAGTGTGCACATTGGAATTACACGAGAAACCTTTTCCAAATGCAGGCCTTGGGCCCTACTCCAGCTGCCTGCATCAGGCTGTTTTAGGGCGGGAGACTGCCCAGAGGATTCTGACGCAGGTAGAATCCCTGCCCTGAAAGCCTGCAGGGATCCCCGGACCCTGGTCCAGGCCTTCCAAGCTCAAGGGTTGCACTGCCCTCTGGTGGCTGTGGGGGAGACCAACAGCTGACCCAGCCTTCTGCCTCCCGCCTGTCTTAGATCAGGTGCTTGAGGACGTGGCTGGAGTTCCCCACTAGACCGGGGTGGGGGTGGGGGTGGGGGGTGGGGGGAGGTGTCTGAGAATGTCTCTGCCTTCTAATCCAGCCAGCATATCTTCTGGCTCGCCCTGAACTGAGGAGAAACCCCAGATCCCTTTGGGAAGGTCCAGGAAGGGCAGGAGTGGACAGGCACAGCTCTGCTGTCAGCACTGCTGTGGGGGTGACTGTAGCCCCAGTCTGCCCTGGTGTTTTTCTCTCGCTCTTCTCCATGCCGGCCTTTGCCTCTAGACTGAGAAACCGGGGTTGACTCAAGTGGCACCTGCAAAAGTGATCATGGCAGTTCACTTAGCCTGCAGGTGACAGGGACTGTGAATCTAGTCCCTGGCGAGCCTGGAAAGAGGGGCAAGGTAGAGGCTCTGGCTGCCGGGGTTTCTTTGGTGAGTCCGTTCACTCGGCTGGACACAGACGGATCAGGAAAGATTCCTGTTGCTACTCGGCTGGTGGCCAGAGGGAGAGAGGACGTGTCCGTAACTGAAGCAAGGTGGATAAGCTTCGGGAACGAGCGAGGCACAGATTCGGTGCTGGGGGAGTGATGAGGTGCTGGAGGAGCTGGGTGCTCTGCTCTGCAGGGAATCAGGAAAACTTTGGGGCTGCAGCTCCAATTGAGCTGGGCCTTGGGGGTTGGGTATGTTTGGTTCCTTGGAAACTGGGAAGAGGGAATGGCCATCTTTTAAGCAAAAGCCCAGCGGCTATAAATGCTACAGTGAGGCTGGGTGCAGTGGTTCACGCCTGTAATCCCAGCACTTTGGGAGGCCAAGGCAGGTGGATCATGAGGTCAGGAGTTCAAGACCACCCTAGCCAAGATGGTGAAACCCCGTCTCTACTAAAAAAAATATATAAAAATTAGCCAGGCGGGGTGGCGGGTGCCTGTAATCCCAGCTACTTGGGAGGCTGAGGTAGAGAATTGTTTGAACCCGGGAAGCGGAGGTTGCAGTGAGCTGAGATTGTACCACTGCACTCCAGCTTGGGGAACAGAGTGAGACTATGTCTTGAAAAAAAAAAGAAAAAAAAAAGCTACAGTGAGTAGTTGAGTTTGCCTAGGAAGCGTGGAAGTTAAGTCAGACGTACTTTCAGGCTGGGTCATGACTTGTCACTTAAGCAGAGATGAGCACTTGAGAGGTTTTGAAGAGAAGTGATGTGGCAGCCTTACTGCATGTTCCATGGACAGACTCCAGGGAGGCCGTGAAACCCCCAGAGCACAGCTTCTAAGAACGTGCCCACTCCTTAGCACGTCACTTCTCCCAACCCTGCCCTGCTCTGAGGTCTGTGCTGTGAAGGTGGCCGAGTAGACTGGACGGCAGGGAGTGGGGCTGTCATCATCAGATGAGAGCTAAGGGGACCCCCACCAGGGTGGCGGCAATGGCAGAGGGTAGGCAAAACGCTTGTATTTGCAACATAAGGTGAGATTTGACAGCTGACCGAGGGTGGGAGCAGCAGCCAAAACCAAAAAAGCCAGAGGGAAGTTGCAAGCACAGAAAAAATAGAAGATTTAATGGGAGAAATAACAATAGCTGGCATCTATTGAACACTTACTGGGAGCTAGGTACAGGGCCCATTCATTCATTCATGCAATTAAAACTTTTTTTAAGAAACGGGGTCTTGCTCTGTTGCCCAGGCTGGAGTGTAGTGGTATGATCACAGCTCACTGCAGCCTTGAATTCCTGGCCTCAAGGAGTCCTCCCACCTCAGCCTCCTGTGTAGCTGGGATTATAGGTACGTGCGGTACACCTGGCTCCCTTTAAAAGTTTTTTGTAGAGGCAGGGCACAGTGGCTCACACCTGTAATCCCAGCACTTTGGGAGGCCAAGGCAGGAGGATCACAAGGTCAGGAGTTCGAGACCAGCCTGACCAACATGGTGAAACCCGTCTCTACTTAAAATACAAAAATTAGCCGGGTGTGGTGGCGGGCGCCTGTAATCCCAGCTACTCAGGAGGCTGAAGCATGAGACTTGCTTGAACCCAGGAGGCGAAGGTTGCAGTGAGCCGAGATCGCGCCACTGCACTCCAGCCTGGGTGACAGAGCAAGACTCCGTCTCAAAAAAAAAAAAAAAGTTTCTTGTAGAGGCAGGGCCTTGCTTTGTTGCTGGTGCAATCACGGCTCACTGCATCCTCTAACTCCTGGCCTTAAGCAATCTTCTGTCCTCAGCCTCCCAAAGCACTGGGATTACAGGCATGCATGACCACACCTGGTCCCTGCCATTGTTTATTGAGCACCTACTGAGTGCCATGTATTAAGTGCTGGGTATTTGTCAGTGGACAAAACAGATTAAAAAAATCACAGCCCTTAGGGAGCTTACCTTCTGGCAGGGGCGTCAGACAATAACACAGCAAGTGCTGAGGAAGAAACGGAGGCGGCAGGGAGCGTGGCAGTTGAGCGTGGCCTTCATGGAGCTGCGACAGTGGTACTCGGGCAGGGGCAGCACGGAGGCTGTGCGCCAGAGGAGGAGGACTGAGGGGCAAGGGGGAGAGCTCTGGTTGGAAAGGCAGGGGAGATTCTCCAGGGCCTTGCCGGTGCCAGTGACAACTGGGGTTTTCCTGAGACGGGACTGCGAGGAATGGGGGCTCTCAGGCTTGAGAGGGCAAAAGTGGGTCTGGGATGCCGTCTGCCCACAGAGCCCCTTCCCCAACGGCTGCCCAGGCCAAGGCCAACCCTGTTGGGTTGTGTGGTGTGAGCCATGAAGCCGCTGCCAGGCTTGTACCTCAGGCGTGGTCGTGATGCCCCAGCTTCACCGGCCCTGCCTGTGGGGACGTGGTGCCTGTGTGCGGGAGCCTGGGCCTCAGCCGAGGCCCTGAGCTCCGGCACTGCCCAGAACCCAGCTCAGCGCTGGTACTCAGCCCGCCCGCTGTGGCCCTGGTGGAGTGGAGCACGTGCCCAGTGGGGGCTGGCCTTGTCCCATCGCGGACCTGTCCTTTCCCGGGGCAGGGTGGTGTGGGAGAGGGTATCAGGGACATTTTCTGAGTCTGCTCTGTCTCTGCCGCCCCTGCCTGAACACAGATTCTGAAAGTCAAGAAGACATCATCCGGAATATTGCCAGGCACCTCGCCCAGGTCGGGGACAGCATGGACCGTAGCATCCCTCCGGGCCTGGTGAACGGCCTGGCCCTGCAGCTCAGGAACACCAGCCGGTCGGAGGAGGTGAGTGAGGGCCTGAGGACCGCGTGGGCGGGCAAGTGAGCCAAGGGGGCCTGTCCCCTGCCTCTCACCAGGCAGCCCACTGTCCCGTGAGGCCACTCAACTCGTGACTGTCAGGTCCAGAACTCTGACGAAGTAACTGGACGTAGGGTATGGTTCATTGCCTTGCAGAAGATTTCAGCTGGTTGACATCGAGGAAACCTGAACCTTAAATCAGAGTAAAGAGTTTAGGGGTAAAAGCCTCTAAAAGATGAACGAAGCATGTTTGGCCAACAGAAGAAACAGACGCTTCCTTTGGTTGTAGGGAGTTTAATAATGGTGCCAGTGAGAACCGTAAGCCCTGGGAGTGGTGCCTGCTGCTCTGCTGAGCTCCTTGGTTGGAATCCACACAACTTTCTGAGCTCTACCATCTGCTTGGCACTGTTGGGGATACAAGATTGGTCCGGGGCACTGTGTCCCCAGAACACTTAGCGGAAAGAACTACATCCTCCCAACTGCCAAATGCAGGCCTGTAGCGGTAGGAGCTGAGAGGAGAGAAAGTTCCACTTTTTCGACTCTACCAGCTGAAAATGCAGGCGTCCTCACCTCCTAGAAATCCAATCATGCTTCTGTTCAGTGGGGCCAGCCTGTGATGTCCCAGCAGCTGCCTAGAACGCAGGAGTGGCTGGCGCACTCCCATGTAACTCTGCATGTGCGCCGACCGCCTGACGGTCCTTGCCAGCCTTGTAGTCTGTCTAGTGTCCCCCAGGAACCCCCTTCCTCCTGTCCATTCAGCTAGGTCTGCACCAATAAAATGGGCCTAAGGCGTCGCAGGTGGTCACTAGTTCTGGACTCGAAGTGCCTTGGGCGCAGGGATGACCCAGGCTTCTTGTATCCCATCACCGTCTAACAGTGGGCACATGGGCTCACCACACATGCGTTTGCTTACCGAGCCCCCTGCAGGGAGTGATTGCAGTCTTCCCTTTCCATTGCCTCTCAGAACTCAACTGTTTCTCATTCTTTCCGCCCAGCAGCCCTGGATACTTAATAAGTACTTTGAAGTGCTTCTTCATACTGGGGACTGTCTTTCCTTTGAGAGGGAAGAGTATTAGTAAACCAGGTTCTGTGTGCCCCTCTGTGCAGGACCGGAACAGGGACCTGGCCACTGCCCTGGAGCAGCTGCTGCAGGCCTACCCTAGAGACATGGAGAAGGAGAAGACCATGCTGGTGCTGGCCCTGCTGCTGGCCAAGAAGGTGGCCAGTCACACGCCGTCCTTGCTCCGTGATGTCTTTCACACAACAGTGAATTTTATTAACCAGAACCTACGCACCTACGTGAGGAGCTTAGCCAGAAATGTAAGAACCCTTGAGGTCAGCTCCTTCCCTGCCTGCCGCCCATGCCCTTTTCTCTGGAAGGTTGAGAAGCCCAGCGGGGCCCCTGCCTCTGATGCCAGCACAAGGGTTACAGGCTGTCCTGCTCGGGTTTGGTTTTGCTGTTGTGAGCTAGAAAGCTGTGTGTAAAGGTGACGAAGAGCACCCAGAGTCCTTTGGAGCTTTAGCAGCTTACTATTGGAGACATGCTCCATTCAGAGGGGTGGCAAAGGCTCACGTCACACTCCTGGTGGGGTCCTCAAGGCACAAGCAGGTACAGAGTGGAAGGAAGGGGCTGGAGGGCTCACAATGAGCTTTTCAGACCTCTCACCTTGCCATAAAAAATAAGTGTAATGTGGCCAGTGCGGTGGCTCATGCCTGTGATCCCACTGCTCTGGGAGGCCAAGGCAGGTGGATCACCTGAGGTCAGGAGTTCCAGACCACCCTGGCCAACAGGGTGAAAGCCCGTCTCTACTAAAATACAAAAATTAGCCGGGCATGGTGGCGCACACCTGTAGTCCCAGCTACTCAGGAGGCTGAGGCAGGAGAACTGCTTGAACCCTGGAGGCAGAGGTTGCAGTGAACTGAGATCGCACCACTGCACTTTAGCCTGGGCGACAGAGCAAGACTCCATCTCAAAAAAAAGGTGTAATGTGAACCAAAACGAGTAGTCAAAAAAGGGGGGGAACTGTCTGAAATCTTTTCCAGAGCACATCTGTCCCATAACCAGGTATTACAAGTCACAGTCTAAAGGCTGGGCATGGTGGCTCAAGCCTGTAATCCCAGCGATTTGGGAAGCAGAAGCAGTGGGATTGCTTGAGGCCAGGAGTTTGAGACAAAACTGAGCAACATGGCGAGACCCTGTCTCTAAAAAATTTATAAAAATAATTAGCTGAGGGCCAGGCGCGGTGGCTCACGCCTGTAATCCCAGCACTTTGGGAGGCCAAGGCAGGCGGATCATGAAGTCAGGAGTTCAAGACCAGCCTGGCCAAGATGGTGAAACCCCGTTTCTACTAAAAATACAAAAAAAATTAGCTGGGTGTGGTGGCGGGCGCCTGTAATCCCAGCTACTCAGGAGGCTAAGGCAGGAGAATCGCTTGAACCCTGGTGGCAGAGGTTGCAGTGAGCCGCAATCACGCCACTGCACTCCAGCCTGGATGATGGGGTAAGACTGTCTCAAAAAAAAAAAAAATTAGCTGAGCATGGTGGCGTACGCCTGTAGTTCACGCCGTCATGGAGGTTGAGGCAGCTCCTCAGGAGGCTGGGGCAGAAGGATCTCTTTGCTTGAGCCCAGGAGTTCAAGGCTGCAGTGAGCTGATTGTGCCACTGCACTCCAGCCTGAACAAAAACAAGACCTGTCTCTAAAAACAAACATACAGTGTTCACAATGCTGCCCAAGAAGGGCCAGTTTTTGCAGCTGCCCCCATGTAGCAAAATCTGGTGCTTCTGTTTCATAGACCCAAATGGAAATTAAGTGGATGTGTCTTATTTGTAAATTTAAAAATATTAGCGAATGTTTGGGAATTTTTTTTTTTTTTTTTTTTGAGACAGAATTTTGCTCTTGTTGCCCAGGCTGGAGTGCAATGGCACGATCTCAGCTCACCACAACCTCTGCCTCCCAGGTTCAAGCGATTCTCCTGCCTCAGCCCCCCAAGAAGCTGGGATTACAGGCACACACCACCATGACCGGCTAATTTTGTATTTTTAGTAGAGATGAGGTTTCTCCCATGTTAGGCTGGTCTCGAACTCCCAACCTCAGGTGATCCGCCCACCTCGGCCTCCCAAAGTGCTGGGATTACAGGCGTGAGCCACTGCGCCCGGCCTAATGTTTGGGATTTTATGACATGTCAGAAGCATTACTTCAGGCTTTGGTTTTTAAGTAAAATAGCATCTAATCCTCTACTGAGAACTCATAAGAAAACATTCCTTATATGCTGTGGTCTTCAGTTATACAAGCATTTTAAAAACAGGAGAATGAATATAAATCTTAAATCAGGCATTAAACCCAGCTGAATTGTTGGAAGGAGGTAAGCCTGAGACCATTCCTGGACAGCTTTTACCAACACCCATGTAAAGGGGGAAAGGGTGGGCAAGACGTGTGCAGCAGTCTGTATGGACAGCTTACCAGAGACTGAGGGCTGAGGCAGAATCGTGATTCCTCTGACCCAGCAGGGGCCTCCTGACACCGTCAGTGCCTTGGAGATGTGAATACCCACCTCACCGCCTGAACGGCCTGTTTTTGCAGTTGCCCCCATGTAGCAAAAAGTAGGATGCACGGATAGGACTTCAGGGGTCTGGAGAACATGTTTTTGCATAAACCCCAGCTTTGCTCTACTGTGGCACAGAGCTCTGGAGCCTGGTTTGTGAATGAGCCTAGCTGATTCTGGCTTTTTCTCCTTTCTTGCTCTAGGGGATGGACTGAACGGACAGTTCCAGAAGTGTGACTGGCTAAAGCTCGATGTGGTCACAGCTGTATAGCTGCTTCCAGTGTAGACGGAGCCCTGGCATGTCAACAGCGTTCCTAGAGAAGACAGGCTGGAAGATAGCTGTGACTTCTATTTTAAAGACAATGTTAAACTTATAACCCACTTTAAAATATCTACATTAATATACTTGAATGAAAATGTCCATTTACACGTATTTGAATGGCCTTCATATCATCCACACATGAATCTGCACATCTGTAAATCTACACACGGTGCCTTTATTTCCACTGTGCAGGTTCCCACTTAAAAATTAAATTGGAAAGCAGGTTTCAAGGAAGTAGAAACAAAATACAATTTTTTTGGTAAAAAAAAATTACTGTTTATTAAAGTACAACCATAGAGGATGGTCTTACAGCAGGCAGTATCCTGTTTGAGGAAAGCAAGAATCAGAGAAGGAACATACCCCTTACAAATGAAAAATTCCACTCAAAATAGGGACTATCTATCTTAATACTAAGGAACCAACAATCTTCCTGTTTAAAAAACCACATGGCACAGAGATTCTGAACTAAAGTGCTGCACTCAAATGATGGGAAGTCCGGCCCCAGTACACAGGGGCTTGACTTTTTCAACTTCGTTTCCTTTGTTGGAGTCAAAAAGAACCACTTGTGGTTCTAAAAGGTGTGAAGGTGATTTAAGGGCCCAGGTCAGCCACTGTTTGTTTACAAAATCAGGTAACTAACTGCATACACTTTTTCTCTTTCCATGACATCAAGACTTTGCTAAAGACATGAAGCCACGGGTGCCAGAAGCTACTGCGATGCCCCGGGAGTTAGCCCCCTGGTAATAGCTGTAAACTTCCAATTTCTAGCCATACGCTCAGCTCATCCATGCCTCAGAAGTGCATCTGGAGAGAACAGGTTTCTAAGCATAAAAGATGAAAGAGCAGTTGGACTTTTTAAAAATTCAGCAAAGTGGTTCCCTCTCTTAGGGACAGTCAAAACCAAGTCACTTAGGTAGTACCAAAATAAATAAGGAAAAGCTTAGCTTTAGAAACAGTGCAACACTGGTCTGCTGTTCCAGTGGTAAGCTATGTCCCAGGAATCAGTTTAAAAGCACGACAGTGGATGCTGGGTCCATATCACACACATTGCTGTGAACAGGAAACTCCTGTGACCACAACATGAGGCCACTGGAGACGCATATGAGTAAGGGCACTGACGGACTCATGATTTCTTCTTACCAGATGCTTTCCTGTTCTTTAAGAGTTTAAAATCATCAGAAAGGAAAAACAAACTCTATATTGTTCAGCATGCAATACATACCACGCTAGGGCTGGCTCAATTGAAAGTGGGCAAAAGCTTACAAATACTAAAAAGAAGTGCTGCCGCGCAGTGTGGAGGCCACTGTTTGGAAATAAATCTTCCTAACACTACGACTTTTCATGTTTTGGAGTGGACTTTTAAAAAAGTTTTCCAACCACAATGGAAACAGGTTGAACCACACTGCGCCTACACATCCATCCATACGTCAGCCATTATAATCAGATTCTCACTGGGGGAGGCATTTTCTTCCCAAAGGAGCTGTATGCAGTCATCACCCGGAACTAATGGGAAAGTGTTCTTAAGCAGCAAGTGACTCTGGACCACCTCTCTCACACACTGACTCTTCCACAGCATCTTCACCTGCTTCTGTTTCACTTGAATTCATACAGTAGGCCACCATTTTATAACAGGTCTTAGTGTAAATTCTTCCAGACCAAGTCTGAGATAGTCTTGGTTGTAAAGCAAGACCGTCACCCCTTCTCCCAAAGCCAACATTATAAAAAGATTCCATTGTCTCAAACACAAATGTTCCAGTCTTGAGCACTTCCCAGCCATGGTGACTCGGGCATATCCTGGCAGTTGGTGGATTTTGCCCTGTAACACAATCCTTGTGGATATGATTCAAAGGTGACTTTAATTCAGAGAATGTGTTTTCCTTTCTGTTTTAAAAATATTTGAATTAAGTGATGGAAATTCTTTTGTTAAACATCAAAAGCTTTCTCCTTGAAAAGATGCTTGGTGTATCTGAAAGTCACGTGGGACATTTGGTGCATTCAGAAGGTCAAATCATTCCTGACCTCTCCTCTTAGGACCCAGCATTAACTGCTGCGATACTCAAGGCTTCCTTAAAGGATCACAGCACTGGCGCCTAGTTTTACTGTCCAGCAACTTTATTAGTTGTGCTAGCTGAGAATTGGAATATAGAGTCCTTTGAATGTTACGATCTTGTTTTCAAAACCTGGAGTCAAACCAATTAAGTATGGACTTAACAAAGACAATTGATGATGTGAAATGATACCACCTGTCAAGGGCATAGTTACCATGTGGATAGAAAGATGAGTCCACTGATTATCTTCAAATCCCATGTATTCTCTCTAGCACGTTGCTTCTGACAGAAAGAATAACTCACAGATTTGAAGTTTGTTCCTTTCCCCTGATGAAGAGTAGATTGGCCAAAAGGTAGATGACAGGAAGGAAGAGGAGCCAGAATGACCCACAGTGATCAGTTCAGCAGTGCAGAGCGGCAGTGCAGAGGCTCATGGAACTCACACGGAAAAAGGAAACACATGCTGCTTAAAATGCACGATAACTTAATTATCCAAATTACCATTCAATTCCGGTATTTTTGAGATGAAAGCATTTGAGCCAACACTAAATTGACCTTAATTAAGGAATGAGGTAGGAAGAGGCACTTTTAATCTGGAGGAAGAAATAAATGGAAGACTGTAATAGGAAAAATACAGGTCTAGGAAAAAAATAATTTTTTTCCTTTGATGCTGGCCAAGGACCCCTCTACATAATACAGTTCTCCTGCTGGAAAGCATCAGGGCAAACAGAGTTATTCCAAACTCTGCAACAGGGAAGACTGTACTTTGACCTTCTTTTCCTGGGGAAAGGGAACAACTAGTAATCTTTAAATGTCAAAACTTTTCTTCTAAATAGTACATTCATTAACCAGTTTCTTCTGGTGGTGCAAAGAACACTCACCACAGTGAGCAATACCACTATTCAATTTCCCCTTTGGAGAGGTGACAGCGGGGTAGAATCACCTGGAGTCAGCTGCTAGTCTTTAACTGATGACAAGGCCTTGCAAATACCCCTGAGAACAATTTCACTCTGAGCTCACAGGGAAGCAGCAGTCTGGTGTGGGCTCCTGTGGTGTAACCATCAAATGTGGAAGACCTGATGGTGTTAGTGTGTGGGGATGCCGGGCTGAAATTCAACAGCCTTGCAAAAAGAAAGGGAAGATGGGATGTGTTAATATTGTAGTGGCATGCACTTTCCAGCTCTCCATGGAGCTCTCTTTATATATGAGGTAATTGAATGTCACTATTCTGTACCATACAGCAGGTATTATCTAGCCAAGGTTATAATTACCATGAAGTGCTGTGGAATGTAGTAGGAGGCTTTTCACTGGGAAGATCCTCCAGGAGCTGACGTACTTGTGGCCATACCTGGTCAACCCTCCTAAGTCCCCAACCTCTTTGTCTGTCCAGAGGCCAAGCAATGCTTCCAGGTATTCCCCTACTTCACTCCACAGCCCCACCCTTATGATGGCATACACAGGGGAGAAGGGACGAACTCGAACAAACAGAAAAAGACCAAGAAATGCATCGTGGTGCTGTCTTCACCCCCCTCATTTAGCACTTTGTGATAACTGCTGGGACAGATTGCCTAACCTTGTCTACAAGCAAAAATATTTAATCAAGAAAGCTAATGAAAGCTCATCGGCAATGACTGTGAATTCTGTAACCACAAAGCATCTCACTCAATGTCTACAGGGAAAACAGCTACATAATTGGAAGCTGAGACCAGTCCTGGACCTAACCCTCACTCTTGTTTTTTTGTAGTAGAACATGCTTAATGTTTAAGTGAGCCTATATGGTGCCTTTGTACAAATTAGAAAAATACTTCGCTTCTCCCAGAGCCCACAGCATGGTGAGCAGAGCACAGGCTGCACGTCGGAATTTGTCCCCAGTCAGTCCTTATGCAGTAAACAACTGGCGCAACTGTTTGCAGGGGACCTGCCAATACTGCTTTGCAGTGCCAGGAAAATGATAAAAACCGGCAAAATCATTGCCTTGCCTCGCCTATGCTTGAGGACGTTAGAAAAACTAACTCTGGGCCGGGCACGGTGGCTCACGCCTGTAATCCCAGCACTTTGGGAGGCCAAGGCGGGTGGATCACGAGGTCAGGAGATCGAGCCCATCCTGGCTAACATAGTAGAGACCCTGTCTCTACTAAAAATACAAAAAAAGCAGCCGGGTATGGTGGCGGGCGCCTGTAGTCCCAGCTACTTGGGAGGCTGAGGCAGGAGAATGGCGTGAGCCCGGGAAGCGGAGCTTGCAGTGAGCCGAGATTGTGCCACTGCACTCCAGCCTGGGCGACAGAGCAAGGCTCTGTCTCAAAAAAAAAAAAAAAAAAAAAAAAGGAAAAAGAAAAACTAACAAACTCTGATTAGGTTCTTCATTCTGTAATATGGGAATAAAAGGAATACAAACAGCTATTAGAACTGTGAAGGTGAAATAAGGTATGTGAGAGCACTAGAACCGTCTCTGGCATGTTATAAATGCTCAACTAGTATTTGCTAAAATATAATTATCGACATGAATTTTTTTTAGGAAAAATTATACACCCTAAACTCAAATGAATGTCATAATTGAGAGATTATCACTAAGGGCAGGTTTTGGTGCACCAGAGAAGAGGAAACATTATTCTGGTATCCAGTATGTCGCTGAGATGTTAAACGAGATAATGCTTGTGTGGGAATTTGGGCAGAAGCTCTAGGTCGTGTCTGTTAGCAATCAGATAGCCTACAAGGCCGTCTTGATGGGTATGATCACCACCTCAAATTCTTGGAAAGATAAGTTTGTGTGGAAAGATGTAAGAAATTAAGAGAAAGGGAAAATTCTTAGCTACAAAACGTTTTATTTCTATAAAACATCTCTTAAAATAATTCAAACACTGAAATGTCCACATCTCATACCTTTCAGGAGAAAGGCAAGGAGACTACTTGCCTTACTGTCATATTATTGAGGGAATCAGCGCAAAGCCTGAGGAAATGAACAGTAGCTGTGGGTCAAAGCCATGTCTCCAGGTTCACGGCTCACTCCCCCAGGACAAGCCTAGTTAGGTAGTGGCTGCATCTGGTATCCCTGGGACAGAAATGCAGGTGAGAAGGGGTATCAAGAATGCCTCGAGGGGGAGATGGGTGAACCAGAAGGTCAACAGTTGCATTTCTTCATCTAGAATGTTCTCTAGAAGGGAATGATGATCATGAGAGTCCCCTTAAGGCACACCGCAGGTACTGACTGATTTCTGTGGGCCCAGAATTATCACTTTAATACAGAGAGGATAAATTGGCGTTGTTTTTTCCCCCCAATAAATCATTACCTTCAACAGAGCAGTTGAGATGAGGTCTAAGGACTAACAAGAACTTTTCTATAAACAAGTTGGATTTATTCTGAATCTTTCCTTCACCTTAGACTTAGAGGGTATAAGTTGGAGGTGGAAGGAATGGCCTCCTACTATCAGCTCCTCCCCCCAAAAGGAGGGGAAGCTTGAGAAATAGTTTTTTAAATGTATGAGCAAAAAGCAGGAGCTGCAGTAGGAAGCAGTCCTCATGAGGGCTGTTCCCTTCCACTGCTGGAGGCAGAGGGTGAGGACGTGAAGGAAGAACAGGGATGCTGCCACATCCTGTTAACTCAGGAGCTGACCAAGAGCTACCAGAGAAAGCCAATGGAAAACACTATCTAGTTCCATTACCGTGAAATACAACTGGCCAAATCACTGTGGAGGAATGTCTAACAGGTGGGAAAATAAAGCAGCAAGTAGCCGCTTCCATACCACATTTCTTCCTTATTCTTTCCTTTCGTGGGCAACACAGGCTCCAATTTCCTAAGCCTCACACCTCCTTTCAGCAGCTCAGAGATGAACCTGGCTTCGATTGGTGCTTGAATGCGCTCAGCCAATGGGTGTGAGGATCCAGAACTGGCAAGTGTTAATACTGGAACTCATAGGATTTATTACTTTTTAAAAATCAAGATAACGCACCAGTTTGCTCTTCACCTATGCAAACACAAATATAGCAATTAGAATACAGAACAATCAATGCAACTATCAGAGCCCATGAAGAAAAAAATCATTGCCTCAATAATCCCATTCCCCCCACTCACCTCTAATTACTTAATCCAAGTACACAAAAACCCTTAAAACATCACTCCCTAAATGGGACACTAAAACACAGAACAAAGACACGCTACAGGATAAAGCTGGAAAGACACACAAACATACTCCCAGACCTTGTTTTGACCAATTTTTAAATATTGCTTTAGGGAGATTTTATTTGAAAACATAAATTTCAAAAAGAAAGCACATTTAAAACATCAGGTTTTGGTGATCAGGGTAGGTAAAGTATTTTTATTATAAATTTCAAGATCTAAAAAATAATTTATTACATTTACTAAGATAAATCTAAGATGACCTTTTTAAACCAAGCCACGTGTGCCCTGCATAGTGACGTCGTGGCCCTCGGGCATGGAAAGACACGGGTCTGCCCTTCCTTTAGGGCTGGAAAGACACGGGTCTACCCTTCCTTTAGGGCTGGAAAGACACGGGTCTACCCTTCCTTTAGGGCTGGGATCAGCCAGAGGAAAGAAAATTATGCCGATGCTCAACTAGCATATACTGATTAGGACTATTTTGGTTTATTACCCTGGCATTGAAGAATTCAGGTGAAGATGCCACCACTCTTGAACTCTGAAAGCCAAACTAGAATCTGCAGAGCAGCCTCAGTCTTAAAATTCAAGCTTCTTTTTCCTACTTTTTATTTCAGTGATATTTAGGACACTCTCTATTTCATAAGAATTATGATCTAACTGGCTCTATAAGCCCAAGAATAAAAATCCTTACCCCCTAGCAAGAGACCCATAGAACTCATCAGTAGTAAGACTAAGGTCCCATATTGGAAAAAATATACTAGCCCAAGGTTATAGACAGGGACCATCCAGCAATAGAGATGTTGCTGGCAAGTAACCATGGTGGTGGGTGACCACTAGCGAAAAGGGCTGAAGAGACCTCAGAAGGTCATCCAGGTTATCCTCCTGCCTTGACACAAGACACATGTGTCTCTCTAGCCAGAGTTACTTGCAGTTGCACTCACAAGTGGGGACCCCAGGTCTCCTTCATGTGATTTTCTCTGTGTACATATTTCGAAGATTCCCAAAGGCAGCATTTTTACAAGGTGGAGCTGCAGGAAGCTTCGGGGACTTGACAGACTGAGTCCAGAGCAAGCCCTCGCCCGTGGGATCTTAGCAGGAACCTGGGGGTGAAGAGGAACAGTGCAGTCCCTGAGAGGCAGCTGAGAGTACGGGCGAGCACCCTCACACTCCAGGATGAGGGCGGGGGGCAAAAAAAGAGTGGGTGCAGAGCCTGCTCATCGAGAAAGATGAAATTCTAAGGGGATTAAGAGCTAAGAAGTCAGTAGCTGAGGAGCCCACAGCTAAGTTCTCTCAGCTGGGAATTTCTATCCCAATTCTTCCTAAGTAAACCCTCTCTCGCTAAAGCAGTGGGTCTCAATAGGGGATGTTCACACGGGACATTTGGCAATGTCTAGAGACATTTTCGTTTGTCATCTCTGGGAGGGGGTGCCACTGGCATCTAGTGGGTGGAGCCCACCACACACAGGACAGCCCCAACACAGAGAATGGTCAGAACAGCACTAGTGCCAAGGCTGAGAAACCCGGTCCTGGAGGGGGTGCTTTACCCCTAAGATTCTCAATTTAGCATGAGCGGAGGCCCTTGGGATTTACAGTCAGATGAATGTGAATGCCCCACCTCAAGCCCTAACATGCCTAACATGCCACTGCCATGTTGAGCAGAAGTCCCCAATTATCCCAGAGTGTTCCACAAATGTCCAGACAGCTGCTGGAGGTTCAAATTCCAGCCAATACAACTCCAACCTTACATCCTTCTGTCTTTCTCTTCTGAAAAGCCTCCTATTTCTTTCTCAGAGCCAGGGCTACCCCGATGGCCACTGCCAGGATGGCAACAGCAGCAGCCCCTCCAAACAGCAGTATAGACTTGCCCTCAGACAGCGGCATGGGCTTCATCTCACCGGCGGGGGACAGTCTAGACTTGCCCTCAGACGGCGGCACGGGCTTCTTCTCGCTGGCAGGGGACAGCTCTTCCACAAGGCTCTCTTCCCTTGCGTTTATCTCCTTCTCACTCAGCAGCGTTTCTGTGGGTTCCAGTGCGGGGACCACCTCCTCCACTTCAGTAGGTTCAGTTGTTGCTGCTTTCACCTCTTCTTCATCAAGTTCTACAAACAGAGATGTAGCAGGGCTGGATTTCTCAACTGTGATCACTTCTGTGTCAGGTTCCCTTGTCCCCAGCAGGGAGGTGGCAGTGATATGTGGAAGCAAGGGAGCTGGGGCTTCAGGAAGTGCCTCTTGCAGCTCCCGCGCTGGCAAGACCACAGAAGCCACAGCAGCCTCTTCCATGCCCTCGGGCACCTCTTCTTTCTCCACGTGCACAATGTCAGAATTAGAGGAGTTGTTCTCACTCTTCTCTCCAGCTCCGTTGCTGTCTAAGCTTTTCACTTCTTCAGGATCCATTGCAATCTGCTGCCAGGACTCAGGGCCTAGTGACACTGGCAGGCTTTCTGTGTGCCAACTCTGGCTAGCTGACAGTGACACAGGTAAGCTCTCAGACTGCCAGGAAGTGGTCACAGTTGGAGACTCTGGGGGACTGACTTGTCCAGAGTTGTCGCTGGGCAGGATGTAAATGTCATTGCTATCTTCTGCAGTGATTCCAGGGTATTCCTCCTCCTCTGACTCAAGACTAAACACAGTGCCCTAGAAACGAAGGACAAGCGTCAATAATAAAGAATGGTAACTATTTAAAACATAAACATCAATCTGGAAAGCAAATTCTTTCCTAAACTGAAGTTCTAGGAATGAAACACTGTTTAAACCTACATAGTTTCCGAATGGAATGCATGTATTTGTAGGCCAATGCAGAGAAAGAATTTTTGACAGTCTTCTGAGCAGTCTCCTTGAAACTAAAAAATCCTAAGTTAATATACATTCAGTGTAATTCACACACAGGCTGAGAGCATCCTAATCTGAAAACCTGAAATCTGAAATGATCCAAAATCTGAGGTTTTTTTTTTTTTTTTTTTAAGATGGAGTCTTGCTCTGTCTCCCAGGCTAGAGTGCAGTGGCACAATCTCAGCTCACTGCAACCTCCGCGTCCCAGGTTCAAGCGATTCTCCTGCTTCGGCCTTCCCAGTAGCTGCAATTATAGGCACCTGCCACCACGCCCAGTTAACTTTTGTATTGTTAGTAGAGATGGGGTTTCACCATGTTGGCCAGGCTGGTCTGGAACTCCTGACCTTCAGTGATCCACCCGCCTTGGCCTCCCAAAAGTGCTGGGATTACAGGCGTGAGCCACTGTGCCCGGCCCAAAATCCGAAACTTTTTGAGTGCTGAAATGACATCACAAGTGGAAAATTCCACACTTGACCTCATGTGGTGGGTTGCAGGCAAAACACAGTCAAAAATCTGCTTCATGCACACAAAATATTATATATATTTATGTTATAAATATTGTATATTTGTAAATTAATATATTAATATTATATAAAATTACCTTCACGCTATATGTATAAGGTGCATACAAAAAGAAGTAAATGTCATGTTTGGGCTTTCCCATCCCCAAGACATCTCATCACATACACACAAACATTCCAAAATCAAAAAAAAAAAAATTAAAATCCAAAACACTTCTGATCCCAAGCACTTTGGATAAGGGATACTCACCCTGTATGTTCAATGCAGTAATTAATGCAAAACAGCAGAGAAAACAAAGGCAAGACCTTGTGCTCAAGGAATTTATCACTTAGTAGGGTATACAAATAATGCTATGTCATAGTCCAAGTGCCATTAAGAGTTCATATGGCAGTGTTGCTTTCCTTAGAAGAAGAAGAAAAAAAGTTCAGATGGGAAAAAGACCTCTTTGGGTAGAGGTCAGAGAAAGCAGGGAGATCACAGAAAGCCTCACGGAGGGACTAGCATTTCTATCAGACATCTGAAGAATGGGTAAGATTTTGGCAGGCGAAGGGTACACAGAAGACACAATGCAGGCAAAAGCACAGAGACAGAAAAAAAAGAAGATAAGGACAGAGCCCTGTTTAATTAATGCAGAGTGCCCATGAAGAATAGAAGGTCAGTGAGGACAGGACCATGGAGGAACCTGAATGACAGCTAAGAAATATGGACTTTATCCAACAGGCGATGGTTTGTCACTGACATCTCTGAGGTACAAAATTATAATCAGAGCTTTGCTTTAAAATTCCTCTGATGGCAGAGACAGAATGGAGAAATGCTGCAGACACGGAGACTCTTGCTTCTTTTGTCAGGAAGTCTGAGTGAAAGCAATAAAGCCCTACAGCACAGGCCTTGTGTCCATGTCTATTAATAACAGGCCACCGTGTGCCTACTGCTTATCAGGGTTGTGTCAGGCACAAGGGCTACGAGAAAGAATGGGTCTATTCTTACAGAATTTACTAGGCAGCTGTGAAGCCTGACATATGAATAACTAACTTCAATATGATACAGAAAGCTTTATGACAGGTGTATGCACAAGGGGCTAGGCCAACCCAGAGGGTAAGGCGCAATAAAAGGACAGGAAGAGAACCAATGGAATGGAATGTCACAGAGATGTACAGAAATTGTCATACAAAGGCTAGACAACACTCGTAAAAGCTACAGGGAATCTGAATGGAATATGTAAAGCAAATTAATTTCTACTTCATTTTATGATTATGGTTGCTATTCAACTGAAGTAGGATAATTTCATTCTTCAACCAAAACCAAAAACTTTCTACATACATCAAGGATCTAACATAAATCAAAAGTCTATCAGCCCCATAAAAAAGGAAATAAGAAATACAAATAAATCACACGACCATGATGTCGGCATCATACTGCACCACTTTCTACCTCGACCCTTGCTCCAGCCACTTCAGAGGCCCTGGTAAGCATCAAGGATGTTCTATGAGTATGGAATAATCAGGGGGTTAAAATAATACAGTATGACCACAAAATTCACAGTCAAAAACAACTGGCTTGTATCCCAGCTCCAACTGTGTACCAGCTGTGCGAATCTGGATACCTTGCTTAAACTTTTAGACTTCAATTTCTTCACAAATAAAATGGGGATGACTGACTAGATAAGATTGTTTTTGTTGTATTTTTAGAGTTGGGGTCTCGCTCTGTCACACAGGCTGAAGTGCAGTGGCAGGATCACAGCTCACTGCAGCCTCAACCTTCTGGTCCCAAGGGATCCTCTAGCCTCAGCCTCCTGAGTAGCTGGGAATAACAGCATGGGCCACTGCACTCAGCTAAGTTTTTTTATTTTTTGTAGAGACGGGTCTCTCTATGTTGCCCAGGCTGGTCTCAAACTCCTGGCTTCAAGCAATTCTCCCACCTCAGTGTCCCAAAGTGCTGAGATTATAGGTGTGAGCCACCACACCTGGACTTGAGTTCATTTTTAAAATGAGGTATAGTTTGTTTTTTGTTTTTTTTTGTTTTTTTTTTGAGACGGAGTCTCACTCTGTCATCAGGCTGGAGTGCAGTGGTGCAATCTTGGCTCACTGCAACCTCCGTCTCCCAGGTTCAAGTGATTCTCCTGCCTCAGCCTCCCGAGTAGCTGGAACTACAGGTGCACGCCACCATGCCCAGCTAATACTTGTATTTTTAGTAGAGACGGGGTTTCACCATGTTGGCCAGGATGGTCTCAATCTCTTGACCTCGTGATCCACCTACCTCGGCCTCCCAAAGTGCTGGGATTACAGGCGTGAGACACCGCGCCCGGCCCGAGGTATAGTATTTATAGTGCTTAGATTAGTACTTTGTACATAGGAAGTAATCAGTAAGTTATGCTATTTCATAACTTGCTATTGTTTGTGTTGTCATTTTAATTGTTGTTTTTGGTGGTATGGTGGTAGGACAAAGAGCTATTCTAAAATACCAACTGGATGGGACAATAAGGAAGTGAAAACAAATGGAAACAATACCCTCCCTTGGCTAAAGAAGGTAATTTACAAACTTTTCCTTCCTCCTCCATCTCTTCTAAGCAGAGATAACACAAAACTGTAAAGTAAAATCTGTCTTTAAAAATTACAGTACTGCAGTATACAATTAGGAAAATTGGAGGGCCCATTGGCTTGGAAGAGAGGGCTTCTAGGCCTCCCAGCTTTTGAGGATGACAGCTTGCCCCAGCCTCAGGGTAAGGACCACTGGAATGGTCCAGAAGAGGATGCATTCAGGAGAGGGAGAAAGAGAGAGGGAGAGAGGGAGAGGGACAGATAGAGAGAGACACAGGGAGGGTTTGGTTCAGCTAAGTAAGCAAAGACATGGAGATCCTAACCGGAAGCTGTAATCAGGTCTCAAGCTTACACATTTTGCAAGGATTTTCATTAGCATCATTTTTAATACAGAAGGATTTCAAACAGTCTTCAATACCCTCAGGAAAGTTTAAAAATATATATGGTTCATCCAAACTATTTAACTACTATTAAAAAAGAAGTACATTTTTAAGTCCAATGTGGAAGGAAGCCCATATTGTACAATAACTCTACATAAAAAACTACAAAGTATTATTGAAAGAAATTAAAGATATCCTAAAGGGATATATATATCATGCTCATAGATTGGAAAACTATTGTAAAGATGTCAGCTATTCCCAGATTAACCCTTTGGTTCAATACAATCTCCAATATAAAATCCTACCAGGTTTTTTCTTATGGAAATTGACAACTAATTAATTCTAAAATCTATATAGCAATTTAAAAAGGCCAAGGAATTTAAGCTGATCTTGAAAAACAACAGTTTGAGAGCTGACACTACCAGGTATCTACTCAACCCATTACAAAGGCACACTGATTGTATAAGCATGGTAAGAGCTTAAAAATAGGCAATTAGACCTGGCTGGGCACAGTGGTTCATACCTGTAATCCCAGCACTTTGGGAAGCTGAGGCAGGAGGATCATTTGAGGCCAGGAGTTCAAGACAAGCTTGAGCAACATAGTAAGACATCATCTCTACATACACACACACACACACACACACACACACACACACACACACACCCCTGTAGTCTCATCTACTCAACTCAGGAGGCTGAAATGGGATGATCCCTTGAGCCCAGGAGTTTGAGTCTGCACTGAGCTATGATCGTGCCACTGTAGTCCAGCCTGGATGACAGAGCAAGATCTTGTCTCAATTCCAAAAAAAACAGAGGCAATTAGACCAATTAAATAAAATAGAATCCAGAACTAGATATATAAGGTCACATGATTTGTGGCAAAGATAACTCTGTGGGAAAATGGATGGTATGATCCTATTTACTAAATGCACATATATACATATCTACTTATTTGCATATATTTATACATAATAAAATGTTTATATAAGCAAAACACATGTTTAGAAAAACGTACACCAAACCATTATGAGTTATTTCTAAGGGGCAAGGTAACAAGAAAAGTGTGCATCATAAAAATTTCTTGGCCGGGCGCGGTGGCTCATGCCTGTAATCCCAGCACTTTGGGAGGCCGAGCAGGGCAGATCACGAGGTCAGGAGATCGAGACCATCCTGGCTAACACGGTGAAACCCCGTCTCTACTAAAAACATAAAAAATTAGCCGGGTGTGGTGGCTCACGCCTGTAATCCCAGCACTTTGGGAGGCTAAGGTGGGTGGATCACCTGAGGTCAGGAGTTTGAAACCAGCCTGGCCAACATGGCAAAACCCTGCCTCTACTAAAAAATACAAAAATTAGCCAGGCGTGGTGGCACATGCCTGTAATCCCAGCTCCTTGGGAGGCTGAGGCAGGAGAATTGCTTGAACCCAGGGAGCAGAGGTTGCAGTAAGCTGAGATCGCACCACTGCACTCCAGCCTGGGTGGCATTAAGACTTACGTCTCAAAAAAAAAAAAAAAAAATTTCTTATAAGTGTCATGACTTAAAAAAAAAAACTATTTCCATTTATTTAAAAGAATGTATTTTTTTAACCACGCTGAAGCCCTCTCCCAAGCCCTGGACTAAATGGAATAAAGCTTTTTGCAGCATAACAAAATTTTTTAAATTAAAAAATAACAAAAATTTAAAAACTAAAAGAATGTAAATATGAACAGGGCTCTGCTACTTCCTGGGAACATGAGATTAGTAGATACTCAACAATCCCCACAGGAACTGTGGAACAATTTGAATCAGGTGAAGAGGCTCCTGAATGTCTGAATTTCGCACATCTGAAATGCGGCGTGGGGCACGTGGAAATATATATATATTTTTTTTTTTTGAGACGGAGTCTCGCCCTGTCCCCCAGGCTGGAGTACAGTGGCACGATCTCGGCTCACTGTAAGCTCCACCTCCCGGGTTCATGCCATTCTCCTGCCTCAGCCTCCCCCCGAGTAGCTGGGACTACAGGCGCCCGCCACCATGCCTGGCTAATTTTTTGTATTTTTAGTAGAGACAGGGTTTCTACTATGTTAGCCAGGATGGTCTCGATCTCCTGACCTCGTGATCCACCCGCCTCGGCCTCCTAAAGTTCTGGGAATACAGGCGTGAGCCACCGCGCCCGGCCTGTTATTATCAATTTTTAAAAACTTTTTATTCTTTTAGTATTGAGATTCATATTCATAAAATTCACATAACATAAAAATTCATAGCCAGGCACAGTGGCTCACACCTATAATCCCAACATTTTGGAAGGCAAAGGAGAGAGGATCACTTCAGCCCAGGAATTTGAAACCAACCTGGGCAACACAGTGAGATCCCGCCTCTAAAAAAAAAAAAAAAATTAAGGCCGGGCACGGTGGCTCACGCCTGTAATCCCAGCACTTTGGGAGGCGGAGGCAGGCTGATCGCCTGAGGTCAGGAGTTCGAGACCAGCCTGATCAACATGGAGAAACCCCATCTCTACTACATGTAAAAATACAAAAAAATTAGCCAGGCATGGTGGCACATGCCTGTAATCCCAGCTACTTGGAAGGCTGAGGCAGGAGAATCACTTGAACCTGGGAGGTGGAGGTTGTGGTGAGCCGAGATCGCGCCAGTGCACTCCGGCCTGGACAACAAGAGTGAAACTCCATCTCAAAAAAAGAAAAATTAAAAAATTTAAAAAATTAGCTGGTCTTGGTGATGTACACCTGTAGTCCCAGCTACTCAGCTACTCAGGAGGCTGAGGTGGGAGAATCACTTGAGCCTGGGAGGTCAAGGCTACAGTGAGCCATGATCGTGCCACTGCACTGCAGCCTGAATGACAGAACGAGACCCTGTCTCTAACGAAAGAAAGAAAGAAAGAAAGAAAGAAAATGAAACCCACCATTTCTAGGTGTACCATTCAGTGGTTTTTAGTATATTCATAGTGTTGTGCAACCACATTACAATTGCCAGAAAATTTCCATCATCCCAAAAAGACACCCTTTGGTAGTCACTCTCCATTCTCCCCCTTTTCATCCCCTGGCAATCACTAATCTACGTTCTATCTCTACGGATTGCCTATTCTGAGAAGTAGAAATGGAGTCATGCAATATAGCCTTCTGTATCTGGCTGCTTCCACTTAGCATAATGTTTTCAAGGCCCACCCATGTTGTAGCATGTATCCATACTTCATTCTTTTTTTTTTTTTTTTTTTTTTTGAGATGGAGTCTCACTCTTTCGCCAGGCTGGAGTGCAGTGGCGTGATCTCGGCTCACTGCAACCTCCGCCTCCCGGATTCCAGCGATTATCCTGCCTCAGCCTCCTGAGTAGCTGGGATTACAGGCGCCCACCACCACGCCCAGCTAATTTTTGTATTTTTAGTAGAGATGGGGTTTCACCAAGTTGGCCAGGATGGTCTCGATCTCTTGACCTCATGATCCACCTGCCTCGGCCGTACTTCATTCTTCTTTATGGCTGAGAATAATATTTCATTGTAGGTAGGCACGACATTTTACTTATTAATTAGCTGGTGAACATTTGGGTTGATTCTACTCTTTAGAATAGTGTTGTTATAAATGTCCATGTACTAGTTTTTGTTTGAATGTTTTTATTATTTTGAATACAGCAGGAGTAAAACTGCCAGATCATATGGTAATTTTACGTCAAATTATTCTCCAAAAAATTTAGAAAAATATTTCCAAATATTTTTGGAATTCCAAAACATTTCTGAAAATAATGATGTTGAACATCTTTTCATGTGCTAATTGGCCATTTGTACATTTTCTTTAGAATGACGTGTAATTCAAATCTTTTGCCCATTTTTAAATAGAGTTGTGTTTTTATGTTGGATTGTGAGAATTTTTTATTCTTTTTTTTTTTTTTTTTTTTTTTTGAGACAGAGCCTTGCTTTGTCTCCCAGGCTGGAGTGTAGTGGTGCCATCTCGCCTCACTGCAACCTTGGCCTCCTGGGTTCAGGCAATTCTTCTGCCTCAGCCTCCCAAGTAGCTGGGATTACAGGCATGCACCACTGTGCCTGGCTGTTGTATTTTTGTAGATACGGGGTTTCACCATGTTGCCCAGGCTAGTCTTGAACTCCTGATCTCAAGTAATCCACCCACCTCAGCCTCCCAAAGTGCTGGGATTACAGGCATGAGCCACCACACCTGACCGCGTTTTTAATTCTTAAATAAGACTGCTACAAAATTAGATACTGATATAATTGCAAGGTGCTTGTAATTGGGTTGAGACTAAAGGAAACAGGGAGATAAACAAGGTGTCCTAAAAACTAGGTCTATGAGAGGAACTAGTAGTCTATGCTAATTAATAATTTTTAAAAATCTTCAAAAAGATCTCTGCCATTAGTGCCATTCCTCATATGGATTCCTTTCCCAGACTTCAAACCCCACATGGCTAAAACAGACTGTCACTGCTATAATCTTACGGGATTTCATCTCTTTCAAACTCTCATTACATTTTCATTAGTATAGGCATAATGTAAAACCATTACACATTTCTGGGACCATCATCAATAATGAATGCTAACAAAGAGTACCTCACAACCAAATGCAGTACATAAAGTCTATATATCCATCAACTGCAGAACTCACGCAATACAGCCAGCCAGAAGAGAATGCTTGTCGTACTGAAGACTATAAACTACAAGTACTAACTCTACATCACTTCTGTCTTACCCCATACCTAATATTTTGGCTAGCATCTATCTCATCATTTTCCCCTCCTTTTATTTAATCATTAAGTACTAAATATATCTCAATGTATTTATTCCTAAATATATCTTCTAATATCTAAATACATCTCTTCCCTTCCATCAACATTTTCTGGTATTACTCTAATGTAAGCAATCTTCTTTTCCCTCCCTCCCTCCCTGTATTACTCTAATATAAGCAATCTTCCCCTTCCCTCCCCTCCTGTTCTTTTCTTTTCTCTTCTCTTCTTTTCGAGCCAGGGTCTCTCTCTGTTGCCCAGGCTAGAGTGCTGTGGCGAGAACACAGCTCACTGCAACCTCTGCCCCCAGGGCTCAAGCAACCCTCCTACTTCAGCCTTCAGAGTAGCTAGGACCACAGGCATGCACCATCATGACTGGCTAATTTTTACATTTTTTGTAGAGACAGTGTTTTGCCATGTTGCCCAGGCTGGTCTCAAATTCCTGATCTTAAGCAATCTGCCTGCTTTGGCCTACCAAAGTGTTAGGATTACAAGTGTGAGCCACCACGCCTGGCCTCAATCGTTGTCTTTCATAAGAAGCAATGCAAAGACTCCTAAAAGCCTGCAATCCAACTTGGATGATATAAAAAAAACAGTAAGTTAAGCCAAAAATCTGGGAATCATATTGGGTTTCTCCAATTCCTGGCTTCTTCTTATCAGGAACTGTGCTCTTTAGGTGCTGGTAATAAAACAATCTCTACCTTCAAAGAGTTTAAAATACAGTAACAGAGGCCGGGCATTGTTGTCTCACACCTTAAATCCCAGCACTTTTGGACGCCCAGGCAGGAGGATAAGCTTGAGCCCAGGAATTAGAGACCACCTGGGTAAGATGGTAAGACCCCATCTCTACAAAAAAAAGAAATAGCATTGGAGACAAACAGGGTACTCTGGGAACATGAGAGATTCACGGAAGAGGGAACAACAACATTGGATCTTTTTTGAGACAGAGTCTCACTCTGTTGCCCCAGGCTGCCTGCCACCACACCTGGCTAACTCTTCTAATTTTTGTATTTTCACTGAAGATGGGTTTTCACCACGTCAGCCACACTGGTTTTGAACTCCTGACCTCAAGTGATCCACCCACCTCAGCCTCCCAAAGAGCTGGGATTATAGGTGTGAGCCACTGTGCCTGGCCAAAGTTGGATCTTAAAGAATGAAAGAGAAAACCAGCAGATCAAAGATGAGCAAGATATTCCAGGCAGAAGGAAAAGCATAAACAAAAACATGGTGCTGAAAAGTATCATCATATATGCAGACTACTGGCTCTTCTGTATGCCAAAGCATAGGACAGGGGGTGAAGAAAGGCAAAGCTGGAGCTGGAGGAGGAAAGATTAGGCCAATGAACGAGAAGTAAAATATCAGTACCTTTCTTGATATAAAACATTGCCTCTATCAGCCTCTATCTCATAAAAGGTGCATGTTTCCCCCTCAGTCTTGCTGAGACATGAATTCAAGACCCTGTCCCACAATATGGCACCTCTTACACACCATCAATTACTTAGAGGAGAAAAGATGAATCTAAGGTACCATCCGGCCATTACATAAAGGCTCAGTTTGAATGTTACAAAATAAAGTAGTTCTACATTTGAAGTCTATTTATAATTTTCTGACTCAGTTAAAAAGCAAGCCGGCAAACTCATACAATATTTAGAATGATACATTATCCCTTCTTGAGCACATTAATGTTTTCCTAGGAAACCAAACATAAATTTTTGAAAGGCTACAGCACAGTGAAGGGCATTAGAGGAGGTAAAGTCAATCTTTCTTCTCTATCGCTAGGGCCATCATTTCACCCAAATCTCTCTGTAATTGTGTGCTAGGTGTTTCCTATGGGAGGGGAGGCTTCTCCTGGCAGGTTACTCATTGTGCCCTACAAATGCCATACTAAATTCCCAAGCGCTGTCTCCTTATTCACATAGATACTGGTATTAACATTTTAGGGGAGCAGAAAAGGTTTTGCAAATATGATGAAAGGTATTAAGACCTCTCTGCCTTAAAACTGTGCTTTCACACAAAGCAGCATACCATTTTAGAGGGAATTTTAGACTCCCTGAAGCACATCTATGGACCCCAGTTTAAGACCCTGATCCGGCTCCAGCAGGGTCTGGCTTAAGTTCCACTGTACTTAATCTTCCTCTCTTATTCCTCCTGAACTCCTAGACGGCACTGAGTCTGGACCACACAAACTATCAAAATATCTATTTTGTACCATACTTCTCACTAATTTTTTCACATGTATTAGTCATCTTCTCAATGACATTATAAATGCTTCAAGGGAGAAAACATGCTTTAAACTTCTTTGTTATCCCCCAGGTAATGCCTAACATATGCTGAGCAAACAGTAATGCTCAATAAATGCTTGGATGATGAGAAAGTTGGTCCCATCTTTGATATAAAAGCTCTAAACATCAAGTACTGTTAGGTACAGCTCTTTATTCATCTCTGTATTTCCATACCTCTGAACTGTACCTGTGTCTTTGTTGTCCAAGGTCACACAGCACTGGTGCTAAAAACAATTCCAACCCCCAAACAGAATGACTGAAGTCACACTGTCCCATCAATCCAGAAAGTCCAGAATGCTCTCCCAATTCTGCCCATCTGAATCCTTCTTGTTACTTCTAAACTCATAGGATTTATCTGTTACTCCTTGCTATAAAACATACAGGAAATAGTGTGGATCTGCCTTATAACTCTAAGCTCCTGGAGACTAAGGATATATTTTTATATTTTTGTTGCACTGGTTTCACTTTTCTCAGCCAGACTCTTCCCATGTGCCTCACAGGATTCAATACATATTTTATTATATTAATATAATGTTATGTATAGTTACATTAATATAGGCTGGGTGCAGTGGCTGACGCCTGTAATCCCAGCACTTTGGGAGGCCGAGGTGGGTGGATTGTTTGAGCCCAGGAGTTCGAGACTACCCTGGGTGACACAGTGAGATCCTATCTCTACAAAAAATACCAAAATTGGCCGGGAGTGGTTGCGCATGCCTGTAGTCCCAGCTACTCAGGAGGCTGAGGTAGGAGGATTCCTAGAGCCTGGGAAGTGGAGGTTGTAGTGAGCCAAGTCTGCACCACTGTACTCCAGCCTGGGTAACCGAGACCCTACCTCAAAAAAAAAAAAAAAAAAAAAAAAAAAAAAAAATATATATATATATATATATATATATATATATATATATATATATATATAAAATTAACACTGAAGTCTTTGGAAACTTAATAAGGCTGGCCCAGTTCTTGGACCTGGGGTCTTTTCCACTGAATAGCTGTCACTTCTCTTTCTGCATCTTTGCCCACATTGATGAAACATTCTTTTCTTTTCCTTATGATTTTTAGTAGAGACGAGGTCTTGCTATGTTGCCCAGGCTGGTCTCAAATTTCTGGGCTTCAGTGATCCTCTCAAAGTGCTGGGATTATAGGCATGAGCCACCATGCCCGGCCAGAACACTCTTTATGTGCAACATAACGTGTACCATAACCTGCCATTCTAGACCTGCAAGTCTCTCTGAAGAGGAAATATACGTTTTCCAACTTCTACTATAAACAAAGAAGAAAGACACTCAGTGGAGGTCTAAACAAGACTGAATAATCTCAGATCATAACCAAAGCTCAGTTTAGGATATATCATAAACGGTTCAAATATACAAGATTCAAAACATAATAAACACCTTTCTACGTTCTAGTAGAGGTCTTTTGTTACTGTTGAGTCATGGTCCCCCCAAGCTACCTAAGCTGATCTAACGAATCCTTGCTGCTTTTCAACAAAAGTCCTTTACTTACTTCAAAATGTGACCATACTTCTTTACAGAAGCCTTTCCTGATTAAGTCCTACTTTACTTCACAACTACCATTTTTTTTTTTGAGATGGAGTCTCACTCTGTCACCCAGGCTGGAGTGCAGTTGCACCATCTTGGCTCGCTGCAACCTCCGCCTCCCGAGTTCAAGCGATTCTCCTGCCTCAGCCTCCCAAGTAGCTGGGATTACAGGTGTGCGCCATCACACCTGGCTAATTTTTTTTTTGAGACGGAGTCTCACTCTGTTGCCCAGGCTGGAGTGCAGTGGCGCAATCTCTGCTCACTCCAAGCTCCACCTCCCGGGTTCACGCCTTTCTCCTGCCTCAGCCTCCCGAGTAGCTGGGACTACAGGTGCCCGCCACCACGCCCGGCTAACTTTTTGTATTTTTAGTAGAGACGGGGTTTCACCATGTTAGCCAGGATGGTCTCGATCTCCTGACCTCGTGATCCACCTGCCTCGGCCTCCCAAAGTGCTGGGATTACAGGTGTGAGCCTCCGCGCCCAGCCACACCTGGCTAATTTTTTTAAAATACTTTTGGTAGAAATAGGGTATCACCATGGTGTTGGCCAGGCTGGTCTCGAACTCCTGACCTCAAGTGATTCGCCCGCCTCGGCCTCCCAAACTGTTGGGATTACAAGCATGAGCCACTGTGCCTGGCCCATTTTTTTTCTTTGTATAGACAGTCCCCAACTTATGATGGTTCCACTTATAATATTTTGACTTTACCATGGGTTTATCAGAGCATTAAATGCATTTTTGGCTGGGCGCAGTGGCTCATGCCTGTAATCCCAGCACTTTGGGAGGCTGAGGTGGGTGGATCACGAGGTCAAGAGATGGAGACCATCCTGGCCAACATGGTGAAACCCCATCTCTACTAAAAATACAAAAATTAGCTGGGTGTGGTGGTGCATGCCTGTAGTCCCAGCTACTCGGGAGGCTGAGGCAGGAGAATCACTTGAACCCAGGAGGCGGAGGTTGCAGTGAGCTGAGATCGTACCACAGCACTCCTGCCTGGGCGACAGAGCGAGACTCCATCTCCAAAAAAAAAAAAAAAAAATGCATTTTCAACTTATGATGGGTTTATTTATTGGAATGTGCCCCATCATAAATTGATGGGCTCTATATTCTACAATACCTACTAAAGAACTGTACTTTACCATGGCTTTCTTGATATTTGTTTAGTTTGAGCAACTAAATAATTGGCTCTTTTATGTTTAGGGTGTGTTTAACTAGTACGTACAGAATCAGCATCTAATCAATTCATAGTCACATTCTTATGTTGAAGAGAGAAATGTAAGATTATTATAATCTCTGTTTCAAGAGTCTGTTATGCAGTTGGGGAGATTATGTAACATGGAGGTCCTCAAACTTTGCTACCTAGAAGCACATTACAACCCATAACAATTAAATTAGAATCCTTAATAAAGGTAGGACCCAGGCATTATATCTGGTTAAATGTAAAAGGGTATAATTCTGCTGTAATCGATTTAACCTTATTCTTGATCTCTCCCATACCCGAAGCCCATACATACTCTGGCACAATGAACAGGCATAGGTAAGATGATTTAGACATTTCATTAACTGTAAGGTAAATCGCTTCATCCACTGAATATTTACAATCACTTCAGTAATATCCCAAACTTTGCTGATTCTTGGTAAGTCACCATAACAAAGAATGACAGTAGGCAACATGAATTAAAATAGCTACTGTTTACTTAGGGAAACATTTCTGTAATCTTCCTGAAAGACTGGAGGTCCAAGACGGAGGAGAACCCACTCACCAAAGCCATATCAACAGTTAAGCTAAATTTTCCTGTAAAGTTGTATTTACCTATCTTTTTGCCAGAACATAATCCGAATGAGTCATGCAGATCCTCTAACATCTGTTACTAAGGAATTACTGTGTCACATAATTTATATACCCAAAGGCTTATCTGTTTATTAAGTCATGTCTTCAAAAACCTCCATTTTGTGAAGATCAGAAAGAAAGGCTCAGGTACAGAGTAATTTTACAAGGAAGAAGAAAATGGTAGTATAAGGTAGCACAAAGTTCCCATTTGTCCCTTATTAACTGTAGTACACTTATGTTATTTATTTGCTCTTTCAAAATTTCCAAATGAGAAACTAATACTATGGCTTAGCAGCTTTGTAATCCTCCATCCTCAAATCTCTGTAATGTAATGTCACTAACAGGAAAGTGATGAGGCATTGTGGAGGATTAAACTTTTTTCATTATTGAAACTATCAACATTTTAAAACTAGGCTAAGTCTTTTTGTTAAATGAAGAACAAGTTGGGAAAGTTAATATACAATACTGAGTAAATCTGTCACAGTCTCACCATGAGAAGATCATCCAATTTTATCAAATAATTTGCATTTCAGAGTTACGAAAAATAGTCAAAGAACATCAGTTACTTCACTACAAGTGGCTTAAAACAGTGTACTCTTCCTAGTCTTTCACTTACATTAAAAATTTACACCAAAAAAAAAAAACCTTCAAAAAACGTTATTAAACTCCCACCTCCAAACTTGAGTTACCTGGAGACAAGGAACATAATTTCTTATGTTCTTTATTCTTAATCTTGGAGTCACCTCTGCTCTCACTTTCTATTCATACTATACAAGTTTTGTAATCTGTTTTCATGCCATGTCAAAAGATGTGCCTTACAATTACACAGTTCTTCAAACAGAAGGGTCATCCAGTGATCAGAGAGGTCTCAAGTGACAACTGATAGGAATTCTCAACAGGTTACTTACCTGCACTTCTAAAAACAGAGCCTCTAATAGCAGTAACTGATTAAATAAGCAAAAACAAAAACAAGAGTCATAACGAAAACACTAAGAATTTTAGTTCTCAGTAAACAGACCTTTAGGGCTCTAAGCCAAGTAAGTAAAATGGAAATTTCAAAAGTACCATCATGGCTGGGTGTGGTGGCTCACGCCTGTAACCTTAGCACTCTGGGAGGCAGAGGCAGGCAATCACTTGAGCCCAGGATTTTGTGACCAGCCTGGGCAGCATGGCAAAATTGCACCTCTACAAAAACATACAAAAATTAGTTGAGTGTGGTGGTGCATGCCTGTGGTCCCAGCTACTCAAGAGGCTGAGGTGGGAGGATCGTTTGAGCCCAGGAGGTAAAGGATGCAGTGAGCCGAGATTGTGCCACTGCGCTCCAGCCTGGCCAACAGAGTGAAACCCTGTCTCAAAAAAAAAAAGGCCCATCATGAAGAAATAAGGGAAAAGTCAACAAACTGAAAATTAAAAGTAAAATGTCTCTTCCTCTTATGATTATTTTTTAATGAGGGTCTCACTCTGTCACCCAGGGGCTACAGTGCAGTGGCATAATCGTAACTCACTACAGCCTGAAAATCCTGGGCTCAATAGATCCTCCCACCTCAGCCTCTTGAGTTGCTGGGATTACAGGCATGAGCCACCGCACCACCACGCCTGGCTTTTCCCCTTATTTTTAACAGCTCAAAGTTAACAAAAGATTGAAGAACGTTCTTTGTTCCACATCTAGAGGATCTTTTCATCTCATCTAAGACATTAGATCAAGTTTGTCTGATCACAACTTTGGCGTAATATATTGTTTAAAAGCCAATTCAGATTTATTTATTTATTTTTTTTTATTTTTATTTTTTTTGAGACGGAGTCTCGCTCTGTCGCCCAGCCTAGAGTGCAGTGGCTCGATCTTGACTCACTGCAAGCTCCGCCTCTTGGATTCATACCATTCTCCTGCCTCAGCCTCCCGAGTAGCTGGAACTATGGGTGCCCACCACCACGCCCGGCTAATTTTTTTGTATTTTTAGTAGAGACGGGGTTTCACCGTGTTAGCCAGGATGGTCTCGATCTCCTGACCTCGTGATCTGCCCACCTCGGCCTCCCAAAGTGCTGGGATTACAGGCATTTATTTATTTTTTATTTTTATTTACTTTTTTTTGAGACAGAGTCTTGCTCTGTCACCCAGGCTGGAGTGCAGTGGCGTGATCTCAGCTCACCGCAACCTCCGCCTCCCAAGTTCAAGCGATTCCCCTGCCTCAGCCTCCGGAGCAGCTAAGATTACAGGTGTGCGCCACCATGCCCGGAGAATTTTTTTTTTTAATTTTTAGTAGAGACAGGGATTCACCATGTTGCTGGTCTCAAAGTCCTGACCTCAAATGATCTGCCTGCCTCGGCCTCCCGAAGTGCTGGGATTACAGGTGTGAGCCACTGCACCCGGCCAATTCAGATTAAATAGCTTTATGTCTTGCTGTCATGGCCTCCCTACCTTACAATGTATTTCTGTATTTAGGACGTGACATTTTAATGAAGATTCACTGAACATTCTGTGCTGTTATGTAAGAAGTCTTACAAGAAAGAACAGATTACTAAGCTTTTACTCCTGGGGACCAATTCACATAAAACAAAAATATAAAAATAGCAGCCTCTTTTTTTTTTTTTTTTTTTTTTTTTAAGACAAGGTCTTACTGTTACCCAGGCTGGAGGTCAGTGGCGCAATCTTGGCTTACTGCAGCCTTGACCTCCCAGGCTCAAGTGATCCTCCTGCCTCAGCCTCCTGAGTAAATGGGACCACAGATTACTTCCAGTTAATTTTTATATTTTTTGTAGAGATGGGCTCTCACTCACCATGTTGCCCAGGCTGGTCTTGAGCTCCTGGACTTGGGCAATCTGCCTGCCTCGGCCTCCCAAAGTGCTGGGATTACAGGAGTGAGCCACTGCACCCGGTCAATGTTTTCTTTTGTTTTAATAGCACTCTGTTGCCTAGGCTGGAGTGCAGCAGCACAATCTCAGCTCCTGGGTTCTGCAACCTGGGTTCAAGAGATTCTCCTGCCTCAGCCACCTGAGTAGTTGGGATTACAGGAACCCACCACCATGCCTGGCTAATCTTTCTATTTTTTATTTCATTTATTTATTTATCTTTCCTGAGACAGAGTCTCTCTCTGTTCACCCAGGTTGGAGCGCAGAGGCACAATCCTGGTTCACTGCAACCTCCGCCTCCTGGGTTCAAGCAATTCTCCTGCCTCAGCCTCCCGAGTTGCTGGGACTACAGGCATGCACGACCATGCCTGGCTAATTTTTGTATTTTTCATAGAGATGGGGTTTCACCACGTTGGCCAGGCTGGTCTCGAACTCCGGACTTCAGGTGATCTGCCCACCTTGGCCTCCCAAAGTGTTGGGATTACAGGCGTGAGCCACCACGTCCAGCCTCAGTTTTATATTTTTGAGACAGGGTTTTGCCATGTCACCGGGCTGGAGCCTCTTTTTTTTGTTTTGTTTTGTTTTTGAGATGGAGTCTCACTCTGTCGCCCAGGCTGGAGTGCAGTGGCGCAGTCTTGGCTCACTGCAACCTCTGCCTCCTGGGTTCACGCCATTCTCCTGCCTCAGCCTCCCGAGTAGCTGGGACTACAGGTGCCTGCCACCACGCCCAGCTAATTTTTTGTATTTTTTAGTAGAGACGGGGTTTCACCGTGTTAGTCAGGATGGTCTCGATCTCCTGACCTTGTGAGTCACCCACCTCGGCCTCCCAAAGTGCTGGTATTACAGGCGTTAGCCACCATGCTCGGCCGAGCCTCTCTTAATAATTAATGTCATAATGAAGAGCAGGCTTTCACTAAAAGAAAAAGAGCTGTTTTGGATAATATATTACTTACAACTTATCATATTAGAAGAATAATATCTACAAGTAGCCTCGGAACCATTCTAACAATCTAAATAGTTTTTAATACAAAATATTTGTGTTGTTGAGAGTATCTGTCTCTTTGGCTTCACTGACATAAAATGCAAAGGAGTAATTTCGAGGGCTCAAAAATATAAAACTCATGGGATAAACCATGAGTTTAAATATGCACAAAGAAGCAGAGAACTGCGTCTTTTTTGTTTTTGTTTTTAAATAAATGAAGCCAAAGGGTTTGAGTAACTTGCCCAAGGTCCCTTAGCTTGCTATGACAAATTGGATAGCAATAATAGGTAACCCTTATATAATTCTTATCATGTGCCCTTCTAAAGTCTTCACTTCATCTATTGAAACCTCACAACAATGCTATGAGAGGATTATTATTACTTCCATTTCACAGACATGGATACCAAAACAAGTAAAGAAGATAAGTAGTTTTCCCAAAGTAATAAAGCTGGGATTCAAGCCCAGGCAGTTTGCCTCCAGGGTCTGTATTTTTACCAACTATGCTGTCCTACCTCTTAGATGAAGTCCCTGATTGCTTTCTGGTGCTTTTCTGTCTGTAATATAGTACCTTTTGAGTTAATGGCCAGAAGTATTCATAGATAGAACATGTTATACTTGGTGTTTTTTTTCAAGCAAACACACAGATACATGCATTAAACTCTTCAATTAAAAAGGGAAGTAGAGAAGAAACCTAAGTAGATAAAAGGAATATAACAAAATAAATGTAAAATAAAATACAAATATAACTTTGCTTTGGTGGTAGGAACTAAGTAAAAAACTAAGTAAAGGAACGTATCAAAATAAATGTAAAATAAAATACAAACATAACTTTACTTTGGTGGTAGACCTAAGTAAAAATCAGGTTGACAATTGCTCAGAGACCTATTACAAAAATTGGCTGCATCATGATGTCTATATTGATTGTATTTTTTTGTTTCACTTTTTTTTTGGTGGGGGCAGGGGGTCACATCAGTTACAAATTATTCTGCCCCCTCAAGCAATATTTTACCTTCTGAGACACAGCTGCTGCTGAGCTGAGCTCCTATGAACTTAACTTTTCCATCTGAAGAAGCTTTGGCAAAATTCCAAAGCCCATCTACGTTGGTAAATTTTCTAAGGACTCATTTCCCTTAAGATTTATGCCAACAAACCTCTATCATTACTTCTCAGACTTTATATATATATCTGTCAAGAAAAAGAGCTGTTTTGGATAATACGTTAGTTACAACTTACATTAGAATAACATCTACAAGTAGTCTTAGAACGATTCTGACAATCTAAATCATTCTTCATATAAAATATTTGTATTGTTGGGAGTATCCATCTCTTTGGCTCCACTGACACAAAACACACAAAGGCTCCACTGACATTTTGTAACTTTGAGGGCTCAAAAATATAAAACTAGCCGGGATCAACCAGCTAGTTTTATATTTCTGAGGCCTCGAAGTCGCAAAATGGAAACAGATCACTGCTTTGGACCCTTATAACCAAATGCGCCTCTCAGATCATTATTAACCTAAAATAAGAAAATGGAGAGTGCTGAAGAAATTACAGAGAAGTAATTTTCCACCCAACTTGATGAGGAAGATCCACAAAAAACACATTTCAGAGTACAACACAGTAAACATCCACACCCACATATACAGCAGGCAGATTTTCCCAAAACAGTACTTACTCTTACTAAATTGATTTTAGCTGCAACCCACTTCATTAATTTCAGATCATCCCTGTGTGTCACCTCCCACAATATGAAAACTATTCTAACAAATTATTAACCTAAAAGCTTCCAAGAGATAGTCTTTAAATATCCTAGATTAAACAAACAAAAACCTATTCTAAAATCAGAAGCTTCATGTCAAGAGAAAATGACAAAGATTAATTTTATTCAAAATACTTAAATATTACAATAGACAGATGACATTCCCTCCAGTAATCTTTTATGGAATCTAAAAGTAAATCTTTCACAAGAAGTATTTATCATGTGACGACGGAGAAAGTAAAATACAAGCCTTACCACAGTGGACTTGCTCTGCCCTTTCCAGGAGACAGACAGACTTCTAACGTAGCAACACAAGCCCAGGAAATGAAAAGAGAATGAGGAGGGAGGGAGCAAGGATGACTCAGGGAGAATCACAGCACATGAACCAGTCTGTGCCCTCACCGGGCTGCAGGGCAAATAAAAGTCAAAACTGAAACTAAGAGGAAATGGTGATCAGACTTAAGGAGAGGGAAAAAAACCACACTCTTCAGAGACGCATGTGAAAACCTGGCATTTGTAAAAGTGTGACATTTTCACAAAACACTTTCACATCATTATTTTTGTGAGACAGAGAAGCTATTCTTCCCTTTTTGTAGTTGAAACTGAGGTTCAGAGAAGTTAAATGAATCCTTCCAAAACACAGGGCTAGTATTTGGCAGAGCTGGGGCAAGAAACAAATCTTGTGATTTCTAATCCTTTTCTCAGTTCATCATTCGCCGGGTAAAAAGGCAGAGTGAAAAAAAAAAAAAAACAAGGTAGAAAGAGAAAACAGGCTGGGCAAGGTGGCGCATGCCTGTAATCCCAGCACTTTGGGAGGCCAAGCGGGGAGGATTGCTTGAGGCCAGGAGTTTGAGACCAGCTTGGGCAACATAGTGAAACCTCTCTCTGCAAAAAATAAGCCAAGTGTGGTAGTGCATGCACACCTGTGGTCCCAGCTACTAGGGAGGCTGAGGTGGGAGGATCACTTGAGCCCAGGAAGTTGAGGCTGCAAATGAGCCATGATCATGCCACTGTACTCCAGCCAGGGCAACAAAGCAAGACCCTGTTTCTAAGTCCTAGCCATTTCTGTTAATAATTCAGAAAACAAAATATTATTTTTCTCCTTCAAATCTATATGTCCAAAGCCTGCCTGTTCCTAACTGACTATGTGCTATATCACTCCATTCATCCAACAGATTATGGCTGCTGGCACCACCTCCTCTGCTGCAGGTTTTCAAAAGTAGCTGCACCTTGAGAGGTAGGCAGTTTGTTTCACTTGATGTTGTGTTCAAGTGACTAATGACAAATACATTCCCCGTGGAAATCATACCACAGGCTTTATATAACAGACATGCGATATCATGTGGTCAAATGATTCTCTTCTGGAAGGGTTTTAAGAGCTGTCAATGTAATGTTCAGCACACAGTATCTTAAGGAGATTCATGTTGACAGCTTATGTCACAGGATACATTTTCACCAACTGGCATTAAAAAAAAAGCAATATCGGCCGGGCGCGGTGGCTCACGCCTGCAATCCCAGCACTTTGGGAGGCTGAGGCGGGTGGATCACGAGGTCAGGAGATCGAGACCATCCTGGCTAACACAGTGAAAACCCATCTCTACTAAAAATACAAAAAATTAGCCGGGTGTGGTGGCAGCCATCTGTAGTCCCAGCTACTTGGGAGGCTGAGGCAGGAGAATGGCGTGAACCTGGGAGGCGGAGCTTGCAGTGAGCCAAGATAGTGCCACTGCATTCCAGCCTGGGCGACACAGGGAGACTACATCTGAAAAAAAAAAAAAAATGCAGTATCTTGGGTTTTTGTTTGTTTGATACAGAGTTTCGCTCTTGTTGCCCAGGCTGGAGTGCAATGGCACGATCTCAGCTCACTGAAACTTCTGCCTCCCTGGTTTAAGCAATTCTCCTGCCTTAGCCTCCCAAGTAGCTGGTGTTACAGGTGCCTGCCACCACACCCAGATAATTTTTTTTTTAATCAATCAAAACCTTTAATGCTCAGTTTTCACAATCAAGTCTATCAAATTTCCAGATTTACAGCAAAATGTGCCCCCTAAAAAAGTGTACATTCTTCAGTTTCTCCTATACTTTTTTTTTTTTTTGCCTATCTTTCAAAACTGAGCACTGGGTATTTTTAACATAAGCCATGTCATATGTACAGTTTAACTATGTTTCAGGAATAAACAAAATTCATGATATTTTAGTAACTCACAGTGTATTTATAGAATGAAAAGTTCTCTATCAAAACACACTTTTCACTGGGAAAAATAAATAAAATAGACAAATGGATCTACACAAAGTAAACATTAACTTTGGTAGATTTCAGTGCAGTTCATAACAAGCATATTTGCCCTTATTCCCCCAGAGCTGCTCAACTAAGAATTTTTAAAATACTTTAACTGAGATTTTATTATGTTGACATTTGTTTCTCATTCCACATCATCTTCAGCCACACCCAGATGATTTTTGTATTTTTAGTAGAGATGAGGTCTCACCATGTTGGCCAGGATGGTCTCAAACTCCTGACCTCAGGTGATCCGCCTGCCTTGGCCTCCCAAAGTGCTGGGATTATAGGCATAAGCCACTGCACCCGGCCTAATATCTTAGTTTTAAACACAAGCAAATGGAGAGCTTAGACCGAACAATGTGAAATACAGATTGGACATTCAAATTTAGAGATAAAACACATTTGAAATATTAATGAAGGCCAGGTGCAGTGGCTCATGCCTGTAATCCCAGCACTTTGGGAGGCCTAAGTGGGTGGATCACTTGAGGCCAGGAGTTTGAGACCAGCCTGCCAACATGGCGAAGCCCTATCTCTACTAAAAATACAAAAAGTAGCTGGTCATGGTGGCACACACCTGTAATCTCTGCTACTCAGGAGGCTGAGGCACAAGAATAGCTTGAACCTGGGAGGCGGAGGCTGCAGTGGGCTGCAATTGCGCACTGCACTCAAGCCAGGATGACAGAGCAAGACTGTTTCAAAAAAAAAAGAAGTATTAATGAACTAGTTATCCATGCAGTAGATCTTTTCTTTTGGCACAGATACTGGAGTTGAGTAATATACTTACTTTCTCTGTAACCAATTACAATCACCAAACAAACCTTGATGTACTACATCATCATAAAACTGAAAGTTGAGAAGGGAGTGCATAATATTCCCTGCATTTTTCTTCCCTTGTTGTAAAGCACCATATGGGATAAATGGCAGTTAACCTGGGATGTCTCCTGGCTATCATACAAACCATACACTACAATAGCCAAAGGTTTTAAAAAGTACTTAAGTAGGAAGACAACAATAACAATAAATTGTCGCAATTCTTATTTTTAAGAACAGCTCAAAAAATATTTTTATTTTCCTAAGACAAATGTTCAGGATTTTATTCAGTAAGCATTTACCAAGCACGTAAACCTAGGATGTTCGATATTAGTATCCATAGTAATTAAATTTACATATTTTAAAAATTAACTCAAACCCTCAGATGCATAGTGGCTAAAAAACAATAATGAGTAGTATACTTTATGAAAAGTACTCTCTCTACAGAATCACTGACTGTTGGGCAAATTACAACAAATAAACTTAAAAACCATTTCTAGGCCCAAAGAAAGAAAGAGAGTCCGCATAAATGTCCAGGGGTCAATAATTACAACTTTTAGTCACCTACAATTGACAGAACTAAAGGGAAAATGGAAAATCTACCACCATAGTAGCAAATAGAACATGTCTCTCTTAGTAAATAATTAGACAAAATAATTGGAAATGACTGAAAGATTTAAAATACGTATTATTAAGACTGATTAAATGTAAATGGACACGTACAGACTTCTGCACCAACCATTAGAGAATACATGTTCTGAAACATACATAAAAATATACATGTGTGTATATACATATACATATGTGTGTGTGTGTGTGTATATATATATTTTGTTGTTGTTGTTGTTGTTGCTCTGTTGCCCAGGCTGGAATGCAGTGGTGCCATCTTGGCTCACTGCAACCTCTGCCTCCCGGGTTCAAGTGATTCTCCTGCCTTGGCCTCCTGAGTAGCTGGGATTACAGGCACATGCCACCAAGCCCAGTTAATTTTTTGTATTTTTTTGTACAGATGGGGTTTTGTCATGTTGACCAGGCTGGTCTTGAACTCCTGACCTCAGGTGATTCACCCACCTCAGCCTCCCAAAGCACTGGGATTACAGATGTGCACCACTGCACCCAGCCCTATATATATATTTTTTAAATTGATCATGATAGTAGGCTATAACTCAAGTTTCAATGCCACGATGGTCGTGCTTTCTGATGAAACAGAATTAAATTAGTAATTGAAAACAAAATTTTTAAACCTGTAAGTATTTAGAAATTAAAAAATACATTTCTAAGTAATTCAAGGGTCAAAGAACATATAAGGAAAATTTATAAACAACTGAACCAACTGAATAATAATAATAATTACATATCAAAAAGTACGGGATAGAGCACGGCACAGTGGTGGGCACCTATAGTCCCAGCCTGTGCTCTTGGCTATTCAGGACCTGAGGCAGGATCACTTGAGCCCAGGAGTTTGAGACCGAAGCCTGCCATGATAGTGCCAGCAATTAGACACTGCACTCCAGCCCGGGTAACACAGCAAGAACCCATCTCTTAAGAAAAACAACAAACCTAATTTTTTTTCAAGAAAATATTTTTAATATATAACAGCTCATACCCAGCCACCTTGCTGAATGATGTACTCTGCCGAATAGTCCTCCAGGTATGTCACGCCAAACTGCAGCAGTGCGCTCAAAGGTTCTTGACCACGTCTTGTCAATTCCAAAAGCATTTGTCGTAGCAAAACCAGAGGCACCAAAATCTTCAATGCAAAGATGAGAGAATAAAAAACCACACTGAAATTCTTATAATGTGTTTTATATGTTCAACTACTAGAAAATTATATTTAAATGCATCATTAAGGTATTTTTATTTTCATTATATAAAGGAAATAAAACAGTAACTTCTATTAGGATTTTTCTGAATACTGCATGTAGGTTTTATACAATAGGCAGGTAGAAATAGTTATTGAAAATAATTAGGCATGTGTGTGCATGTATGTGTGTGACAGAAATAACATATATAGAAGGAAATTCACTGATGCATTATTAATTAATTAATTTCTTTTTCCTTTTTTTTTTTTTTTTTTGAGATGGAGTCTCGCTCTTTCATCCAGGCAGTGGCACAGTCTTGGCTCACTGCAGCCTCCGCCTCCCAGGTTCAAGCGATTCTCTGCTCAGCCTCCTGAGTAGCTGGGATTACAAGTGTACGCCATGACGCCTGGCTAATTTTTGTATTTTTAGTAGAGACGGGGTTTCACCATGTTGGCCAGGCTGGTCTCAAACTCCTGGCCTCAAGTGATCTGCCCACCTCAGTCTCCCAAAGTGCTGGGATTATAGGCGTGTGCCACCACGCCCAGCCTGAAGCATTATTTATAACAGCAGAAAACTAGAAAAACAACCCAACAGGGACTAGTTAAATAAATTATTGTCATCCAGTAAAATATATAGTTGTTAAATTGCTTACTACCCAATCACCACAATTTACTTTAAGTGAAAAAAGGCAAGTTATAGAAGAATACATACAGTACCATTTGTGTAATAAAAACATATACACATATATATATGTCTATATAATCCTACAGGGTCTCCAGAAAAATACGCAAGAAATTGGTAATAGTGGTTGCCTAAAAGGAAGGGAACTAGGTGACTGGCAACAAGGATGAGAGAAAACTTTTATTTTTCAAAGCATATCTTTCTGTACTTTTTTGCATTTTGTACCATGTGCTTTTATTATTTGAAAATAAGAACTTTTAAAAACTAAGAGCTATCTTGTAAAACTCATCAAAAGTCAAACATAAAAGATGCCATTACAATCTATACCTAATAACCATGTGGCTCAATACTTAAAAGTCGTCAAAAATTACAACAGAAACTAACTAGAGTCCCTGTCTTCCCTTAAAAAAAAATGCATATTGAAAAAAACTAAGTATTCAGGTAGCCATCTGCATGCAATCTCTTTTGTTTAAAACATCAAGAGGTCCATATGCCTGCAAAAGGAATGCAAAAGGAAATGAAACCAATTCCATTTGCTTGTTAGTAGACTGCCAAGGAAATAACTGAGGGACGACAAAATACTTCTGCAGGAGGACAAACAAAAAACAATGAGTTTATATTTCAAACTAATATTCCTTGGCTTCTAAAGAAACGAAGAGAAAGCAGCCCTGGGGGAATCTCTATCAAAATCTGAAAGGAAGCATGCAATGAACACATAATATCTTTACTTCTTGACATTCTAAAGGCACTCCAGCCCAAAATATATTGAAAACTCCTTCTTAACAATGATGGAGTAGTATAGGGCTATAAAGAAGAATCCATTAGGCATTTCCTCAATAAGAAAACTTACACTATTAAACAAACAAACAAAAAACTGTTTATATTTTGCCTCGGGTAGAAGCAGGTAAGGAGTGGCTTATGAACCAGTGGTGCTAACCTGTGTATCAACTTAAAGGCCCGGGATGTTCTGGACTTCAAAACATTCTAATTTCCCATAATAATCCACAATAATGTAACATTTTAAAGTTATTCATGTTTAAGCTCTATTACCTCTTGGGGAAATGAGTTGTAAATATTTTATGCTTGTTATATAAAATACCACTTAGTTTTATTTGTTCCAAATTTAACTCTTTCATATATCGAAAAGCAGACACCCTAGTTTTACTATGTAAGAATCTAGTGATAAATCTGCAATTCTCTTTCACTCCTGGAAGAGGAGTGAAAAGCCTCATTCACTAGACTTCCAGTCTGAAATCCACTATTCTCTTATTCTGTTTTTCATATGGCCATTGCTCCATTGCAATGCAAAGTGATCCATTTGATCACTTAAGTTCCCTTTTCTGGATCTTCCCTATTCCAGTATCTTTCTTGAAACGCAGTAACCACAGAGCAGAAATGTCATTTTTCAGGACGGACATTTTCTATGCGGTTGGTAATACGCTTCTTGGTGGTACATGCTATGTCAGATGATTCGTTTTTTTCCCTTCATTCCTCATACAGTTATTAAATGACTACCATATACCAGGCTTACCTATTTGGCATGCTATCTTCAGGGACCTGTATGATGACGTCCAAGGCCACTGTACCGTTTAGATTGTCTTTAAGCAGCTAAATCCTAAGAGGATTTACACATAATCCTACACACAAAGCTCCATGAGTTAATTCTACAACTGACCTCCATCAACTTGACATTTTACTATCCACAAGAATTTTACATAATCTGCACAACTGATTTTTTTTGGACTCTCATCTCCCACATTACTTTTTTTAAATGTTAAAACAAAACTAGATCCCCAGGCATCCACTCCTAGAAGAACCCACGATTCACATGTCTAGGTCTAAAAAGTCAGCAAATAGTTTTATCTTTGATTCTTTCTCAAAAGTCATTTCCTTACTGGATAACAGTAATCCCCACATCATATATAATTTTTTTTCTTCAATTGTTTTTGCAATGAAATGCTAAAGTATTTTTGACCATCAAAACAGATTACCTCCACTGGCTTACCTTTATCCACACACTTATTTAATCTCCTGACATCTCTTCGTACACTATGTGGTCTCTTTGTTTAACAGGTTAGACCTACTTAAATTTAGGGACATTATCCTTTTATTAAATAATATATGAGCTTGCTTGGTGTAGAAATGAAGCGTACTAATTTATAGTTCTGAGAGTCCCTTTCATTACAATGAATATTTATGATAACAGTGACATATTTTGCTCTACCAATCTATTTAACCCTTCTGTGACTTAACAGTCCTAATAAAAATCATATTCTACAAATTTTATCTGTACTGAATTCATTGATTAGGTTTGTCTTTGATTTGTGTGCTTCAAAATACAATGTAAGAGACAACCAGATATTATATGTCACCCAGTGTGATGCAATAGGAAATAGATAAAACCACTCATTAGGTATTCTTGCCAAAAAGATTGAACCTGAATCTGATCAGGAAGGAAATACAGACACAGAAGAACATGTTAAGTGACATCTCAGTGATATAGTCAATAAAACCCAGAAATGAGAACATTTTACAGGAAAAATAACTTGTAACTGAATTAAAGAGAGGAAAAAAGAGGGAGGATAAGTCTACATATTAAAAGAGACTTCAATCACATATTATATTACTCCATTTATTTGAAATGTCCAGAAAAGACAAATTCATTAAGACAGAAAGTAGTCATTGTTGTCGGGGGCTGGGAGGAGCAGGAAAGAAAATGGGGAGTAACTACTAACAGGTGGAGTGACTACTAATAGGTATGGGCTTTCTTTTCTTTTTTTTCTGAGACAGTCTGGCTCTGTTGCCCAGGCTGGAATACAGTGGCATGATCTCGGCTCACTGCAACCTCCACCTCCCAGGCTCAAGCCATCCTCTCACCTCAGCCTCCCAAATAGCTCGGCTCAGAATACAGGTGCACACCACCATGTATGGCTTTTTTTTTTTTTTTTTTTTTAAGAGACAGGGTCTTGCTATGTTGCCCAGCCTGGTCTCAAACTCCTGGGCGTAAGTGATCCTCCCGCCTTGGCCTTCTAAAGTGCTGGGATTACAGGTGTGAGCTACTGTACTGCATCCAGCCCTTTATAAAATCTATTTCAGGCCAGGTAGGGTGGCTCATGCCTGTAATCCCATCACTTTGGGAGGCCAACAGAGGCAGATCACCTGAGGTCAGGAGTTTGAGACCAGCCTGGCCAACATGGCAAGACCCTGTCTCTACTAAAAGTACAAAAATTAGCTGGGCATAGTGGTGGGCACCTGCAAGCCCAGCTACTTGGGAGGTTGAGGCAGGAGAATTGCTTGAACCCGGAAGGGAAAGGCTGCAGTGAGTGAGCCGAGATTGCACCAATGCACTCCAGGCCTGGACAACAAAGCGAGACTCCAACTTGAAAAAAAAAAAGGCCAGGCACAGTGGCTCACACTTGTAATCCCAGCAATTTGGGAGATTGAGGTGAGCAGCGGATCATGAGGTCAGGGTTGGAGACCAGCCTGGCCAACACAGTGAAACCCCATCTCTACTAAGAATACAAAAATTAGCTGGGCAAGGTGGCAGGTGCCTATAATTCCAGCTATTTGGGAGAATCGCTTGAACCTGGGAGGCGGAGGTTGCAGTGAGCCAAGATCAAGCCACTGCACTCTGGCCTGGGCGACAGAGTTAGACTCTGTCTCAAAATAAATAAATAAATAAAATAAGTCTATTTCAAATGTCTATATCAGAGAGAATATTTTCTCTTATTCCAAAAAAACAAACGAGGCAAATAGATATCTTAACAAATTATGTACCGATAGGTAACATACTAATACTCTGTTAATAGTGACTATTTGAGAATAAGGTCCCATGTGTTAAAGCTAATATAATAGCTGCTGTTTACTGAGCTTTACTATGGTGCCTGATAATATGCTTAATAAGTACTGAACATGTATTATCTCATTTAATTCTAATAAAACTTATGAGACTAGTATTATTGTTTCCCATTTCACAAATGAGAAAACTAAGACTCAGAGAGCTTCCTATAACAAACCTGCACATACATGTCCCCCGAATCTAAAATAAAAGTTGAAATTTTATTTTTTTTTGAGACGGAGTTTCACTTTTGTTGCCTAGGCTGGAATGCAATGGCGCAATCTTGGCTCACCACAACCTCCAACTCCCGGGTTTAAGCAATTCTCCTGCCTCAGCCTCCTGAGTAGCTGAGACTACAGGCATGCGCCACCATGCCCAGCTAATTTTGTATTTTTAGTAGAGACGGCGATTCTCCACGTTGGTCAGGCTGGTTGCAAACTCTCAACCTCAGGTGATCCGCCCACCTCGGCCTCCCAAAGTGATGGGATTACAGGCATGAGCCACTGCACCCGGCCGAAATTTTTTTTTTTTTTTAAAGAGAACCTGCCCACAGACATATATCCAGTCCATGGCAAAGCTAAAATCTGAAACAAGTTTGGTTATGTACCTAATATACATCAATTAGGTACATAAGGTCACATGTCTGACTCATGACAAACAATTCCAAATAGAGGTAGGTGTCTATAAAAGTAACTGTCCTGAATTTTCTCATCTCTAGCACTGTATCCCTCAGGGCTGCCCTTCTTTCTCACACTGCACTAAGCCACCCTATACTGCATCCCCCTATACCCTGCCTTCTCAAGGTGCTAAGTAAATAATACAGTCTAAGATAATAGATAAGCAACATGTACAGTGGAAAAAACAGACGCTAGAATCAGATCTTAGCTCTAGTGTTGGTTCCAATATTGACTGGTCAAGGGATTCTAGGCAAGTCATTTAACTTTTCTTTCTGATTACCTACCTAACTAGCTAAGTAATAAAGAAGACCTAATAAAATCCATTCTGTCTTCTGCAAAGGATGGTTGGGATGCTCAAATGGTATGTGACACGAGACACTGTGTAAGTTATAAAACATAAATGGTATTATTCATCTAAGAGAACAGGAAGAGGCTACCTCCCAAGTAAAGTCTGTATTCTTTTTCCCCAAGACACACTCACATGTTAATAAATATATAACCATCTGGAGATAAATGTTATGTCTAACACAGAGAAATGAAGAAATGATGGGAAAATTGGGACAGAAAGGAAGGGGCCATACTATAGGACACATAATTTTGAGCCAAGCAGGACCTTGCAGCATTAATCGAAAAACCAGTTTAACCAAAAATATCCCCTTAACATAGATTTGTGCATTAAAGAATGAGCTCTAACAGTTTTCTGCTGATGATGCTAGCAATTCCTCCTACGTCTTATCATTAACACACTAAAATCTTTTAAGAGAAAAGATCATTGTGATGATACCTTATTCCAGCCGCTGGCATGAACTGTGGTCTCCAGTGTACATTCCCGAAATGCCTGATATGTCACTGGCCTGTAGAGATTTTTTTAAAAGTCTGTGTCACAAAGAAGGAAAATTCTGTATTTCCAGATGAATACATATACAGTCACTACTCTGTTGAACTTTTTGCTAAACTGACAAAGATTATTCAACATACTGTTTTGTACAAGACGTGGCTTTTCACACTAGTATGCACTTTTTTCAAGCATTCTATAAGCTGTGATGCATGCCTGGGAAATAGTTAATAACATAGCAAGATAAATGTATATTCTAGTAATTTTTTTGTAACTGCTTGGAACTTACAGGATAGGATTTTTATGCTGCAAAGAAATACCTGAATTATTAATACAGGATAAAATAATAACAAAAATGATCTCATTAGCACAATGAAAACCAGAATTTTAACTTTTTTTAAAGGTAAAAAATCTAAAATATTTTAAAACTAAAGAGACATGTCACTGGAAGACTTTTCATATTGAGGAGACAAGAGTTGAAATAAATATCGCAATAAATTGAGTCCACTTTTTAAATTTTTAATTAAAAAAATTTTTTTTGGCTGGGCATGGTGGCTCATGCCTGTAATCCCAGCACTTTGAGAGGCCGAGGCAGGTGGATCACGAAGTCAGGAGATCAAGACTATCCTGGCCAACATGGTGAAACCCCGTCTCTACTAAAATACAAAAAATTAGCCAGGCATGATGGTGTGTGCCTGTAGTCCCAGCAACTCGGGAGGCTAAGGCAGGGGAATCGCTTGAACCAGGGAGGCGGAGATTGCAGTGAGCCGAGATCGCACCACTGAACTCCAGTGTTGGGAGTTTACAAGAAACGAAGGCTCAGGGAAGGCTGAACGTTACCATGCTAGATTTAACTATTGGCATGAATATTTTGGTCTTTCCTTCTTCCTGAGTATCCAGGAAAGTATATTTTCCAGCCCCTTGCAGTTAAGCAGGGCCATGTGGTTAGCCCAGCCAATGAAATGTGGGTGGAAGTGATGGGTGCCACTTCCTGGCTGAAGCAGGAAGAGACTTTCTGTAATTATCCAGTCTCTTTCTCTTTCTTGCCCTGATGGTGGTAGACGAGGCTGTGTTGAGGTCCTGGAACCATAAGTTCCAAGTGGTTCCTCGCATTGCTACGTGGCCACACCTGTAGCAGATTTGCATGACGCCAAAGGAACTTTTCTCTCGTGAAGTCACTGAGATTGAGGGATTGCAGCAAATCTCAGCCTACCTCAATTAATACATCCTACAGCTGGGAAGTGGTGTGGCTGGGATTTGAACTCAGATCTCTCTGACCACAGACTGAAAACAGAATCAGGGAAGACGGTTGTAGATTCAGGGACACACATTTTCCCCACCACCTGCATTTTAACATTTTGAAATCAGGTTTCATCTGATAATCAATGGCACCTCACCACAGTTGTTGGCCTGTTGGATGTTAAGATTCTGACACATGCCATGACAATGTCTCGATGTCACATGTAGCTAATGAGCATTAGAAACGTAGCCAGTGTGCTGAAAGTATAATATACACACTAGATTTCAATGAGGAAGAAAAAACAATCTAAAATAGCTCAATAATTTTTTGTACTGAATACATGTTGAAATATTTGCACTGGTGACAGTGCAAGACAGTGCAAGACTAAAAATTAAAAAAAAATTTTTTTTTTTAAATGGAGTCACCTATGTTGCCCAGGATGGTCTCAAACTCCTTGGGCCCAACTGATGCCTCCTACCTCAGCCTCAGTGCTAGCTGGGATTACAGGCCTGTCCCACCACCCCTAGCTGGAGTCCTATTTTTAACTTGGAGTGTTATGATACAAGGGTAGAGAGATAAGCCTTTCTGATTATTTCTATGTAAGTCCTAGTCATACCAAAAACTCGAATCATTAACAACACTCACTCATTTGTTGAGTGACTTCAAGTACTTTATTTAAAGCACGGTTTCATGCATAAATTTTAAAAACAAAAGACTTGGGGACCAAGTAACATATGAAGGCATCAATTGTTCAGATAACAGATTTAAAATTAAAAAAATCTATTAATTAAAAATTAATAGATTAAAAATTTACCTTCCCTCCTTTTGGGCAAAGTATTAACAAACATGTTAAGAAAGAATGGGCTGGGTGCAGTGGCTCACGCCTGTAATCCCAACACTTTGGGAGGCCAAGGCAGGTGGATCGCTTGAAGTCAGGAATTCAAGATCAGCCTGACCAACATGGTGAAACCCGTCTCTACTAAAAATACAAAAATTAGAAAAAAAAATACAAAAATTAGCCTGGTGTGGTGGCACTCGCCTCTAATCCCAGCTGCTCAGGAGGCTGAGGCAGGAGAATGGCTTGAACCCAGGAGGTGGAGGTTGCAGTTGAGCCGAGACTGCGCCACTGCACTTCAGTCTGGGCAACAAGAGCGAAACTCCATCTCAAATTAAAAAAAAAGAAAAAGGAAAGAAAGAAGAGAAGGAGTCTTGCTTTTGCAGAGTTTTAAAATCCCACCCCAGCCAGGTGCTGTGGCTCACGCCTGTAATCCCAGCACTTTGGGAGGCTGAGGTGGGTGGATCACCTGAGGTCAGGAGTTCAAGACCAGCCTGGCCAACCTGGTGAAACCATGTCTCTACTAAAAATACAAAAATTAGCTGCGCGTGTTGGCGCATGCCTGTAATCCCAGCTACTCAGGAGACTGAGGCTGGAGAATTGCTTGAACCCGGGAGGCGGAAGTTGTAGTGAGCCGAGATTGCACCACTGCACTCCAGCCTGGGTGACAGAGCGAGACTCCGTCTCCAAAAAAAAAAAAAAAAAAAAAAAACAAACACTAAATAAATAAATAAATAAATAAATAAATAAACTACCCCAAAGGCATTTTTCTGCTCTGTCCACTGTGACCTATGACTTCCTTAGTTTAAGAATATTTAAGATTGATAATAGCTACCACTTACTGGTAGCTTATTATGTTAGGTTTTAATATTTCATATATTTATATTTTATATTACATATTATTATATCACATATTTGGAAACCAAAGCTCAGAAAAGCTAAGAAATTATCCCAAACCCACATAGCCGGAAAGCAGCAAGGCAGGAATTCACACTCAGATCTGGTATCAAAGGCCATTATACTACTCCCATTTCAAGTTAAGATTCTGACACATGCCATGACAATGTCTCGATGTCACATGTGGCTAATGAGCATTAGAAACGTGGCCAGTGTGCTGAAAGTATAATATACACACTAGATTTCAATGAGGAAGAAAAAACAATCCAAAATAGCTCGATAATTTTTTGTACTGAATACATGTTGAAATATTTTAGATGTACTGGGCTAAATAAAATATTAAAAATTTTACATTTCATTTTATTTTTTACTTGGCTGCTAGTTTTTAATTACATTTTAAAACCACATTATATGTGACTTGCATTGAATCGCACTGGTCTAGATATTTCAGAAAAGAATCCTGATGACACAGGCATCATTCTTTCACCTAAGTCTGTATCAAATCAATACTACAGTGATGCTGAAAGGAAATGAGATACCAGAGATGGCCTCTGTAATGATGAAATGTATACAGCATATGCTATCTTCCTGGCATCACCTTCCCATTAAAGTGAGCCTAGTACTTTTCAGATGCCTTGGGCTAAGTAGCAGATTCGTGTAAACCTTGAACTTCAGCAGATACTACACAGTCTACCTACCTATAGTTTCCCTGAAGCTTTACTTGCATATATCAGTCCCCTCACTTCCTTTCCTGAACTGTTTGGTGCTGCTGGGGGTCACAGTAGTCCTTACTGGTTGTTTGTCTACCAGGCTAAAGTATTTTAGCATCGTTCTGAATGAAACATGATTTGAAACATCATATACACAGACATACATGCACAAAAAATGCAGCAGATTAAAACATTCAAAGGAAATCAAATACATAGAAAAGTAAGTAGCTAAATAACCAATCCTACCTAGTGAGCTATTAGAATAGAGCAAAGAAGAAAAGAGCGGGGCAGGATACCTTTTTGAAACAGCTGTTGTTCTTCTGTAAGAAGGGTTCAGCAATAACTTCCTACATTAACAAAACCTTTTGGAGGAATCAGTGGTATTTTCTACCTTACGATACTGCCTTCAACGTTTATAATACTTCTAGTTTATGTAGTTTATCATCCATTAGTTATTTTCAAAGTACTAGTAACAGAGCTTAAAACTTCTAAAAACAGATTTCTGAAAAAAGAAAGAGACCTGACTTTGATACATAACCAATTTCAAAAATAATTCTATCAAGATTTGGGAAAAAAATAAACATTTGTCCAAGCCAATTCTCCTTTAAATAGAATTTGCTGTGAGAAGACATCAATTTTTCCTGTAGATCATAAAAAGGACTTCAGAAACAATACTTTTAAAAACTTACATAACACTGTTTTTTGAAGAGCTTATACTACACCATAAAGTTAAAATTAACACATGGAGAACTGAAATATTAAGGGTGACATGGTTTGCTCCAAGCCAAAGTCTGTATCAAATTTGGAAAAAGATTCTTTTTTTTTTGTTTTTGAGACAGAGTCTTGCTCTGTCACCCAGGCTGGAGTGCAGTGGTGCAATCTCGGCTCACTGCAAGCTCCGCCTCCCAGGTTCACACCATTCTCCTGCCTCAGCCTCCTGAGTGGCTGGGACTACAGGCACCCACCACCATGCTGGGCTAATTTTTTGTATTTTTAGTAGAGACGGGGTTTCACTGTGTTAGCCAGGATGGTCTCAATCTCCTGACCTCGTGATACGCCCGCCTCGGCCTCCCCAAGTGCTGGGATTACAGGCGTGAGCCACCGCGCCCAGCCAGGACAAAAAGATTATTTTAAAAGTCTGCACCTTTCACTTCATTATTTTACTCCTGGTCCAGATAACTTTTACATTTTTGTGGAGAGAGGAGTGAAGCAGCAAATTTCTTTCTTCAAGTCTTAGATGTAACCTCAGAATATAAAATATATGAAAGTACACGTGCTCTGGTTAAGAAAAGTGGGAAAATAAATAAATAAGGCTAGGTACAATGGCTCACACCTGTAATCTTAGCACTTTGGGGAGGCTGAGGTGGGAGAGTTGCTTGAGGCCAGGAGTTATAAGACTAGTCTGGGTAACATAGTGAGACCCTGTCTCTACAAAAAATTTAAAATAAATAAATAAATAAAAAAGAAAGAAGAGTGGAGAGGCCCTAATGAGCTTAACCCACTTACTATCCCTCACTTCTTCAGGACCCCTGCAGCACCTCTATGCCTAAGGCTCCATAGAACACTTTTTGAAAACAACTGCTGTAAATCCAAATTTCCTGTGTAAGTTTTATTTCCCAACACCCATATACTTCTCTCCATATTTATATTTAAATTTTACTATATATTAGGTTAAGAAAATCCAAATACGACTTTTTTAATTTTTATTTTTAGAGACAAGGTCTTGCTCTGTTGCCCAGGTTGGAGTGCCACAGTGGTGTGATCATAGCTTACTGCAGCCTCAAACTATTGGGCTCAAGTGATCCTCCCACCTCAGCCTCCCAAGTGGCTGGGACTACAGGAACATGCCATCACACTGGCTAATTTTCTAAACATTTTTTTTGTAGAGACAGGGTCTGGCTATATTGCCCAGGCTGGTCTTTAACTCCTGGCCTCAAGCAATCCTCCCGCCTGGACCTCCCAAAGTACTGAGATTACCAAATACGATTTCATTTCACTGTTTAAGCATAATTAGTATTTTTACATTTGCTCATTTCACAATACTACGCAACAAAAAATCAAATTCTCCTAAAACCCAAATTACTTTCTTCTAACAAACGGTAATCGATATATACTTTGCTTACAGGAAAATAAAAAAAAAATTTTTTTCTTTCAGATGGAGTCTCCCTCTGTCATGCAGGCTGGAGTGCAATGGCATGATCTCAGCTCACTGCAACCTCCGCCTCCTGGGTTCAAGCGATACTCCTGCCTCAGCCTCCCGAGTAGCTGGGATTATAGGCACCTGCCACCATGCTCAGCTAATTTTTGTATTTTTACTAGAGATGGGGTTTCACCATGTTGGCCAGGCTGGTCTCCAACTCCTGACTTCCAGTGATACCTCCACCTCGTCCTCCCAAAGTGCTGGGATTACAGGCTGATTTTTAATATTTATAATAAATGATTTGGTTCTATTTTAATACTTTCCTTATTACTAGCTTCTTGCCTTTAGCTTTAATATGGTCAGAACCATAGCTAGGAGAGAAGTTCCTTCTATAAGAATGTAGAAGCAGTTCCATTGGCAGATGTGCAACCCTAAAGTTGAGCAACTTCTGGGATACAGATATAACGGTTTTTTGGGTTTTTTTTTTTTTTTTTTGAGATGGAGTCTCGCTCTGTCACCCAGGCTGCAGTGCAGTGGCAGGATCTCGGCTCACTGCAACCTCTGCCTCCCGGGTTCAAGTGATTGTCCTCCCTCAGTCTCTCGAGTAGCTGGGACTAGAGGCATGCGCCACCATGCCCGGCTAAGTTTTATATTTTTAGTAGAGACGAGGTTTCACCATATTGGCCAGGCTGGTCTTGAACTCCTGACCTCATAATCCGCCCACCTCGGCCTCCCAAAGTGCTGGGATTACAGGCGTGAGCCACCGCGCCCGGTCAATAAAATGTTAAATACAGAATTCTAAAATACAGATATAATGTTAATCCCACATTACAACGCACAAAACGCTAGCCATTATATTCATGTCACGACTAGAGGAAATGGCAGTAAAAAGTGGTCTGGGGAAGTGAAATAGCTTGTATTTACTACTTGGTAAAAGCATTCGGTGAAACCTGACAGCTCAACATATAAATACAAATTAACAAATCTATGTTGGAATAGCTAAATCACTCCTTTAAAGCAAAGCTGTCATTCAAAACACAGAGATGCTTTGGGAAAGAAAATGAAGAAAATGTAAAGAAAAGTGAGAAAAGAAGTGACACTGTTCACCTAAAACACAGCCCTAACCAATCCAGTGCTGCATGAGAGATCCAGAGACTACTTAAAGAAGCACATCCCACTCAGCAGTGTAACTCACTGGCTCAGGAGCATTTGCAATGCTTTATGGAGAGGCTCTTTCAGTTCCTGGGACACTTTTTCTCCAAGATGGGCCAAGCAGTCTTCCATTGAGCTTTCTGGATTGGCAGGGCTGAACACTGGAGAAGTGTGACGGTCAAAGCCTGTGCTGGTGAAGGCTGAAGATAGGACAAAAGAAAAACCTAATATAATAAACAATATCTATAAAATTAGCTGGGTGTGGTGGCACATGCCTGTAATCCCAGCTACTCAGGAGGCTGAGGCAGGAGAATCACTTGAACCCAGGAGGCAGAGGTTGTGGTGAGCCAAGATCACGCCACTGCACTCCAGCCTGGGCAACAAGAGGGAAACTCCGTCTCAAAAAAAAAAAAAAAACAACAATATCAAAAGTTGCGCTATAAAAGGCCACAGGATTAAGACACCCACTATTAGGAACAAGCTAATCATTACAAGCCACTTAAAAAGGTCAGATAATCATTGTGGACATTAATCTTTGTTGGCACGTAAACATTGATAGGTCATAAATTTAGAGGTTCTTTTAGGTTTTAATGAAAAAGCTTAGATTTAAGAGAAAAGAAACAACTAAACTGACATGTTATAATAAGCTAATCAATTTAGTTTATGATTACTGACCAACAAGTATAATAATGATAAATGAGAAGCAATTCCTGGCTCTATTATCCTTCTCTTAAAATTCTGTTTTTAAGATTTTGTTTTACATTTATAAAACTGGCACTTATATCAGATTCTAATCATCCTCAGAGGATGAGTCCATTGCTTTCATTTCCTTATTAAAATGAACTTTCAACCTTAATATTACTACACATGGATAAATTTTCAAACTATTATATGAAGATTATACAAACAAGTATAAAAGTTGAACCAGAAGCCGAGCACAGTGACTCATGCCTGTAATCCCAGCATTTTGGGAGGCTGAGGTGTGCAGATGGTTTGAGTCCAGGAGTTCGAGACCAGCCTGGGCATCATGGCAAAACCACATCTCTACTAAAAATACAAAATATTAAGGCCGGGCGCGGTGGCGCATGCCTGTAATCCCAGCACTTTGGGAGGCCAAGGCTGGGCAGATCACCTGAGGTCAGGAGTTCGAGACCAGCTTGACCAACATGGGGAAACCCCGTCTCTACTAAAAATACAAAAATTAGCCGGGCGTGATGGTGCATGCCTGTAACCCCAGCTACTCAGGAGCCTGAGGCAGGAGAATCGCTTGAACCTGGGAGATAGAGGTTGCAGCGAGCCAAGATTGTGCCATTGCACTCTAGCCTGGGCAACAAGAGTGAAACTCCTTCTCAAAAAAAAAAAAAAAAGGGGCCGGGTGCGGTGGCTCACGCCTGTAATCCCAGCACTTTGGGAGGCTGAAGCGGGCAGATCACGAGGTCAGGAGATCGAGACCATCCTGGCTAACACGGTGAAACCCCGTCTCTACTAAAAATACAAAAAAATTAGCTGGGCCTGGTGGCGGGCGCCTGTAATCCCAGCTACTTGAGAGGCTGAGGCAGGAGAATGGTGTGAACCCAGGAGGCAGAACTTGCAGTAGGCCGAGACTGCGACACTGCACTCCAGCCTGGGTGACAGAGCGAGACTCTGGCTCAAAAAAAAGAAAATAATAATAATAATAATAGCTGGGTGCTGTGGCACACGCCTATAGTCCCAGCTACTGGGGGGCTGAAGTAGGAGGATCACTTGAGTCCAGGAAGTCAAGACTGCAGTGAGCCCTGATCATGACACTACACTCCAACCTGGGCAACAAAGTGAGACTCTGTCTCCCCAAAAAATAACCAAATTAATTAAATAAAAATAAAATAAAACTTGAATCCAGAAAAAGCAGTCATAACTTGTTGTAGACACTTAACCATTCCCTAACTGCAGGAAGAGCAAGCAGAGTAACTTGTTCCAGAGTACAAATGCGATGCAAGGCATCAGCTACCAGGAAAGCAGGCCGCTTGCACCCACTCCCAAGATTTAGCCGTCATCTGCATTAAGTATTTATTGCATTAATCTAACGCTTACTCCTATAAGGCTGCAAATTTTACTATAAAGTATGTGTTTCTTTATAAAGTGCTTGCCTCCGAGAAAGATGCAAATGGCTGCAAAGTTCACAAATACTTTGTTGTTTGAGCAAGCTGGAGAGCATCCATTTTAATGGTCTAACTTAGATAATATGGGGTTCAATAAGTGAACGTATTTTAAACCTTTTGTTACTCTCTTCTTCTTTCTACCTTTTGCCCATTTTACTATGCAGCAGTGCTGTTACCAGAATATACATGAAGAGAATCAGAAATTTAATCATTTCAAAATGTTGATAAAGAAATATAATGGTCGGGCACAGTGTTTCACACCGGTAATCCCAGCACTTTGGGAGGCCGAGGCGGGTAGATCACAAGGTCAGGAGATCGAGACCAGCCTGACCAACGTGGTGAAACCCCACCTCTACTAAAAATACAAAAATTAGCCAGGCATGGTGGCGGGCGCCTATAATCCCAGCTACTCAGGAGGCTGAGGCAGGAGAATCACTTAAACTCGGGAGGCGGAGGTTGCAGTGAACTGAGATCGCACCACTGCACTCCAGCCTGGGTGACAGAGCGAGACTCTGTCTCAAAAAAAAAAAGAAAAAAAAAGAAATATAAAAGACAAGACTAACATTAGGTTTCAGGATTATTTGTACATTTCATTTTTTTTAAATGGTCTCACTCTGTCACCCAGCCTGGAGTACAGTGGCATGATCTTGGCTCACTACAACCTATGCTTCCTGGGTTCAAGAGATTCTCATGCCTTAGCCTCCGAGGTAGCTGGAATTACAGGTGTGCACCACCATGCCTGGCTAATTTTTTTGTATTTTTATAGAGGCAGGGTTTCACCATGTTGGCTGGGGTCATCTCAAACTCCTGGCCTCAAGTGATCCACCCACTTCAGCCTCCCAAAGTGCTGGGACTACAGGCACCGCACCTGGTCTCGGGATTATTTGTACATTTCTATCTGTGTTTTTTCTCTACTAACGAGGAACATGAGTTATGAACATAATTTATAATTTTGATCATTAAAAATTATTGGGCAGGCTGGGTACGGTGGCTCACGCCTGTAATCCCAGCACTTTGGGAGGCTGAGGTGGGCGGGTCATGAGGTCAGGAGATCAAGAACATCCTGGCTAACACGGTGAAACCCCGTCTCTACTAAAAATTACCAAAAGAGTAGCTGGGTGTGGTGGTGGGCACTGTAGCTCCAGCTACTCAGGAGGCTGAGGCAGGAGAATGGCGTGAAGCTGGGAGGCGGAGCTTGCAGTGAGTCGAGATCCCGCCACTGCACTCCAGCCTGGGCAACAGAGCGAGACTTTGTCTCAAAAAAAAAAAAAAAAAAAAAAAAAAAAAGAAAAAGAAAAAATTATTGGGCAATATATGTCCACACAAAAACTTGCACAAGAATATTCACAGCAGCATTATACATAATAGTAAACAAGTAGAAACAACCTAAATTTCCATTAACTAATGAATGAATAAACAAAATATGACACATCCACACAGTGGAATATTATTTGACTGTAAAAAGTAATGAAGTACTGATACATGCTACAACATGGATGACCCTTGAAAACATTATGCTAAGTCGGCCAGGTGCAGTTGTTCACGCCTGTAATCCCAGCACTCTGGGAGGCCGAGACAGGTGGATCATTTGAGGTCAGGAGTTGGAGACCAGCCTGGCCAATATGGTGAAACCCCGTCTCTACTAAAAACAAAAATTAGCTGGGCGTGGTGGTGGGTACCTGTAATCCCAGCTATTCAAGAGGCTGAGGCTGGAGAATTGCTTGAACCTTAAAGTCGGAGGTTGCAGTGAGCCCAGATCATGCCACTGCATGCCAGCCTGTGCAACAGAGCAAGGCGATGTCTTAAAAAACAGCAACAACAACAAAAATACATTATGCTAAGTAAAAAATGCCAGTCACAAAAGACCACATAGTGGCCAGGCGCAGTGGATCACGCCTTTAATCCCAGCACTTTGGGAGACCGAGGTGGGCGGATCACCTGAGGTCAGGAGTTCAAGACCAGCCTGAGCAACATGGAGAAACCTTGTCTCTATTAAACGTACAAAAAATTACAGGCCGGGCGTGGTGGCTCATGCCTGTAATCCCAGCACTTTGGGAGGCCAAGGCGGGCAGAAAACAAGGTCAGGAGATCAACGAGACCATCCTGGCTAACACGCTGAAACCCCGTCTCTACTAAAAATACAAAAAATTAGTCGGGTGTGGTGGCAGGCGCCTGTAGTCCCAGCTACTCGGGAGGCTGAGGCAGGAGAATGGCCTGAACCCAGGAGGCGGAGCTTGCAGTGAGCCAAGATCCCGCCACCGCACTCCAGCCTGGGCAAAGAGCCAGACTCTGTCAAAAAAAAAAAAAATACAAAAAATTAGCCAGGTTTGGTGGCACATACCTGTAATCCTGGCTACTCAGGAGGCTGAGACAGGAGAATCATTTGAACCTGGGAGATGGAGGTTGTGGTGGGCCGAGATGGTGCCACTGCACTCCAGCCTGGGCAATGAGAGCGAAACTGCATCTCAAAACACCACCACCACCACCACATAGTGAACTATTCTATTTATGTATATTTCCAGAATAGGCAAATCAATAAAAACAGAATGGAGATCAGTGGGTGCCTGGTGTGGGGTGGGGTTGGGGCCTGGGGCTAGTGGGAATGGGAAGTGGCTGCTAATGTGTATTGTGTTTCTTTAAGGAGAACCGAAAGTGTTCTAAATTTAGATCATGGTGATAAATTCTGTGAATACACTACAACCACTGAATTGTACTTTATTATTATTATTATTTATTTAATAAATAGAGACATGGTCTCCCTATGTTGCCCAGTGTGGTTTTGAACTCAGGGGCTCAAGCAACCCTCCTGAGGCCTTGGCCTCCCACAGTGCTAGAATTACAGGCATGAGTCCCTGTGCCCAGACTGAACTGGACCTTTTAAATGGGTGAATTTTATGGTATGTAAAATATATCTCAATAAAGCTGTAAAAATATATTTATATCATTGGGTAAGATGTTCAGTGCAGCATTACCTATGGAAGACAAAACCGGAAATAATGCAAATGCTGTGTAGTCGTCGTCCAGTGAAAAAAGGAATAATAATCCAAATGCTCCCCTCAATAACAAGGGAACAGGCCAGGCATGGTGGCTTACACCTGTAATCCCAGTGCTCACTACTGCACTCCAGCCTGGGCAACAGAGCAAGACCCTGTCTCTGAAATAGTAATAATAATAATAATAATAATAATAATAATAATAATAATGGAATGACTGAGTAAAAACATTTATTCAGTGAATGAAATTTCACGCAGTTAGTAGAGTAACTATTTTTAAAGTTTATGTTGTAATGTTAAGTGCAAAATAAAATGGCTATAAAGTTGAATGTACATTATAATTACAGTTATCTATAGTATATATGTATGCAAAAATAAAAGCGTATGCTTACTTTTTCCTTTTTATGTCGTTATTACTTATAAAGGTAATACTAAATACAAATCAAACCATAGTGAATGGAAAGAACCTTAACATGATCATTTATCCGATACTTAACATGAGAAACTGCTACATCTAACCTGTTAGGTATAGTTGGGGAACTTCCATCAACATATCCTCCAGGAAAGAAAAAAGGCTACCTTCTAGTTTTACCCTTATAAACTTCTACCAATGTATAATTGGTGTAAGTTGTTAACTGTTGAGAATACCCCACTGTAAAAATCAAATTAAACCAACAGTAAACCATAACAAACACAATCTGCTTATTAACTAGAAAAATAAGAATAAACAGACCTTCAGAAATTTCTTTGTCCAGAGATTTTAGCTCTTCTTCAATTTCAGTTTTAACTTTTAATAAAATTTCTTGATCCAGAGATTGTGAAGCTATATCTAGTTGAACCCCTGAAAGCAACAAAAAAGGTTATTATTGAAAGAGGGAGAGAGAAACCATTAGAATATAATAGCACTTTTTTTTTTTTTTTTGAGACGGAGTCTCGCACTGTCACTGGGGCTGGAGTGCAATGGCATGATCTCCGCTCACTGCAACCTCTGCCTCCTAGGTTCAAGCGATTCTCCTGCCTCAGCCTCCCAAGTAACTGGGATTATAGGCGCCTGCCACCACGCCTGGCTAATTTTTTTGTATTTTTAGTAGAGACAGGTTTCACTATGTTGGCCAGGCTGGTCTCGAACTCCTGACCTTGTGATCCGCCTGCCTCGGCCTCCCAAAGTGCTGGGATTTCAGGCGTAAGCCACTGCACCCAGCCCTACAATAGCAATTTGTTAAGCCAAAAAATGCAAAATCAAAATTCATTATCAAAATTAGGGACGGGAGGAAATCCTTTTTGCAATAATTAAAAAACAAAAATCAAAAACAACCTTTAGTAGAAATATTTGGGCCTATGGATTGAGAGTGAGTAAGTCTCCACCTTTCCAGATGTTTCTGCCAGAAACAGGGAAATTGAGCTGAATCTTCAGAAACACATTAACTCAAGAGGAGGTTGGGAAAGATGTATCAATAAGTCGGGCCAGTCCTCTCTTTTTGTAGACAATGTATCCTTTTTAAAAAGTATGAAGATGGAATATGATAAAAACAAAAAGAATTCATGCTATTAATATTTCAGTGGTGGTGGGAGATGTCCATTCCCCCCACTTCAAATTATATAGATCCCTAATTGTATCTCACTTTTGGACACATTTTTAGATGATATACTTCTAGCATTTTATACATGCTTTGTAATTTTCTTTCTTTTCTTCCCCCAACCCTGCCCACAACAGTTAGTTGACTGCTGCTTAAGTCCACAAAGCACACAACTGAGGCTAAAATTCCACCACTGTGGGCATAACGATTTCTTTGTACCAATCACATTAGATTTATGAGTTATGCTCATCACCAGTCTCTCATGCTTATTACTGGTTAATTCTATTTTGCTACTAAGTTTTCTAAATACAGCAAGATAATTATATATCTTTGCAAGTACTAAGGTACAAAAAAAGATACTGCTGAAGCCTGAAAGCAGTACCTCTGTCATTTGACAGTCCAATTTCACCCAAGTTAGTTTTAGTGATAACAATACACAATAATGGCTAATATCAAGTGCTGGGGGCACTATACTAAGCACTTTGTATGTACATGTACGTACGTATGTATGTATGTGTATATACACATATGCTCATAAAATGCTCATAACAACCCTTTGAGATAGGTATTACTATTATCCTCAGTTTGCAGGTGAAAAACCAAGACACAGGGAAGAAATGTGACCAAGGGTGCACCAACAGCAGAGCTCAGATACAAACCCAGGCAGTCAACTTTCAGGGTCTGGGCCCTAACCCCTGCACAATGTCGCCTCTCGCCATTCTTGCAAGCATGGACTATATTAAATCAAACACCCCAAAGTCCAAGCCTGCCTCTATGACAGTGATCACAGCACAGCAGTTCTTGTTCTTGGGCTTTTTGAGATTTCAGGCTCTTAAGAGAATGTCAATAAAATAATGGCCCCTCCTCCCACAATGTTTGGCAAGCAATTTTAGGGCATTCATGGACCCTCTCAGGACCTCTATAAGCCTTGGTTTAAACTCTTTACTAATTACCATCTAATTTTCCTTTTTTTTTTTTTCAGACGGAGTCTCGCTCTGTCCCCCAGGCTGGAGTACAGTGGCGCAAGCTCTGCTCACTGTAAGCTCCGCCTCCCAGGTTCACGCCATTCTCCTGCTCCCAAGTAGCTGGGACTACAGGCGCCCGCCACCACACCCGCCTAATTTTTTGTATTTTTAGTAGAGACAGGGTTTCAGCGTGTTAGCCAGGATGGTCTCGATCTCCTGGCCCCGTGATCCACCTGCCTCGGCCTCCCAAAGTGCTGGGATTACAGGTGTGAGCCACTGCGCCCAGCCCATCTAATTCTCCTTCTTTCCCCGTCCCTGAATTCACATACTCACACCCACTGCATAATATAGTCCTCTTTCATTTGGCTAATGTACTACAGTTTTGTACTATTGGGTAACCTGACTTAATGAGCAGGGCCAATGATCACCAACCACTAAAAGGCTCCAGGAGACAGATCAAGACGAGTAATCGCGGGGCATGGAGGTGCGACAGAGTAGGAAATGGGACTTGGCCCCACCCCACTAATGTGTTTTTCCATACGTTCTCAGTGACCGCCACACCCTACAGCGCCATCCCAACTGGCACCATACCTGCTGACCAGACCTCGCAGGTATGGTATGAAGAAACTATAGGCAGCAGCCTGCCATAAATCTTACTCAAGGGAGTGAGCTCTACCACTCACACGAGCTCAAGGACAATGACCAATCCTAATCACCAGCCTCATTATAATACTAAAATCACCACCCAGAAAGACGCTTATCTGCCACTTTCTGATCATGTGTTAGCACGATTCCTTACCGTGTCTGCACTCCACCCCACACACGTAGTGATGCTCACTTACCTCGTGAATCATGCATGCCACCCTCCTTAAGACACCGCAATGCACTCCCCTCGGAGAGCCAGCTGGAGAACCCTTCCTCCTGTGCTGTCTCCCTTATGTCCAACCTTTCTAGGTATGAGTCTTTTTTTCTTTTTTTTTTTTTTTTTTTTTTTTTTTTTTGAGACAGAGTCTCGCTCTCTCCCAGGCTGGAGTGCAGTGCAGTGGCTTGATCTCGGCTCACTGCAAGCTCCACCTCCCAGGTTCATGCCATTCTCCTGCCTCAACCTCCCGAGTAGCTGGGACTAAGGCGCCCGACACCATTCCCCGCTAATTTTTTGTATTTTTAGTAGAGATGGGGTTTCACCGTGTTAGCCAGGATGGTCTTGATCTCCTGACCTCGTGATGCGCCCACCTCGGCCTCCCAAAGTGTTGGGATTACAGGCGTGAGCCACCGTGCCCAGCTTTTTTTTTTTTTTGAGAGAGAGTTACGCCCTTGCTGCCCAGGCTGGAGTGCAATAGCACAATCTCGGCTGACTGCAACCTCCGCCCCCCGGGGTTCAAGCAATTCTCCTGCCTCACCCTCCCGAGTAGCTGGAATTACAAGTGCCTGCCAACACGCCCGGCTAATTTTTTGTATTTTTAGTAGAGATGGTGCTTCATCATGTTGGCCAGGCTGATCTCGAACTCCTGACCTCAGGTAATCCGCCCGCCCCAGCCTCCCAAAGTGCTGGGATTACAGGCGTGAGCCACCGTGCCTGGCCCATAAGTCTTAATATAGCCTTGTCTGGGAAACTTGCTTGGCCTTGTGTCAATTTCTATTACACAGGAGCCTAAGAACCTGTGGTTGGTAATAAGGGGAAAAAACGAACAAAGAAAACATTTGTATCCAGAGACTAGAACATAAAGGAGACCAAAACGTTTCTCCTGAATTCAAAGTGGGCAAATTTGGGGGTAAAACAGCACAGTTCCTTTTAAAGCTTTAAAAGCTTATATAAAAAGCTCAAGCTCTCCCTACATTGCAAAAATATTCTTTCTTGAATAATTTTTTTTTCTTCTACTTTCAGGTGATTTCAGTACTACAGAACATTTAAACAAAAAATTTAGGATAAAAAGAGCCAAACCAGCCAGGCACAGTGGCTCACGCCTGTAATCCCAGCACTTCAGGAGGCCAAGGCGGGCGGATCACCTGAGGTCAGGAGTTCAAGACCAGCCTGGCCAACATGGTGAAATCCCGTCTCTACTAAAAATACAAAAATTTGCTAGGCATGGTGGCAGGCGCCTGTAATCACAGCTACTCGGTAGGCTGAGGTGGGAGAATCACTTGAACCCAGGAGTTGGAGGCTGTGGTGAGCAGAGATCGCACCATTGCACTCCAGCCTGGGCCACAAGGGTGAAACTGTCTCAAAAAAAAAAAAAAAAAAAAAAAAGAGCCAAACCAATTGACATATGCAGCAGAATCCACATTCCCAGGACATGGGCCAGATTCACAATCACATCAATAATCCCAGCTTGGTTTTTAGCCAGAAGCATTCAGGGAAGTCAAGATAATTCAGAGTCATCCTAGGAATCTCACTCATTTCTGGAACTTAAATTCAGACTTACCTGAACACCCAGAGGATGCTGAATTGTATACTTAGCAACTAACCTTCTGTTAGAGGAGAGTGGTTTTTCATTTCCCTAAAGACTTGAGATAAGTAACTTGTGGGGACAATGAAGCCCCTACCTGGGTGTGGGGGAAGGGCCCTGCAATCAACTATACTCCACCATGCAAGAATTTCAGCAGAAAAACCAAACAAGCTAACAAAAAGCAGCATGAACTGGGCCACTAAGTTGCAGGTCTACCTACTATTCATTTATCCACTGAAGAAACATTGACTACCTGCTATTTATCAGGTATGTCCTGAAGCATCTACGCAGCACAAAAATGAGTAAGATTTGTCCAGCACATGAAACTATTTATATAGACTGGGGAAGTTCAGGAAGGGCAGGACAACAGCAAGCATTTACAAAGTACCTGTTACTTAACAGGCACGGTAGTAAACATTTCCTATGTGTTATTTCATTTAATTTCCAAGTCAACCTTATGAGGGATGAAATAATAGTTCCATTTGAAGATGAGGAAACTGAAGCTTGGATAGGTTCTACCACTACCATAAAGAAGTTATAATTGGAACTCTGGTGAGTCTGACTACAAAATCGTTAATCCAGGCTGTGCTCTCGTCATCTTCTGGTTGGGTGGCTAGGAATGAAAGATCTCAGAAACATTTCTGACATGATTAAATAGTTAACAGAGAGCAGAAAGGCTGTCTATATCGGTGATACTGTCTTCTGACAGGGACTTTCATGTCCCCTTATTTAATCTTCACTTCAGTTGGGTGTGGTGCTCATGCCTGTAATCTCAGCACTTTGGGAGGCCGAGGCAGAAGGATTGTTTAAGTTTAGGAGTTCAAGAACAGCCTGCGCAACATAGCTAGACCTTGTTTCTACGAAAAATAAAAAAAACTAGCTGAGCACAGTGGCATGTTCCCATCGTCCAAGATACTCGGGAGCCTGATGTGTGAAGATCACTTGAGCCTGGGAGGTCGAGGCTGCTGTGAGCCATGACTGCACCACTGCACTTCAGCACTTCTATATATTTTATGTTTCTAGACAGGGTCTCACCCTGTTGCCCAGGCTGGAGTGCAGTGGCACTATCATGGCTCACAAGAGCCTCAACCTCTTAGGCTCAAGCGATCTTCCCACCTCAGCCTCTCAAGTAGCTGGCACTACAGGTACACACCACCATGCCCAGCTAATTTTTGTGGGGTTTTTTTGTTTTTTTTTTGAGACAGAGTCTCGCTCTGTCGCCAGATCATGCAATGGCGCGATCTCGCCTCACTGCAACCTCTGCCTCCTGGGTTCAAGTGATTCTCCTGCCTCAGCCTCCTGAGTAGCTAGAACTACAGGTGCACACCACCACACCCAGCTAATTTTTGTATTTTTGGTAGAGACAGGGTTTCACCATGTTGGCCAGGATGGTCTCGATCTCCTGACCTCATGATCCACCTGCCTCAGACTCCCAAAGTGCTGGGATTACAGGTGTGAGCCACCGCGCCCAGCTGTGTGGGGTTTTTCTTTTTTTTGGTAGAGACAAAGTTTTGCCTTGTTGGCCAGGCTGGTCTCAAATTCCTGGGCTCAAGCAGGCCGCCCACCTTGGCCTCCCTCACGCTGGGATTACAGGCATGAGCCACCAGGCTCTGCCTATGTTTTCATTTTTTGCAACCAAATTAAAGAATCCCAAATTCTCAGATGGGCTTTGAATTAATTAATTCTATTAAGGTCAAGAAACTTGATTATTCTATCATCCACAGGTATTTAAAATACCTTTAAAAAACAAAAGGTTAAACATTTTTACGTATCACAGATTCTGATTCATTTTCTACTTTTAAAGCTGACAAAAATAACATGGCTTTAAGCGACATAAAACACTTTCCTTATGAGATGAGACTAACCAAAATAAAATTCAAATCCTTTTATTTTTTTATTTTTTTATTTTTTGAGAATAGGGTCTCACTATATTGCCTAGGCAGGTCTCAAACTCCTGGGCTCAAGCCATCCTCCTGCCTCTGCCTCCCTAAGTGCCAGAATCCTTAAAAGTTGAAATGTAACACAAAGGATCTCCTCAATGTCACCAATAGCATATACTTTGCTTAATGACATTTCACTTACTTCTGCCTAAGTAAATAACTTTGATAAACTACATTCATAAAAACTTGAAAATGTTACATAAAACAATCTATTATGCAAAAATTTGAGGCCAATTTATCCTAGAAAGATCCTATGCCAATTTATCCTAATCTTTATAAATTCTCATAAAGCATAAAAGTCTACCTTTACAGATAAGCTTCTACTAAATCTCCATTACTGTTTATAATTATAACAGGTTTTCCCTTTAGAAGTAATTTGTAGTGTTAGATGGCTCTGCAACAGCACTGATTAATATAACTGCACAAGATACAGTGATCTCCAGAATACATCATGACATTATTAAGTGAAATCAAACACAAGCTCAGAAATTAATTCACGGCCCATGCTATTTCTTGCAATAAAATTCTCTCTTTCCCTTCCAGCTTCCTGGAAAACAGCCGTAAAGTGGTTGATAAGCTTTGGAGTCAGGCCTTCTAACTCTTCACTTGGGCAAGGAAAATAATCTTCTTGACCCTCTCCTCTTTATGATTATTTTTTTAATTGAGACAGAGTCTCGCTCTGTCACCCAGGCTGGAGTGCAGTGGTGCAGTCTCGGCTCACTGCAACCTCCACCTCCTGGGTTCAAGCAATTCTCCCACCTCAGCCTCCCAAGTAGCTGGGAGTACAGGCGTGTGCCACCACACCTGCCTATTTTTTTTTGTTTTTAGTAGAGATAGGGTTCTGCCATGTTGGCCAGGCTGGTCTCGAACTCCTGACCTGAAGTGATCCGCCTGCCTCAGCCTCCCGAAGTGCTGGGATTACAGGCGTGAGCCACCGTCTCTCCTCTTATATAAAATGGGAAAATAATACCCACCACAAAGGGTAGTTGTGAAGAGTAATGAGATAAATGCCCAATCGACAGGTGCTCCCACTCACCAATTCTTTTCATGCTCTAAAATTGTATTATTAGATAATTATCTTTCCTGGCCCCTTATCTCTGTGAACAGAAATTAGCTCATCACAGATTTTTAATCAAAGATGCTTATACAGAACCTGCTTTCCACACTGTGAAAGGTAGGAATAGCAGGACAACCTCTGTCAGTTTAGATAATGCCATGTAATATAAAATAAGGCTGTTTTAACACAAACTAGGAGAAATCTTGACAGGCAGTTATTCTTGCTCTTCAATTGCTGCTAGAGAGAATGGCTTAATATGTGTTGCTTAAATTTGTTGGACATTGCACAACAAATTGATTGGGGAAGTTTTACTAAAAAGCTGTATTCCTGAATACCAGATGTTCTGCAACCTGTTTCCAAGGGTGGCTTGCCTCTAATGGACTTGCCTTCAATTTTTTTCCAGGCTAAGGTAATCTCTGTCATACTCAACAATGTAAGAATTTTGATCAATCACTGTCATAAGCTACAGTGAATGAACGTGCTTTTAAGAGAAATCAATCCTTCTTGTAGCTACTAACACTCCTTCAAACATACTTCAATGACAGAAACAGAAATAACAACCAGGCTGAAAAAAGTTAGCCCTCTATTCCACAAAAACATTTCTAACTTAATATCTATCATTCTACTCTTGACCTCCCCTTAATCAGAAACTCAGAACACCTACACGTTTTAGACTTCTTGCAGATAATATAACCTATTGGATCCATTTTTCTACAAGGTTTGAATTGTAGACCTCATGATTTGCCCACCCTGGTCTCCCAAAGTGCTGGGATTACAGGAGTGAGCCACCGCGTCTGGCCGATATTGACAACATTTTCTACTGCATTTCTGTGTCCTATGTTATAAAGCTCTTAGTGGGAAAAAAGAAATCTTTTAAAAAACTATTTTCCAACCAAAAGGAACTAGTATAGCTTCTAAATTATAGGGGTAAAAGATTCCTGGAACTAAATATACCCTCTGTTTTATAGTATATATATGTGTGTGTGTGTGTGTATACATATGTATGTATGTATGTATTTGGCTTTCCCAAGAACCAAATTCACAGCTCAGCACTAGTATAATTGTAGAGGATCTCACAGACTACTTACCTATCTATGATCTGTTATTCCTACTATAGACATGTACAATTTTCCTACTCCTGATTTTTTTATTTACTATTTGGATTTTTCCATTATGCATCATAAGCCACATTAAATTATATGTGGTAAGGAATTTTTTAAAAAAGTATTACTATTTGCATCCAGTATGAACTCACTGCCAATTTCTCACTATCTAACAAAACAAGCCAGATGCAGTAGCATGTTACAGTCCCAGCTACTTGGGAGGCCTAGGCAGGAAGACCCCTTGAGCTCAGGAGTTTGAGGCCATAGTGTGCTATAATCATGCCTGTGAGTAGCCACTGCACTCCAGCCTGGGCAACATAGCAAGAACTCATTTCTTTCTTTCTTTTTTTTTTTTTTTTTGAGACAGAGTCTCACACGGTTGCCCAGGCTGGAGTGCAGTGGCACGATCTCTACTCACTGCAACCTCCGCCTCCTGGGTTCAAATGATTTTCCCACCTCAGCCTCCCTAGTAGCTGGGATTACAGGCGCCCGGAACCATGCCTGGCTAATTTCCTATATTTTTAGTAGAGACAGGGTTTCACTATGTTGGCCAGGCTGGTCTTGAACTCCTGACCTTGTGATCCGCCCGCCTCAGCCTCCCAAAGTGCGTAAGCCACTGTGCCCCGCCAGCAAGAACCTATCTCTAAAAAACAAAACAAACAAAAACCTCAAACATATTATTCTACATTTTTGCTCAACATAAACTGTCCTTCTGTTTCCTGATAATTCAAATTCTGTCTATCCTTGAAAAACCAATGTAACTCTCTACTTCAAAATGTCTTCACTGACTATTATGTTTACAGGTCTATCACTGACCTTAAACATTTATACATTTAGTCTGTGTCACAAAGTTTAACACTTAAAAATACACTATCCTATGCTGTTTGATGATTTTGTACTTTATTATCATCATTCTAAACAGATTACAAACACTTTGGGATATACTTCCTTTGTCCTAGACTTGTGTGAAATATGGACTAAAAAAATATTCAAATACTTGACAGCTACCACTATCTACTATGATAAAAACTTAGAGTTACAACGTAAAGATTTATATGTACAGATGAAAAGCTCACTGTATTCTCTATGTATACATGGCAACCTCGCTAGGGAGAGGAGACACTTAAAAAAACACAATAAAATAAGAATTATAAATAAATTCAAAGGAATTAAAAAAATACAAAGTTCCCATTCCAGCAGGTGTAGCTTAAAAATACAAATAAATAAAAAATACAAAGTTATCAGTATATTTTGAGGACAGCTCAAATGACAAAAGGTAAAAGAAATAAGGCCGGGCGCAGTGGCTCATGCCTGTAATCCCAGCACTTTGGGAGGCCGAGGCAGGCGGATCACGAGGTCAGGAGATCGAGACCAGTCTGGCTAACACAGTGAAACCCCATCTCTACTAAAAATACAAAAAAAAAAAAAAAAATTGCCAGGCATGGTAGTGGGCGACTGTAGTTCCAGCTACTCAGGAGCCTGAGGCAGGTGAATGGCATGAATCTGGGAGGCAGAGCTTGCAGTGAGCCGAGATCGCACCACTGCACTCCAGCCTGGGTGACAGTGACGGAGTGAGGCTCTGTCTCAAAAAAAAAAAAAAAAAAGAAAGAAAAGAAAATGAGAAGTCATATTGCATCAGGCAAATATGACAACAGACCAACTGCATAGATAGGAAGATAAATAGAGCATTTATTTATGGCGATGAGTCACGATGGAGATACTGAGAACTAGGAATGGAAAGAATAAGACCTCCACTATTACTTGCATACTTATGAGAGTTTAATCAGTGACTGAATCATAGAACTTTACAGGTTTATAGTCTGTAAAGGCTGTCAAGTCTATCCTCATTACATAAAGAATATGAGACTTCAGAGAATTTAATGACTAGCCCAAGTTCTAATAAATAACAGAGAAATAACATTAGAAACTACATATTCTGGTAAATAGAATTATTATTGACTCCCAGGACATACGACTATAATTTTTGACGCACAGTGACAAGGAATACATGAATGCTTTATCTGCCATCTGTCATCTGCCCCTTTTTGGAAAATCTACATACCCAAAACATACATACACCCACACACATCCAATCACACCACCATCAATACCACCACCATCCCACAAAGCAAATGACAAAAATGTCATGGTTACCATATGCCTCACCCCACCAGATTAAAGAAAAGCAGCTGATTAAAGGAGAGCTTATTCTCTTGAGACTAATGTGATGCTGATTACACATGACAAGTTGTCATACTTCATAATAAACCATGTGGAAAACCTAAACCAGAAAATGTCTGCTGCTGTTAGGACACAAAGGCTATTTATTTAGCTGACCAGTGACACAGAGAGATTCAGTGATTTGCATTTAATTAATCCTCTCCACCTAGTTTTTCTAAAGCACAGAGCTACGCAGTGGGGCCAATGCTGCATAAATTCTGGACTATAAACCAAGATACAAATATTTCAAAGATAAACAGACTTTAGCACACTAAGTCCCACCCACTTGTTTCAAATGAAGTCAAGTGAGTCAGTAATCATTATATTCCAGCCCTAAAATTCATTCAGAGCTATCAAAGTGAATAGAAGATTAACAAGTTTAGCCAAGTTGAATGGACTAGAGCTCCCAGAGCAAAATACTTTCGAAATCTATGGTTCCCCAAACTGGAAACACATTTAAATTACCTATAAAACACATTAAATTATAGATTCCCAAGTCCTAGCATGCAGTATCTGGTCCTGTAGGTCTAGGGTAGAGCTCCATGATCTTTGTTTTAGCAAGTATTCAGGCAATTAGCCTTGCGATAACACTCTAGGCAGTCCAAATAATTACAATCAAATCAAAAAGGTCCATTGAACATATAGACAGAATGGTTCAATTGTTCATTAAATAGCAAAAACAAATACCTCAAAATATACCTTACTGGACCAGCAATTAAGAAACCAGATGTTGGCCGGGCACAGTGGCTCATGCCTGTAATCCCAGCATTCTGGGAGGCCAAGGCGAGCGGATCACCTGAGGTCAGGAGTTTGACACCAGCCTGGCCAACATGGTGAAATGACATCTCTACTAAAAATACAAAAATTGGCTGGGCGTGATGGCGCGCTCCTTTAATCCCAGCTACTCAGGAGGCTGAGGCATGAGAATTGCTTGAACCCAGAAGGCAGAGGTTGCAGTGAGCAGAGATTGCACCACTGCACTCCACTCCAGCCTGGGAAAGAGTGTGAGACTCTGTCTGAAAAAGAAAACAGATGTTTGGGGCAGAGTGGCACTTTGGGAGGCTAAGGCATAAAGATCGCCTGAGCTCAGAAGTTTGAGACCAGCCTGAGGAACATGGCGAAACAAATGTCTCTACAAAAAAAATAAATAAATAAAGGAGCAAGATTTTTTTTTTTTTTTGAGATGTAGCCTCACTCTGTTGCCCAGAATGGAGTGCATGGCGCGATCTCAACTCACTTCAACCTCTGCTGCCCAGGTTCAAGCGATTCCCCTGCCTCAGCCTCCTGAGTAGCTGGGACTACAGGCGCCCGCCACAACTCCTGGCTAATTTTTTTTTTTTTTTTTTTTTTTTGAGATGGAGTCTCGCTCTGTCACCCAGGCTGGAGTGCAGTGGCGTGATCTTGGCTCACTGCAAGCTCTGTCTCCCGGGTACACGCCATTCTCCTGCCTCGGCCTTCCCAGTAGCTGGGACTACAGGCACCCACCATCACACCCACCTAATTTTTTGTATTTTTAGTAGAGAAGGGGTTTCACCGTCTTAGCCAGGATGGTCTCGATCTCTTGACCTCATGATCTACCCACCTCGGCCTCCCAAAGTGTTGGCATTACAGGTGTGAACCACCGTGCCCGGCCAATTTTTTGTATTTTTAATAGAGACAGGGTTTCACCATGTTAGCCAGGATGGTCTCGATCTCTTGACCTCATGATCTGCCCACCTCGGCCTCCCAAAGTGCTGGCATTACAGGTGTGAGCCACTATGCCCAGTCTTTTGTTTTGTTTTAAACAACCAAATTCCAGACAGCCAATCATGATTGCAGTTTTCAGGTTCTAGCGTTATCATACCCCCTAAGCATCTTGCAGATTGGGAGACAGACTGATGGAGGACAGATCTGAGGGAAAAGAATGCAGAATTCCACCATGCACCACCCAAGGTCTGGCTTCACAGTGGTCGAGATCAACCATCTTCTGTTCCTGATAGAAAAGCTAAGATAAGAATGAAACAGTACACATCTCTGGAAATAATATATTATGGCTCAATTTCAAATTGGGTTATACAAATCTGCCTTGAAAAGCTGATGTAAGCCGGGCGCAGTGGCTCATGCCTGTAATCCCAGCACTTTGGGAGGCCGAAGCAGCCGAGGTCGGGGGCTTGAGACCAGCCTGACCAACATGGAGAAACCCCATCTCTACTAAGAACACAAAATAAGCCAGGCATGATGGCGCATGCCTGTAATCCCAGCTACTTGGGAGGCTGAGGCAGGAGAATCACTTGAACCTGGGAGGCAGAGGTTGCGGTGAGCCAAGATCACGCCATTGCACTCCAACCTGGGCAACAAGAGCGAAACTCTGTCTTAAAAAAAAAAAAAAAAAAGCTGATTTGAGATAGCAGGACTCCCCAAATTGATCTACACATTAATGTAATCCCCATCAAAATTCCAACTCTGTTTTTTCCAGAAATAGACAAGCCAATCCTAAAATTAATATGGAAATGCAAGAGACACAGAATAGTCAAAGCAATCTTGGAAAAGGAAGAACAAAGTTGAAGGGCTCACACTTCATAATTTCAAAATTTACTACAAAGCTACAGCAATAAAAATAGTATGGTATAACAACAGGTATACAGACCAATGGAATTGAATTGAGAAGGGAAAAATAAATCCATACATATATGGTCAATTGATTTTTGAGAAAGGTACCAAGGTCAACCAATGGGAGAAAGAATAACTTTTCAACAAATGGTGCTGAGACAACAACAAGAGATCCCCATGTGTATTAGTCCATTTTCTTTTGTTTATGAAAGAATACCTGAAACTGGATAGTTTATAAAGAAAAGGAATTTATTTCTCACAGTTCTGGAGGCTGAGAAGTCCAAGGTTGAGGGGCTGCCTTTGACCTCAAACAGAGTCCCGAGGCAGCACAGAGTATTACATGGCGAGGGGGCTGAGCATGCTAATGTGTGAGCTCCAGGTCTCTCTTCCTCTTCTAATAAAGCCACTGGTTCCACTCACATAACTCATTAATCCATTAACCCACGAATGGATTAATCCATTTGTAACGGCTACTATATTTTGCTTTGTTTAAACCCTCCAAATCTCATGTTGAGAGTTGATCCCAAATGCTGGAAGTGGGGATTAATGGGAGGTGTTTGGGTCACGGGAGTGCATCCCTCATGGATGACCTGGTACCATCTTCAAGGTTCTCAGTGAGTTCTTGCTCAGTTCCTTTCTGCCAGAACTAGTTGTTAAAAAGAGCATGGCACCTCCCTTCCTATTCTCACTGGCCTCTGTTCTTGTCATGTGATCTCTGCACACATGAGCTTCCCCTTTTCACCATGAGTGGAAGCAGTTTGAGGCCCTCACCAGATGCAGACGCCAGTGCCATGCTTCTTAAACAGCCTGAAGAACCAAGAGCCAGGCCAGGTGCGGTGGCTCACGCCTGTAATCCCAGCACTGTGGGAGGCCGAGGCGGGCAGATCACGAGGTCAGGAGATTGAGACCATCCTGGCTAACATGGTGAAACCCCGTCTCTACTAAAAATACAAAAAACTAGCCGGGTGTGGTGGCAAGCACCTGTAGTCCCAGCTACTCAGGAGGCTGAGGCAGGAGAAAGGCGTGAACCTGGGAGGCGGAGCTTGCAGTGAGCTGAGATCGCACCACTGCACTCCAGCCTGGGCGACAGAGCGAGACTCCGTCTCAAAAAAAAAAAAAAAAAAAAGAAAGAAACAGGAGCCAAATAAACTTCTTTTCTTTATAAATTACCCAGCCTCGGGTGTACCTTTATAGCAATATAAATGAACTAAGACAAGGACAACGTGCTCAAGATGCAATTACCTCTAAAAGCCCTCATCTCCTAATACTGCCACATTGGGAGCTAAGTTACAATATGAATTTGAGGGGACACTGAAACCACAGTACTATGCAGAAGAACTTATCTGAATCCCTACTTCAAACCATATGTAAAAATTAACTCAAAACAGATCAGGCCAAGCGCAGTGGCTCACGTCTGTAATCCCAGCACTTTGGGAGGCCAAGGCAGGTGGATCACGAGGTCAGGAGTTCGAGACCAGCCTGGCCAACATGGTGAAACCCCATCTCTACTAAAAATACAAAAATTAGCCAGGCATCGTGGTGCACGCCTGTGGTGCATGCCTGTAATCCCAGCTACTTGGGAGGCTGAGGCAGGAGAATTGCTTGAACCCAGGAAGGTGGAGGTTGCAGTGAGCTGAGACAGCACCACTGCACTCCAGCCTGGGCGACAGAGCGAGACTCCATCTCAGGAGAAAAAAAAAAAAACACAGATCAAAGACCTAAATTTAAAAGCTAAAACTATAAAATTCTCAGAAGGAAACACAGGTGAAAATGTACATGACCTTGTATTAGCCAATGGTTTCTTAGATAAGACACTCAAAGCATAATAAAAAAACGTTAAGACAGGTAGGGCACGGTGGCTCACGCCTGTAATCCCAGCACTTTGGGAGGCTGAGGTGGGCAAATCATCTGAGGTCAGGAGTTCAAGACCAGTCTGGCCAACATGGTGAGACCCCCATCTCTACTAAAAACACAAAAAATTAGCCTGGCATCGTGGTGTGCGCCTGTAATCCCAGCTACTTGGGAGGGTGAGGTGGAAGAATTGCTTGAAGCTGGGAGACGGAGGTTACAATGAGCCAAGATAGTGCCACTGCACTCCAGCCTGGGCGACAGAGCGAGACTGTCTCAAAAAAAAAAAAGAATAGGCAACTACAAGCCCTTCCTCATGCTCTCAAAAAAAAAAAAAAAAAAAAAGACAAACTGGAATTCACCAAAATTAAAAATGTTTGTATGTCAAAGGATACTGCCAAGAAAGTAAGTAAAAAGACAAACTATAGCATGAATGAAAATATCTAGCAATCATGTATCTGATAAGAATCTGGTGACCAAAACATATAAAGAATTCTTACAACTGCCCGCGGTGGCTCACGCCTGTAATCCCAACACTTTGGGAGGCCAAGGCGGGCAGATCACTAGAGGTCAGGAGTTCCAGACCAGCCTCGCCAACATGGTAAAACTCCGTCTCTACTAAAAATACAAAAATTAGCCAGGTATGGTGGCAGACACCCATAATCCCGGCTACTCAGGAGGTGGGGGCAGGAGAATCGCTTGAACCTGGGAGGCTGAGGTTGCAGTGAGCTGAGACCACACCACTATATTCCAGCCTGGGCAACAGAGATAGACTCTGTCTCAAAAACAACAATAACAACAAAGACTTCTTACAACTCAATTTAAAAAAACTCAAGTAGGCCAAGTGCGGTGGCTCACGCCTGTAATTCCAGCACTTTGGGAGGCCAAGGCGGGCAGATCACATGAGGTCAGGAGTTCGAGACTAGCCTGACCAACATGGCGAAACCCATCTGTACTAAAAATACAAAAATTAGCCAGGCGTAGTGGTGGGCACCTGTAATCCCAACTACTCAGGAGGCTTAGGCAGGAGAATCGCTTGAACCCAGGAGGCGTAGGTTGCAGTGAGCCAAGACTGTGCCATTGCACTCCACCCTGGTGGGGTTGGGGGGGAAACTAACTAAAAATTGAGCTACCATATGATCCAGCAATCCCACTGCTAGGTATATACCCAAAAAAAGGAATCAGTATATCAAAGAGCTATCTGCACTCCTATGTTTGCTGCACACTGTTTACAACAGCCAAGGTTTGGAAGCAACCTAAGTGTCCATGAACAGATGAATGGATAAAGAAAATGTGGTACATATAGACAACGGAGTACTATTCAGGCATAAAAACAATGAGATCACCTGTAATCCCAGCACTTTGGGAGGCTGAGGCAGGAGGATCACTAGGTCAGGAGTTCAAGACCAGCCTGGCCAACTGGTGAAACCCCGTCTCTACTAAATATACAAAAATTAGCTGGGCATGGTGGCGCATGCCTGTAAACCCAGCTACTCAGGAGGCTGAGGCAGGAGAATTGTTTGAACCGGGACCCGGGAGGCAAAGGTTTCAGTGAGCTGAGGTCATGCCACTGCACTCCAGCCTGTGCTACAAAGCAAGACCCTGTCTTAAAAAAAAAAAAAAAAAAAAAGAATGAGGTCCTGTCATTTGCAACAACATGGATAGAACTGGAAGTCATTGTGTTAAGTTAAATAAGCCAGGCACAGAAAGACAAACATTGCATATTCTCACTTATTTCTGAGATGTAAAGAAACAACTGAACTCATGGACACAGAGAATATAAGGATGGTTACCAGAACTAAGAAGGGTAATGGGGGTCTGGGGACAGCAGGAGGTGGGGATGGTTAATGGGTTAAAATAAATAAATAAATAAATAATGACTAAGACCTACTATTCAACAGCCCATTAATTGTACATTTTAAAATAACTTAAAGAGTAACTGAATTGTTTGTAATTCAAAGGATAAATGTTGAGGGGACGGATACCCCATTCCCTATGATGTGTTTATTTGTCATTGCATGCCTGTATTAAAACATCTTATGTACCCCATAAATATATATATACACCTACTATGTACTCAAAAAATTTAAAAAAATAAAAAATAAAAATACATTTAAAAATTAAAATTAAAAATAAAACCACAATGAGATACACTCAATGAGATTACAGCACATCCCCTAGAATAGCTATGTTGGCAAAGAGATGGAGAAACTCTTACATATTGTTGGCAGGAAGCAAAATGACATAATCACTTCATAAGACAGTTTAGCAATTCCTTATAAAACAAAATATATTCTTTTCACCATACGACCCAGCAGCTGTGCTCCCTGGTATTAACCCAAATGAGTTAAAAACTTACATACACACAAAAACCTACACACAAACGTTTATTCATAATTGCCAAAATTTGGAAGGAACTGAGATGTTCTTGAAAGGTGACTCGATAAACAAACTATGGTATATTCATACAACGGCATATTATTCAACAATAAAAAGAAATAAGCTACCACAATAAGGCACCACTTCACAACCTTTAGGATGGTTAATATTAAAAAAACAGAAAACAAATGTTGGTAAGAATATGGAGAAATCAGAACCTCTGTACACTGGTGATAGGAAGATTATTTATGCTATAACATAGATGAATCTTGAAAACATTGTGCAAATATGGTTTGGCTGTGTCCCAACCCAAATCTCACCTTGAATTGTAATAATCCCCATGTGTCAAGGGCGGGGCCAGGTGGAAACAAATCATGGGGGTGATTTCCCCCATACTGTTCTCATACAGAAAATTGGTACTGGGAGTGGGGCACTGCTTAAACATACCCGAAAATGTGAAGCAACTTTGGAAATGGGTAACAAACAGGCAGAAGTTGGAACAGTGTGGAAGGCTCAGGAAACAACAGGAAAAATGTGGGAGAGTCTGGAACTTCCTAGAGACTTATTGAATGGTTTTGACCAAAATGCTGACAGTGATATGGGCGATAAAGTCCAAGTTGAGGTGGTCTCAGATGGAGATAAGGAACTTATTGGGAACTGGAACAAAGGTGACTCTTGCTATGTTTTAGCAAAGAGACTGGTGGCGTTTTGCCCCTGCCCTAGAGATCTGTGGAACTTTAAACCTGAGACAGATGATTTAGGGTATCTGGCAGAAGAAATCTCTGAGCAACAAAGCTTCAAGAGGAAGCAAAGCATAAAAGTTTGAAAAATGTGCAGTCTGATGATGCAGTAGAAAAGAAAACTCCATTTTCTAGGGAGAAATTCAAGCCTGATACAGAAATTTGCACCAGTAACAAGAAGCCAAATGCTAATTGCCAAAACAATGGAGAAAATGTCTCCAAAGCATGTCAGAAACCTTCCAAGCAGCTCCTCCCATCACAGTCCTAGGAGGGAAACATAGTTTCCTGGACCAGGGCCAGGGCCCCCTCCTGCTGTGTGCAGCCTCTGGACTTGGTGCCCTGCATCCCAGCCACTCCAGTCGTGGCTAAAGGGGCCAAGGTACAGCTCGGGAAATGGCTTCAGGGGGTGAAAGTCCTAAGCCTTGGCAGCTTCCACATGGTGTTGGGCCTGCAGGTGCACACAAGTCAAGAACCGAGGTTTGGGAACCTCTGCCTAGATTTCAGAAGATGTATGGAAATGCCTGGATGTCCAGGCAGAGGTGTGCTATAGGGGTGGAGCCCTCATGGAAAACCTCTGCTAGGGCAGTGCAGAAGGGAAATGTGGGGTGGGAACCCACACACAGAGTCCCCACTGAGGCACTGCCTAGTGGAGCTGTGAGAAGAAGGCCACTGTTCGCCAGACCCCAGAATGGTAGATCCACTGACAGCTTGCACTGTGCACCGGGAAGAGCCACAGACACTCAATGCCAGTCTGTGAAAGGAGCCGGGGGGGGGTGGCTATATATGCTGCAAAGCCACACAGGTGGAGCTCTCCAAGGCCATGGGAACCCACCTCTTGCATCAGCACAACCTGGATGTGAGACATGGAGTCAAAGGTCATTTTGGAGCTTTAAGATTTGACTGCCAGCTGGGCACGGTGGCTCACACCTGTAATCCCAGCACTTTGGGAGGCCGAGGCAGCTGGATCACCTGAGGTCAGGAGTTCGAGACCAGCCGGCCAAGATGGTGAAACCCCCAACTCTACTAAAAACACAAAAAAATGGCTGGGCGCGGTGGCTCACACCTGTAATCCCAGCACTTCAGGAGGCTGAGACAGGTGGGTCACCTGAGGTCAGGAGTCCAAGACCAGGCTGGCCAACATGGCAAAACCCTGTCTCTACTAAAAATACAAAAATTAGCCAGGCATGGTGGCGCGTGCCTGTAATCCCACCTACTAAAGGAGCTGAGCCAGGAGGATCACTTGGACCCGGGAGGCGGAGGTTGCAGTGAGCCAAGATCGTGCCACTGCACTCCAGCCTGGGCAACAGAGCGAGACTCCATCTCAAAAAAAAAAAAATTAGCCAGGCGTGGTGGCAAGCATCTGTAATCCCAGCTACTCAGGAGGCTGAGGCAGGAGAATCGCTTGAACTAGGCGGGTGGAGGTTGCAGTGAGCCAAGATCGCACCACTGCACCACTCCAGCCTGGGCAACAGAGCGAGACTCCATCTCAAAAAAAAAAAAAAAAAAGGAAAAATGTAAAAGATAATAATAAAAGGAAATCATTCAAACACACAATAAGGAAGATGAAATATAGAACATGTAAATATGAAATGTTCCAAATTAAAATTGAATGAAAAGTAAAAATCACAATTGATTACAACTACATAAAACTGTATATACTGATAAAGATTAGAAAACAATAAAAGAAAAACAGTTCCTCTGGGAGTTTGATGAGATTATAAATATTTGGTATCGCATGATGTTTTATGACCTTTTAGTCATTTTGATATAATTTTGTTTAGATAGCCACCTATGTCAGGGCATTAAAATATGATTCAATTTTCAAAAGTAGGACACACCAACTAGTTACATTTAATTATTTACACTAGCTTTCTTAGGACACCATCTGTAATCCATACTACTGAATTCCATCATTTCTGAATTCTTACTACTACTCACTCTTAAGCTAGAATGGCAGCAGACAAATAATAGATACCTCCATTGCTGTGGTAGAAATTTATGGATAAGAACATTTAAGAAGGACAGATGCAATACCTCACGCCTGTAATCCCAGCACTTTGAAAGGCCAAGGCAGGAAGATCACTTGAGCCCACGAGTTTGAGACCAGCCTGGGCAACACTGCAAGACCCTGTCTTTACAAAAAGTTTAAAAATTAGCTGGGCATGGTGGTGCGCACCTGTGGTCCAGCTACTCAGGAAGCTGAGATGGGAGAATTGCTTGAGCCCAACAGGTAGAGGCTGTAGGGAGCTGTGTTCTCAACACTGCACACCAGCCTGGGCAAGAGAGAGACTCTGTGTCAAAAAACAAAAACAAATGAAAAGAATATTTAACAAGGTGATATTACATTTTATTTATTTTATTTTTATTTTTATTTTTTTTGAAAGTCTCGCTCTGTCGCCTAGGAGTACAGTGGCATGATCTCAGTTCACTGCAGCCTCAGCAGACTGGGCTCAAGTAATCCTTCCACCTCAGCCTCCTGAGTAGCTGGGATTATGGGTGCGCACTACCATACCCAGCTAATTTATTTTTATTTTTTGTAGAGGCGGGGTTTCGCCATGTAGGCTGGTCTCGAATTCCTGGGCTCAAGTGATTGGCCCACCTCGGCCTCCTAAAGTGTTGGGATTACAGGTGTGAGCCATGACACCCAGCCTGACGTTATATTTTAATGAAGAAGACTAATTCAGGTTTCAGTAAATTTTTTGTTTGTTTTTTGAGATGGAGTCTCACTCTGTCGCCTAGGCTGGAGTGCAGTGGCACGATCTCAGCTCACTGCAACCTCTGCCTCCCGGGTTCACGCCATTCTCCTGCCTCAGCCTCTCAAGTAGCTGGGACTACAGGCACCTGCCACCATGCCTGGCTAATTTTTGTTTTTTTCAGTAGAGACGAGGTTTCACTGTGTTAGCCAGGATGGTCTCGATCTCCTGACCTCGTGATCCGCCCGCCTTGGCCTCCCAAAATGCTGGGATTACAGGCGTGAGCCACCACGCGCAGCCCCTCAGTAACTGTTTTAAGCATGATTTAGGAAGCAAATTATTTGTTTAAAGGAAATATACAACTTCACAATACAAAGAATTGTGCTAAAAACTCTATCAGAAATATAAATTCATTGTGTAAATCTAATATCCCTGAAAAAATGTCAATTAAAGTAACAATTATACTGTAAATTTTAAAATAATTATGCAATTTTTTTTTTTTTTTGAGATGGAGTTTCACTCTCGTTGCCCAGGCTGGAGTGCAATGGTGCAATTTTGGCTCACCACAACCTCCACCTCCCGGGTTCAAGAGATTCTCCTGCCTCAGCCTCCCCAGTAGCTGGGATTACAGGTGTGCGCCACCACACCCACCTAATTTTGTATTTTTAGTAGAGACAGGGTTTCTCCATGTGGGTCAAGCTGGTCTCTAACTCCCGACCTCAGGTGGTCTGGCTGCCTTGGCCTCCCAAAGTGCTGGGATCACAGGTGTGAGCCACCACACCCGGCACATAATTATGCAATTCTAATCATGTCATAGTAAGTGTGAAATCTCTAAGGACAGATGGATTTCTATTTATTTACGTGTACACAGTACATTTTTACTTGTACTAATGGCAATCATTTAAAATAGCAAGCTCTCAAAAAGCATTAAAAGCAATTGCTTCTGATGGGAAAAGTTCAGCCCTTTGACTGTCAGCCACTTCAAGAACCTCCGGGACAGAGGTTCAACCTTTATCCTTCACCTAGAGAAATTTTATTATAAAAAGAAAAGTTTACAACACTAGCTTAAAGTTTTTTAAAAAGTACCACTTAAAAAATAAAATGTTGGCCAGGCACGGTGGCTCACACCTGTAATCCCAGCACTTTGGGAGGCTGAGGCAGGTGGAACACGAGGTTAGGAGTTCGAGACCAGCCTGGCCAAGACAGTGAAACCCTGTCTCTACTAAAAATACAAAAATTAGCCAGGGGCAGTGGCGGGCGCCTGTAATCCCAGCTACTTGGGAGGCTGAGGCAGGAGAATTGCTTGAACCCGGGAGGCAGAGGTTGCAGTGAGCTGAGAACGTGCCACTGCACTCTAACCTGGGTGACAAAATGAAATGTCCAGCATTATCTCCAGAGAAGTTAAGAAAAAAGAAATGGAGCCAGGTGCAGAAGCTCATGCCTGTAATCTTAGCACTTGGGAGGCCAAAGCAGGCAGATTGCCTGAGCTCAGGAGTTCAAGACCAGCCTGGGCAACATGGTGAAGCCCCGTCTCTACTAAAAAAATTAGCTGGGTGTGGTGGCATGCGTCTGTAGTCCCAGCTACTTGGGAGGCTGAGGCAGGAGAATTGCTTGAACCCAGGAGGTGGAGGTTGCAATGAGCCAAGATGGTGCCACTGCACTCCCACCTGACGAGAGCGAGACTGTCTCAAAGAAAAGCAAACAAATAAAGAAATGGAATAATAAAAAACATTACAAAAGTTGAAATAGTTAAATTAAATAAATGAGGTGTAGACTGGGTGTGGTGGCTCACACCTGTAATCCCAACACTTTGGGAGGCCAAGGTGAGCGGATCACTTGAGGTCCGGAGTTCAAGACCAGCCTGGCCAATGTGGCAAATCCTGATCTCTACGAAAAATAAAAAAATTAGCCAGGTATGGTGGCGCGGGCCTGTTCGAGTACTTCCAGCTCCTCGGAGGCTGAGGCAGGAGAATCGACTGAGCCCAGAAGGTGAAGGTTGCAGTGAGCCAAGATCATATCACTACACTCCAGCCTGGGCAGAAGAGCAAGGCTCTGCCTCAATCAATCAATCAATCAATCAGTAAGTGTAGAAATAAACCAATCTGATCAATTTATAAAAATACATTCCAAAAATAAGTTCCTCAACTGGTACAATGGATTGTCTTTAGTCAGTTTATCAAAAAATCAATTCTTGTTTCTTCGAACATTCTTGAAAATGCATAACTGCACATTTCTTTGGGGAAAAAAATCCGGAAATAAACCACTGTTAAAAAAACAGTATTTTCCATCCCACAACTAGTGGATCTTCACTTAACAGTTCCTTTAAAATGTTTATATATAGGCCAGGCGCCATGGCTCGTGCCTGTAATCCCAGCACTTTGGGAGGCCAAGGTGGGGTGGATCACCTGAGAACAAGAGTTCGAGACCAGCCTGGCCAACATGGTGAAAACCCATCTCCACTAAAAGTATAAAAATGAGCTCGGCGCAGTGGCGCGTGCCTGTAGTCCCAGCTACTCGGGAGGCTGAGACTCAAGAAATGCTTGAACCCAGGAGGTGGAGGATGCAGTGAGCCAAAATGGGACCACTACACTCCAGCCTGGGTGACACAGCAAGATTCTTGTCTCAAAAATAAATAAATAAAAATAAGAATAAATAAATTAAATGTTTGTATAAATGAAGATATCTAAGGGATTTTAATTTTCATATAAAGCTGTAGTGGAGTATCATTATTATCATGCTCACCTCTTCTCAGAACTAGACTGGAAATCCACTTTGTTGTTGCTTGTCATCATTTCAGGTTTGTTTCTTGTTTTTTTGTTTTGTTTTGTTTTGTTTTTTGACGGAGTCTCGTTCTGTCGCCCAGGCTGGAGTGCAGTGGCATGATCTCGGTTCACTGCAAGCTCCACCTCCTGAGTTCACGCCATTCCCCTGCCTCAGCCTCCTAAGTAGCTGGGACTACAGGCACCCGCCACCACACCCAGCTAATATTTTGTATTTTTAGCAGAGATGGGGTTTCACCATGTTAGCCAGGATGGGCTCGATCTCCTGACCTCGTGATCCACCCGCCTCAGCCTCCCGAAATGCTGGGATTACAGACGTGAGCCACCCAACCCAGCCAGTTTGTTTGTTTTTTGAGACGAAGTCTCGCTCTGTCACCCAGGCTGAAGTGCAATGGCACAATCTCGGCTCACTGCAACCTCTGCTTCCCAGGTTCAAGCAATTCTGCCACCTCAGCCTCCAGAGTAGCTGGGACTACAGGCATCCGCCAACATACCTAGCTAATTTTTGTATTTTTAGTAGAACCAGGGTTTCACCATATTGGTCAGGCTGATCTTGAACTCCTGACCTCATGATCCACCCACCTTGGCCTTCCAAAGTGCTGGGATTACAGGCGTGAGCCACCGTGCCTGGCCTTTTTTTTTTTTTTTTTTTTTTTTTTTAGATGGAGTCTTGCTCTGTCGTCCAGGCTGGAGTGCAGCGGGGCGATCCCAGCTCACTGCAACCTCCGCCTCCTGGGTTCAAGCAATTCTCTGCCTCAGCCTCCCAAGTAGCTGGGATTACAGGTGCCTGCCACCATGCCCAACTAATTTTTTTGTATTTTTAGTAGAGATGGGGTTTCACCATCTTGGCCAGGCTGGTCTTGAACTTCTGACCTTGTGAGTGAACTGCCTCAGCCTCCCAAAGTGCTGGGATTACAGGTGTGAGCCACCGTGCCTGGCCCAATTAATGTTTTTTATACAAGCATTATAGTTATCTTTATTATAAATTAAGAATAGAAAATATTTTTTTTTTTTTTTTTTGGTGACAGAGTCTTGCTCTGTTGCCCAGAGCTGGAGTGCAAATGGTGGAATCTCTGCTCACTGCAACCTCCGCCTCCTGGGTTCAAGCAATGCTCCTGCCTCAGTCTCCCAAGTAGCTGGGATTACAGGCGTGTGCCACCATGCCCGGCTAATTTTTGTATTTTTTAGCAGAGACAGGGTTTCATCATGTTGGCCAGAATGGTCTCCAACTCCTGACCTCAGGCGATCCGCCCGCCTTGGCTTCCCAAAGTGCTGGGATTACAGGCATGAGGCACCCCACCCAGCCAGGAATATTAAATCTTAAAGCTAAGAAAAACCTCTGGTAATTATAGACCTCTAAGAAAACGACCATTACCAATACAAATATGAAATACACTGAAGGCTTTTGTTAATGTCTATGTGTATATAATACATACATACATATTCATGTATTCTTTCACATTTGCCAGTTGTTGAAAATTAAAAAACAGAATATACACAGATAAAAAATGAATTAAAATTTGCTATCTGGTGAAAAGTTTATTTAGCAGCTTAAAGAGAGATGAAGAAAGGGTGAATTGGACGATAAAGAAATGTCGGCCGGGCGTGGTGGCTCATGCCCGTAATCCCAGCACTTTGGGAGGCTGAGGAGGGCGGATCACGAGGTCAGGAGATCGAGACCATCCTGGCCAACATGGTGAAACCCTGTCTCTACTAAAATTTCAAAAATTAGCCGGGCTGGTGGCATGCGCCTGTAATCCCAGCTACTCGGGAGGCTGAAGCAGAAGAATTGCTTGAACCCGGCAGTCGGAGGTTGCAGTGAGCCAAGATCGCCATTGAACTCCAGCCTGGTGACAGAACAAGACTCATCTCAAAAAAAAAAAAAAAAAAAAAGAAATGTCAACCAGGTGTGGTGGCTCACGCCTGTAATCCTAGCACTTTGGGAGGCCGAGGCAGGCGGATCATGAGGTCAGATGATCAAGACCATCCTGGCTAACAGAGTGAAACCCCATCTCTACTAAAAATACGAAAAAAAAAGTTAGCCAGGCATGGTGGCACGTGCCTCTAGTCCCAGCTACTCGGAAGGCTGAGACAGAAGAATCGCTTGAACCCAGGAGGCGGAGGTTGCAGTAGCCGAGATCGTGCCGCTGCACTCTAGCCTGGACAGAGCGAGACTCCGTCTCAAAAAAAAAAAAGAAAAAAAGAAATGTCACAGAGGGCTTCACAGACAGATAAATGGAGATAAACTAGGAAAATGATAGTGAGATATGGAGGAACAGACAGGATCATGTACGTCTTCTATAAACAGCATAATGTGCAATTGATTGTAGCACAAAGTAGAGTTAAGTAGAGAAGATGAGGAGAGTATTCAAAGATAAAATATTAAATAATTTTTCCAGAGTAAACAAATGAATTATTAAATTCAGGAAGCCAAACAATCCCCATTGTGGATGTGTAAAACATAAATTTTATTTGTTTTGGATGTGCAAAACACTTATTTTGGCTGCTTTTTAGAATTTCTCTGGCTTGGTGGCTGTTTCACTAAGATGTGTTTAAGTTTGAAACACCACCAAAGACGGAGAATCTCTAAAAAGCAGCCAAGCCGGCCTGGGGCTCACGCCTGTAATCCCAGCACTTTGAGAGGCCAAGGCGGGCAGATTGCCTGAGCTCAGGAGTTTGAGATCAGCCTGGGAAACAGGGTGAAACCCCGTCTCTACTAAAATACAAAAAACTAGCCGGGCGTGGCAGCGTGCGCCTATAGTCCCAGCTCCTTGAGAGGCTGAGGCAGGAGAATTGCTTGAACCCGGGAGGCAGAGGTTACAGTGAGCCAAAATCATGCCATTACACTCCAGCCTGGGCAACAGAGTGAGACTCCATCTCAAAAAAATAAGGCAGCCAAAATAAACTGTATCATTATGATGGAACACTTAGTAGAATGACAACAGACTGCTCAACAATTGTAAGTGAAAGTATAACACAATAGACTAATATTTGTGAAGTATCGAAAAAATGTAACTGCCAATAGAGGGCTGCAGGTGCTTTGGAAATATCTTTCAAATAGAATAAAATGAGTTGGGCGCCGTGGCTCACACCCATAATCCCAGCACTTTGGGAGGCCGAGGCGGGCGATCACCTGAGGTCCAGAGTTTGAGACCAGCCTGGCCAACACGGCAAAACCTCATCTCTACTAAAAATACAAAAATTAGCCGGGCATGGTGGTGTGCACCTGTAATCCCAGCTACTCGGGAGGCTGAGGCAGAATCGCTTGAACCGGGAAGGTGGAGGTTGCAGTGAGCCAAGATCATGCCACTGCACTCCAGCCTTAGAGAGAGAGTGAGACTCTGTCCCAAAAAAAAAAAAAAAAAAAAAAAAAAAAAAAAAGAATAAAATGAAAAAAAATACTTTTGTTTTTTGCTTCTGGAAATGGAAAGAATGGCATAACGGGTTATTCTTTTTTGTGTATATTTTTTTTTTTTTGAGATGGAGTCTCACTCTATTGCCCAAGCTGGAGCGCAGTGGTGCGATCTCAGCTCACTGCAACCTCTGCCTCCCGGGTTCAAGCGATTCTCCTGCCTCAGCCTCCTGAGTAGCTGGACTACAGGCGCATGCCACCATGCCCAAATAATTTTTGTATTATTAGTAGAGGCAGGGTTTCACCATGTTGGCCAGGCTAGTCTCGAACTCCTGACTTCGTGATCTGCTCACATCAGCCTCCCAAAGTGCTGGCATAACAGGTGTGAGCCACCGCGCCCAGCCCTAACAGGTTATTCTTACAGGCTTATTAGTACTATTTGATAACCACACATATAAATTAGATACATATACTTTTATATATAAAGTCCTTATTACAATTTACTATAACCACCATAAGCCAAAGATAATACCTTGGGGTGAGGAAAGATGTTGCTCTTGCAGCTTCTCTTGAGAGAGGAGTCCCAAGTAGCTGAGAACAACATACTTTGTTTCATAGTGAAATCCCAGAGGCACAGTAGAAGAGGACGCCATTGAATTGGCTGGTGAGGCTCCAAAAAGGTCTACTTATGGATGTGTAAAACCTAAGAACAAAAAAGTAATTTTTTCAGTTTAAAGTTTATTACATGCCACTTTAACAGTTGTTTCACACCAAAATGTCTTGTGCAACTCTTTTGAGGTAGAGTCTTGCTCTTGTCGCTCAGGCAGGAGTGCAGTGGCGCAATCTCAGCTCACCACAACCTCTGCCTCCTGGGTTCAAGCCACTGCACTCCAGCCTGGCGACAGAGCAAGACTCCCTCTCAAAGAAAAAAAAAAAAAAGTACTGCACATACAATTACATGCAGTACATAATACTTGATAATACTAGATGACTTACTGGTTTATGTATTTACTACACTTTTTATTGTTAGAGTATACTCCTGCTTATTTAAAAAAAAAAAAAAAGTGAACTGTAAAGCCTCAGGGCAGGTGGTCCTCCAGGAGGGATTCCAGAAGGCATTGTTACTGGAAATGTCAACTCCATGGGTGTTACTGCCTCTGAAGACTGTCCAGTGGGACAAGATGTGGAGGTAGAAGACAGTGATATTAATAATCCTGACTCTGTGTAGGCCTGGGCTAATGAGTCTGTTTGTGTCTTAGTTTTTAGGAAAACAGTTTAAAAGGAAAAGGAAAAAAAAAAGAAAATTTAAAAACAGAAAAAAGCTTATAAAATAAGGATACAGGCAATGCATGGTGGCTCACGCATGTAATCCCAGAACTTTAGAAGGCCGAGGTGGGAGGACTGCTTGAGTCCAGCAGTTCAAGACCAGCCTGGGCAATATAGCAAGACTCCATCTCTACAAAAAAATTTAAAACATTAGCTGGGCGTGGTAGGGCCTGCCTATGGTCCCAGTTACTCAGGAAGCTGAGGCGGGAGGATTGCTTGAGCCCAGGAGGTCAAGACTGCAGTGAGTTATAATTGCACCACTGCACACCAGCCTGGGAAACAGGGCAAGACCCTGTCTTAAAAAAAGAGAAGACAGGCCAGGTGCGGTGGCTCACACCTGTAATCCTAGCACTTTGGGAGGCCGAGGCGGGCGGATCACGAGGTCAGGAGATCGAGACCATCCTGGCTAACAGAGTGAAACCCCGTCTCTACTAAAAATACAAAAAAAATTAGCCGGGCGTGATGGCGGGCACCTGTAGTCCCAGCTACTCGGGAGGCTGAGGCAGGAGAATGGCATAAACCCGGAAGGCGGAGTTTACAATGAGCCGAGATCACGCCACTGCACTCCAGCCTGGGCGACAGAGCGAGACTCCATCTCAAAAAAAAACAGAAGAAAAAAAAAGAGAGAAGACAAAAAGCTAGGTGTGCTGGCTCATACCCATAATCCCAGCACTTTGGGAGGCGGAGGCAGAGGCAGGTTGATTGCTTGAAACCGGCCTGACAACATGGTAACATGGTAAAACCTTGTCTCTAAATAAATGTTAAAAATTAGCCAGGCATCTGGTGCACACCTATAATGCCAGCTACTCAGAAGCTGAGATGGGATAACTGCTTGAGCCCAGGAGGTAGAGGCTGCAGTGAGCCATGATCACGCCACTGCACTCCAGCCTGGGTGACAGAGCAAGACCCTGTCTCAATAACAAAAACAAAAAGAAATAGAAGATAAAGTTTTCTGATAATTTTTTTGTGTTCATTCAACACACATTTATTAAGCTGCAAGGTACTCTATAGGCATTAGACATGAAGACAAACATGATAAATCACCAGACCTCAGGAGTTTTCATAGGAAACCAAAAATACTTATAACAAAAATACAGACTGGAAAAAGAGGCAATGTCGGCAAAATTTAACATCTGTGATAAGCAAACTAAGATAAATATCCTAGAATGATAAACAATTTTTAAAAATAGAAAAAGAATTTCAAATATACAAAATAAAATGGCTATAGATATAAGTGGTTGGCACAGTGGCTCATGCTTATAATTCCAACACTTTGGAAGGACAAGGGAGGAGGATCACTTGACACCAGGAATTCAAGACCAGACTGGACAACACAGTGAGACCCTGTCTCTACAAAAAATGAAATTAGCCCTGGGTGTGGTGGCATGCGCCTGTAGTCCTAGTTACTTGGGAGGCTGATAAGGCAGGAGGATCACTTGAGCCCAGGAGCTTGAGGTTACAAGGAGCTATGATCACATACCAATGCACTGCAGCCTGAGTGACAAAGCAAGACCCTGTCTCAAAAAAAAAAAAAAAAAAAAAATCATACTGGAGGTGGTAAGGAAGACAGACTGAAGAGTAGACGCAAGGAGACAAGTTACGAGAATATGGAAAAACCTCAGCAAGAGATGTAAGAAGGCATGAACTAGCATAGGAACAGAACACTGAAAAGGGAAGGATGGATAGGAAAAAGGTTAGGAATTCAAAGATCTATTGGTTAACTCAATGAGAGAGTGACCCAGGAAGCTGTAAGGTAAGTGGTATTACTCCTATTTCTTAAATCAGATAATATAGGAAGAGTCGGTTTTGGGAAGGATAAGGAAATCACTTTAGGGTATACAGACAGTCCCCGACTTAACGACAGTTTGGCTTACAATTTTTTCACTTTATGATGGCAGTGCAAACAGAATATGCATTCAGTAGAAACTGAACTTCAAGTATCCATACGACCACTCTGTTTTTTCTCTTTTTTTTGAGACTGAGTCTCACTCTGTCCCCCAGGCTGGAGTGCAGTGGCGCGATCTCGGCTCACTGCAAGCTCCGCCTCCTGGGTTCACGCCATTCTCCTGCCTCAGCCTCCCGAGTAGCTGGGACTACAGGTGCCCGCCACCACGCCCGGCTAATTTTTTGTATTTTTTAGTAGAGACAGGGTTTCACCGTGTTAGCCAGGATGGTCTCGATCTCCTGACCTCGTGATTCACCCACCTCGGCCTCCCAAAGTGCTGGGATTACAGGCTTGAGCCACCGCGCCTGGCCTCACTCTGTTTTTTCACTTTCAATATGGTATTCAAGAAATCTGATGGCCGGGCACGATGGCTCATGTCTGTAACTCCACACTTTTGGAGGCTGAGGCGGGTGGATTACCTGAGGCCAGGAGTTCAAGATCAGCCTGGCCAACATGGCAAAACCCCATCTCTACTAAAAATACAAAAATTAGCCAGTCATGGTGACATGCACCTGTAGTCCCAGCTACTTGGGAGGCTGAGACAGGAGAATTGCTTGAACCCAGGAGGAAGAGGTTGAAATGAGCCGAGATCACACCACTGCACTCCAGCTTGGGCAACAAGAACAAGACTCAGTCTCAAAAAAAAGAAATTTGATAAGATAGTCAACACTTTACATAAAATAGTTGTTATATTTCATGATTTTACACAACTGCAGGCTAATGTGTTTTAAGCACACTTAAATGTGCTTAATGTGTGGCTGGGAACAGTGGTTCACATCTGTAATCCTAGCACTTTGGGAGGTCAAGGCAGAGGGATCACTTGAGCTTAGGAGTTTGAGACAAGCCTGGGCAACATGGCGAAATCCCATTTCTACAAAAAATTTAAAAAAAATTTTTTGCTTAATGTGTTTTAAGCACAGGCTAAGCTATGTTTGGTAGGTGTATTAAATGCATTTTCAACATATGATATTTTCCACCTATGATGAGTTTCTCAGAATGTAACCCCACCATAAGTTGAGGAGCATCTGCACTGAATTTTCAAGTACCTACAGGTCATCCAGGTAGTGATACAGAACAAGCAGTTGGATATAAAGGTCTTTAAGAAGTCAGGGGTGGTGGCTCACACCTGTAATCCCAGCATTTTGGGAGGCCAAGGCAGGTGGATCACGCAATCAGGAAATCCAGACCATCCTGGCTAGCACAGTGAAGCCCTGTCTCTACTAAAAACAGAAAAAATTAGCCGGGCGTGGTGGCAGGCGCCTGTAGTCCCAGCTGCTCAGGAGGCTGAGGCAGGAGAATCACTTGAACCCGGGAGGCGGAGCTTGCAGTGAGCCGAGATCGCGCCACTGCACTCCAGCCTGGGCGACAGAGTGAGACTCCGTCTCAAAAAAAAGTCTTTAAGAAAGGTCTAGGCTGGACGCAGTGGCTCACGCCTGTAATCCCAGCACTTTGGGGAGCCTGAGGCAGGTAGATCATATGAGGTCAGGAGTTCGAGACCAGCCTGGCCAACATGGTGAAAACCCGTCTCTACTAAAAATACAAAAATTAGCCGGGCACAGTGGCAGGCACCTGTAATCCCAGCTACTCGGGAGGCGGAGGCAGGAAAATCAATTGAACCTGGGAGGCGGAGCTTGCAGTAAGCTGAGATCGGTCATTGCACTCCAGCCTGGGCAACAGAGTAAGACTCCGTCTCAAATAAATAAATAAATAAATAAATAAATAAATAGGTCTAGGCTGGAGATACAAAATTCTAAGTATTCTGTATAAGTCAATCAAATTACCTAAGAAGACTGAATGGCCCAGCGCCATGGCTCACGCCTATAATCCTAGCACTTTGGGAGGCCAAGGCGGGTAGATCACGAGGTCAGGAGTTCAAGACCATCCTGGCCAACATGGTGAAACCCTGTCTCTACTAAAAATACAAAAATTAGCTGGGCATGGTAGCGCATGCCTGTAATCCCAGCTACTCGGAAGACTGAGGCAGGAGAATTGCTTGAACCGGGACTTGGGAGGCAGAGGTTGCAGTGAGCCGAGATCGCGCCACTGCACTCCAGCCTGAGTTACAGAGCAAGACTCCGTCTCAAAAAAAAAAAAAAAAAAAAGGAGTGAATGGACGACGAGGTGCGGTGGCTCACACCTGTAATCCCAACACTTTGGGAAGCAGAGGCAAGAGGACTGCTTGAGGCCAGGGGTTCAAGATAGCCTGAAAGAAAATAAAATTAACTGGGCATGGTGGCACATGCCTGTAGTCCCAGTTACTTGGGAGGCCGAGATGGGAGGATAGCTTGAGCCCAGGAAGTTGAGGCTGCAGTGAGCCTGGACTGCACCACTGCACTCCAGCCTGGGTGACAGAGCAAGATCCTATCTTTTAAAAAAAACCAATGTGAATGAACAGTGATTTTCAATGGGAGGGGTGTGTCAAAATGTCAGAGGGACTATAGTTTGTAAAAGAATATTCAATATACTTTCAGACTTGGAAAAGGAAAATCACCTATTATTTTTAGACTACAGACTATAGAAGGTAAGGCTCAGTAAATTTTCAGTCTTCTTTGCAGCAGTGATTCTCAGTGCTGGGACAAGAAGGAAAAATAACGTGCCTCCCACCGCCAATGCCACCAGAATAGGAGCCACAGAAATTTTTATTTACCTTATTTTTAATAAAGGAGACATAGGCTACAAAACATGTTCAAAAATACTGGTATAATCTTAAAAAGAACACATTAGAATCCACTAACATTTAAGGGGTAGTCAAAAGATGAGAAGCTGGAAGAGGAACCCTTTCAGTCCAGATTGAAACAGAAAGGTAGAAAGAAAACCAGGAAAGACTGTAATCACAGAAGTCAGGGAGGCACTTCAATAAGAAGGCAGTGAACAACTGTGTCAAACGTAGTAACATGTCAAGAAGAATGAAAATAAGAAGAGTCAGCCGGGCGCAGTGGCTCATGCCTGTAATCCCAGCACTTTGGGAGGCTGAGACGGGCAGATCACCTGAGGTCAGGAGTTCGAGACCAGCCTGGCCAACATGGTGAAACCCCATCTCTTCAAAACTATGAAAATTAGCTGGGCATGATGGCAGGCGCCTGTAATCCCAGCTACTCAGGAGGCTGAGGCAGGAGAATCGCTCAGAGCAGGGAGGCGGAGGCTGCAGTGGGCCAAGATTACGCATTGCACTCCAACTTGGACGACAGAGCAAAGCTCCATCTCAAAAAAAAAAAAAAAAAAGAAAAGAAAAAAAAGAGGGGAGAATAGATAAAATTAATAACAATCTAAGCTTTTGGAAGTCTCTTCAGCGGCCAGGCACAGTGGCTCACGCCTGTAATCCCAGCACTTTGGGAGGCCGAGGCGGGTGCATCACCTAAGGTCAGGAGTTTAAGACCAGCCTGGCCAACATGGTGAAACCCGGTCTCTACTAAAAATACAAAAATTAGCCAGACATGGTGGCAGGTGCCTGTAATCCCAGCTACTCAGGAGGCTGAGGCAGGAGAATCACTTGAACCCGGGAGGCAGAGGTTGCAGTGAGCCAAGATCGTGCCACTGCCCTACAGCCTGGGCGACAGAGCAAGACTTCGTCTCAAAAAAAAAAGTCTCTTTAGCAACAACCCTCTTTTGCTAGAAAATAAAAAAGTCTCAGTATTTCTTTGGTAGCAGGAAGAAGAAAGTATTTACATTTTGAATAAATGCTTTAAATTAAAAAATTGGCCCGGCGTGATGGCTCACGCCTGTAATCCCAACACTTTGGGAGGCCGAGGCAGGCGGATCACCTGAGGTCAGGAGTTCCAGACCAGCCTGGGCAACCTGGTGAAACCCCGTCCCTACTAAAATACAAAAATTAGCCAGGCATGGTGGCGTGCGCCTATAATACCAGCCACTCCGGAGGCTGAGGCAAGAGAATTGATTGAGCCTGGGAGGCAGAAGTTGCAGTGAGCCGAAATCATACCTGCACTCCAGCCTGCGTGACAGAGCTAGACTCCGTCTCCCAAAAAAAAAAAAAATTGAGCCGGGCACAAGTTCATGCCCATAATCCCAACAATGTGGGGGGCTGAGGCAGGAAGCAAGCTTGACCCCAGGAGATTGAGGCTGCAGTGAGCCTGTGATAATACCACTGCACTCCAGCCTGAGCGACAGGGTAACACCCTGCCTCTAATTAAAAGAAAAAAAAATTGATATTCTCTAATTTGTTGTATTCAAATTTGTTGTATTTATCAAGAATCCACATCACTGAAGTCGTTTGCCAACCCAAAAGCCAGAGACAAACTACAAATCACTAAGTTTCCAAATTTGATTTTTAGCCTAATGTTCCTCAAATTTTCTTATAAAACCTGATTGTGTAATTATAAATGCAATCTTAATCATGAATTTCATCATCTTCCACCTTTAACTCTAGTATATATGCTAAAGCCCATATATCTATATATTTGGTGAAGGATTATATTTATTCATTTAAATCTAGTATACAGTTTTCAGACTTTAAATGCATATTTGTTATTCTGGTTATAAACATAACAGACCTACAGTATAAAACAGCCATGCAACTTTTTTTTTTAATTTTTAAATTTTTTGTAGCGATGGAGTCTCACTATGTTGCCCCAGCTGGTGTCAAACTCCAGGCCCCAAGTGATCCTCCAACCTTGGCGTCCCAAATTGCTGGGATTACAAGCGTGAGCCACCATATCTGGCCCCAACTTCTAATTTAGCTTGAGCTTCCAGTTGTGTAGCAATGCAGCAGCTCCTTCAGGACTATGGTTAAATGGGGAAAAGTCAGATCCCAAGAACACTATTATGTAACTAGCACATTTATATTAAATTATAGGACAAAGGTATTGATAACAGGCCAAGTGTAAACTCCACAGCACTACTACAGGGTTATGTCTCTAAGCACAAAATGGGAGAGGACACCCACTTCCTTTGCAACATTCTGCAGTGTCTAATAAGTATATTGCACAATGAACTTTTGCATTTCTTTTTTTTTTTTTGAGACAGAGTCTCTGTCGCCAGGAGTGCAGTGGCATGACCTCGGCTCACTGCAACCTTCGCCTCCTGGGTTCAAGCGATTCTCCTACCTCAGCCTCCCAAGCAGCTCGGACTACAGGGGTGTGCCACCAAGCCCGGATAATTTTTTGTATTTTTTAGTAGAGACGGGGGTTTCACCGTGTTAGCCAGGATGGTCTCGATCTCCTTATCTCCCGATCCGCCCACCTTGGCCTCCCAAAGTGCTAGGATTACAGGCGTGAGCCACTGCGCCCGGAGGGACTTTGGCATTTCTAATAAACATCATATATAAATTACATCTTCGTGACATCTGTTTCTAAAGCATTTTTCTATGTGTTGTCACAGTAATCCTCTATACTTGAATGAAAATTTTATAGATGGAGAAACAAGAACAATTTATTTGCCTAAAATCATACAGCTAGGTAACAGCACAACCACTTAATTGGGTACACCGTCTTCACTTCCTCTTAGACCTTAACTGTATTTATTCAACACATATTTACTATATGCCAGGTAATGTACTAGGTGAGAGGAATGCAGAGGTGAAAACACTAACACTAGTAATACGGAAGGATACGGTAGCAAAACAAGGTGGTTTTTGTAGTATCACAGATCCAGAGTACTGAAAGAAGCAAATTTGTCAGTTTTGAGAATGGACGGGGGGAAAAAAAAGCTAGATTGGATGAAAGGTAATTATGACGCGGGACCATCACCTAAAGCTTTTGTAGAAGCACTTTGGGAGGCCAAGGCAGGCGGATCACGAGGTCAGGAGTTCGAGACCAGTCTGGCCAACACAGTGAAACCCCGTCTCCACTAAAAATACAAAAATTAGGCCAGGTGCAGTGGCTCATGCCTGTAACCCCAGAACTTTGGGAGGCCAAGGCGAGCGGATCACAAGGTCAGGAGATCGAAACCAGCCTGGCTAACACGGTGAAACCCCGTCTCTACTAGAAATACAAAAAAATTAGCCAGGCGTGGTGGCAGGTGCCTGTAGTCCCAGCTACTTGGGAGGCTGAGACAGGAGAATGGTGTGAACCCGGGAGGCGGAGCTTGCAGTTAGCCAAGATTGTGCCACTGCATTCCAGCCTGGGTGACAGAGCAAGACTCCATCCCAAAAAGAAAAAGAAAAAAAAAAAAAAAAAAAAAAAATATATATATATATATATATATATGTAGTTTATACACACACACACACACACACACACACACACACACAAATTAGCTGGGCGTGGTGGCAGGCACCTGTAATCCCATCTACTCTGGAGGCTGAGGCAGGAGAATCACTTGAACCTGGGAGGCAGAGGCTGCAGTGAGCTGAGATTGCACAACTGCACTCCAGCCTAGGCGACAGAGCTAGACTCTATCTCAAAAAAAAAAAAAAAAAAAAAGACAGATATTTCAAGATTCTTTTCAAATGATGAGAGGGACATATAGTTACCTTTACTCATTGAATTTTATCTAATAGGACCTCTTAAAATTCAAGTTAGTACAAGTGTTCTTGGTATCCAGAAGTGAGTAAATACATAGATGATCTTAACTATAAAAATTGCTATCTTGGCCAGGCGCAGTGGCTCATGCCTGTAATCCCAGCACTTTGGGAGGGTGCGGTGGGCGGATCACCTGAGGTCAGGAGTTTGAGACCAGCTTGACCAATATGATGAAACACCGTCACTACTAAAAATACAAAAATTAGCCTGGCGTGGTGGCATGCACACCTGTAATCCCAGCTACTCAGGAGGCTGAGACAGGTGAATCGCCTGAACCCAGGAGGTGGAGGTTGCAGTGAGCTGAGATCGTGCCATTGCACTCCAGCCTGGGCAACAAGAGCGAGAAACTCTGTCTCAAACAAACAAACAAAAAACCTGCTATAATTTGTACGATTCAAACTATTAAACATAATATGTAACCCACCTGTTTCTTTCTGTGCCTTAATCTTTTTACTTTGTTCCTCTATTAAGTTTCAAGTAGAATTGTCCCTTGGTACCCATGTGGGATTGGTTCCAGGATACCTGTGGATACCAAAATCCTCAGATGCTCAAGTTCCTTATACAAAATGGTGTGGTATTTGTATATAACCTACTCACTTCCTCCCTCTCATATACTTTTAAGTCATTTCTAGATTACTTATAATACCTAAGACAATGTAAATGCCATTAAATAGCTGTTATACTGTATTGGTATCATTTGTATTGTTTTTATTGTTATTTGTGTTTTTTTCCCTAAATATTCTCCAATCAAGACTGGTGGAATCTGCAGAGATATGGAAACTGGATAAAGAGGGCCAACTGTGGTTGCTAGCCAAACAGCCTAAGGAAACCTAGACTAACTTCATGCTGTGTTTATGTATTCATTTGGTGTCATCTCCAAAACCAGCCACAAATAAAACATCCATGAACCTTTAACAACAAATGTATATCCACAATTCTACAATATATGGTTCATTTTCTTTTCTAAACCAGATTTCTATTACAAGTACCAGTCCAAGTTCCAGAATGCTACCAGTGCTGATTATATTGTAGGAATTAGACACATTTTATGAAACATAATCAGAAGGTACACAGCAGCTATTAAATCCTACTATAAACCAGGCATGGTGGCTCACGCCTATACTTCCCAGCACTTTGGGAAGCCAAGGTGGGTGGATTACTTGAGGCCAGGAGTTAGAGACCAGCCTGGCCAACATGGTGAAACCCTGTCTCTACTAAAAATAAAAAAATTAGCCAGGCGTGATGGTGTGTGCCTGTAATCCCAGCTACTCAGGAGGCTGAGGCATGAGAATCGCTTGAACCGAGAAAGCAGAGGTTGCGGTGAGCCTAGATTGCACTCCAGCCTGTGTGACAGAGTGAGACTCTGCCTCCAAAAAAAAAAAAAAAAAAAAATCCTACTATTAGTTCTTATGTAAAGCAAATATGCAGCAACATGACAGTCTTTTGTATTTGTTTCCCAAACTTGTCCCATCAAATTACTTTGGATGCCTATTTAAAAAGAAATTCCTAGGCTGGGTGTGGTGACTCATGCCTGTAATCCCAGCACTTTGGGAAGCCGAGGTGGGTGGATCACGAGGTTAGGAGATCGAGACCATCCTGGCCAACATGGTGAAACCTCGTCTCTACTAAAAATACAAAAAATTAGCCAGGCATGGTGGCGTGTGCCTATAATCCCAGCTACTCAGGAGGCTGAGGTGGGAGAATCCCTTGAACCAGGGAGTCAGAGGTTGCAGTGAGCTGAGATTGTGCCACTGCACTCCAGCCTGATGACAGAGCAAGACTCCGTCTCAAAAAGAAAAAAAAAAAAAAAAGAAATTCCTAGCACTCACATTAGATATACTAATTTAGAGTATCACACTTATACTGTATTCTCTAACCTCACAGAACGAAAACCAAAACACCCTATAGTTTAACACATTTTAATAAATTATTTCAAAAACCTGTTTCTAAATTTCCTTCCACTAAAATATTATAAGATTATTAAATGCAGTCGGGCGTGGTGGCTCATACCTATAATCCCAGCACTTTGGAAGGCCAAGGCAGGCGGATCACGAGGTCAAGAGATTGAGACCATCCTGGCCAACGTGGTGAAACCCTGTCTCTACTAAAAATACAAAAATTAGCTGGGCGTGGTGGCACGCACTTGTAGTCCCAGTTACTTCAGGGGGCTGAGAGAGGAGAATGGCGTGAACCCAGGAGGCAAAGATTGCAGTGAGCCGAGATAGTGCCACTGCACTTCAGCCTTGTGACAGAGCAAGAATCTGTCTCAAAAAAAAAAAAAAAGAATTATTAAATGCTCCAGTAATACAGAGTTGAACACAACTATAATCCCAGTTTATAAAGAGAAAAATAAAAATTCACAGATAAATCCATCACAAATCAAAAAGCTGTAATTTTAAACATTAAAAGACCAGGCAAAGTTGCTCATGCCTGTAATCCTAGCACTTTGGGAGACCAGATGGGCAGATCACCTAAGGTCGGGAGTTCGAGACCAGCCTGGCCAACATGGTGAAATCCCATCTCTACCAAAAATACAAAAATTAGCTGGGTGTGGCGGTGTGCATCTGTATTCCCAGCTACTCAGGAGGCTGAGCCAGGAGAATCAGGCTTGAGCCCAGGAAGCGGAGTTTGCAGTGAGCCGAGATTGCACCACTGCACTCCAGCCTGGACAACAGAGTGAGATTCTGTCTCAAAATAAAAAAGTTGGCCGGGCGCCGTGGCTCACGCCTGTAATCCCAGCACTTTGGGAAGCCAAGGAGGGCGGATCACAAGATCAGGAGATCGAGACCATCCTGGCTAACACGGTGAAACCCCATCTCTACTAAAAATACAAAAAATTAGCCGGGCATGGTGGCGAGTGCCTGTAGTCCCAGCTACACACCTCCTGGCATGAACCCAGGAGGCGGGGCGTGCAGTGAGCCGAGATCGCACCACTGCACTCCAGTCTGGGCGACAGAGTGAGACTCCATCTCAAAAAATAAATAAATAAAATAAAAATAAAAAAGCAAACAACAACAACAAAACATTAAGTTTCTTGGCTATCAGCTCTTTAGTCTCATGACTCACTGGTGGCTTGAACAGGGAATTTTTTTTAAGTTCCACAAGTTAACATGGAGTCCAAAGCTATTTTCTAATCCATGCTTTGCCAGCTCCTATTGAATTGTAAGACTTTCTCTGAAAGAGAGTAAAATAATTCTAATAAAAATTATGAAATGGCCGGGCGCGGTGGCTCACACCTGTAATCCCAGCACTTTGGGAGGCTAAGGCGGGCGGATCACCTGAGGTCGGGAGTGAAGACCTCACAAGAGTGAAACTGCATCTCAAAAAAAAAAATTATCAAATGGTAAAAAATTCACCCCACCCATCTGAAAAATGCAACTGGACAAGTATCATTTTTAAAACTCAGCAGACACTAAAACTCTAGTGTAGACACTACCCCCTTTCCAATTAAAACAGGCCTAATTGTTCAATCTTGTGTTAGAGCTACCCAAAAATATTTTCACTCAGCAGTTGGCATTTGCAGATAATTCAGAGAACTGCCTTACTTTCATCCCGTCCTAGATAATCTGACTTTCACAATAATTAGGCTTCCTGTATATGGCTTGTGTAAATGGAGGACATAAAATTCAGTTACTCTGTTCCACTTCCAGATATATACCAGAGAAAAATGAAAACGCATCTGCACAAAAATTTGCACATGAATGCTCAAAGCAGCATTACAGACCAGGTGTGGTGGTTCATGCCTATAATCCCAGCACTTTGGGAGGCAGAGGCAAGAGGATCACTTGAGTCAAAGAATTTGAGACCAGCCTCAGCAACATGGAAAAACCCCATCTCTACAAAAAATACAAAAAAAATTAGCTGGGTATGGTGGTGTGTGCCCATAATCCCAGCTACTTGGAAGGCTGAGGCAGGAGAATCGCTTAAACCCAGGAGGCAGAGGTTGAGGTGAGCTGAGATGGCACTATTGCACTCCAGCCTGGGCAACAAGAGTGAAATGCCATCTCAAAAAAAAAAAAATGCCCATCAACTTATTTTTAAAATGTGGTATGTCCACACAATGGAATAGAATGCAGCAATAAAAAGGAATAAAGTACTGATACACACTACATCTTGGATAAACTCTGAAAACATTATGCTAAGTGAAAGAAGCCAGACAGGCCGGGCGTGGTGGCTCACGCCAGTAATCCCAGCACTTTGGGAGGCCAAGGTAGGTGGATCACCTGAGATCAGGAGCTGGAGACCAGCCTAGCCAACATGGCAAAACCCCGTCTCTACTAAAAATACAAAAATTAGCTGGGTGTGGTGGCACGCACCTGTAATCCCAGCTACTCTGAGTTACAGTTACTGAGACTGAGTTACAGTCTCAGTCTACTTTGGGACTGAGTTAGGTTCAACCTGGGAGTCCGAGGTTGCAGTGGGATCATGCCACTGCACTCCAGCCTGGCGACAGTGAGACTCCGTCTCAAAAAAAAAAAAAAAAAAAAAGAGAGAAGCCAGACACAAAAGACCACATATTGGTCAGGCGCGGTGGCACACACCTGTAATCCCAGCACTTTGGGAGGCCGACATGGGCAGATAATAAGGTCAGGAGATGGAGACCATCCTGGCTAACACAGTGAAACCCCGTCTTTACTAAAAATACAAAAAATCAGCCGGGCGTGGTGGCGGGCGCCTGTAGTCCCAGCTACTCAGGAGGCTGAGGCAAGAGAATGGCGTCAACCCGGGAGGCGGAGCTTGCAGTGAGTCGAGATGGCACCACTGCACTCCAGCCTGGGCGACAGAGTGAGACTCATTCTCAAAAAAAAAAAAAAAAAAACACATATTATGTGATCCCATTTTTGTGAAATCTCCAGAATAGGCAAATCCATAGACAGAAAGTAGATCAGTGGTTGCCCAAGGGTGGGGGTAGGAGGACCAGTAATAAAGAATGACTGCTAATGGGTATGGGAGTCTCTTTTTGAGGTGATGAAAATGATTGTGGTGGTGGGTGCACAACTCTGTGAATATACTAAAAAGTACTGAATTGTACAATGGTGAGTTGTATGGTACGTTAATTATATGTCAATAAAGTTGTTAAAAAAAATCAGCTACTCCAATCCTTTTGCGGTTCATAAAGAACCAAGATGACTGGGTTTCATGCTAATGCATGACATGTGCCTCCCTCAAATCATGTTGCCTCATGGGCTTATTGGCACATTACCGTCTGAGGAAGAACAAGAAAAAAAAATAAACCAATCTGAAAATACCACCCACCCCCACTTTGTATATATATTAAACAAGAACTCTTGGTGAACATTTATTTGGAATAAGATACAAATCAAAATCCTGTCTAAAAAATGATAAATGCAGACTGGAACTAAGTGAATGTTTAACACTTGTGTTTTGTATGCCTGAAGTATTTCACAATAAAATACATATCTATTTAGGCCGGGCGCAGTGGCTCATGCCTGTAATCCCAGCACTTTGGGAGGCCGAGGCGGGCAGATCGCGAGGTCAGGAGATCGAGACCATCCTGGCTAACACGGTGAAACCCCGTCTCTACTAAAAATACAAAAAATTAGCCTGTCGCGGTGGCGGGCACCTGTAGTCCCAGCTACTCGGGAGGCTGAGGCAGGAGAATGGTGTGAACTCAGGAGGCAGAGCTTGCAGTGAGCCGAGATCGTGTCATTGCACTCCAGCCTGGGCGACAGAGCGACACTCCGCCTCAAAAAAAAAATATATATATATATATAAAAAATTAATAAACAAACATATATATATTTTTTGAGTCAGGGTCTCTGTCATCCAGACTGAAGTACAGTGGAGCAATCACAGCTCACAGCAGCCTTGATCTCCCGGGCTCAAGCAGTCCTCCCTCTCGCCTCAGTCTTCCAAGTAGCTGGGACCTATGCCTGGCTAATTTTTTTTTTTTTTAATTTTTTGTGAAGACAAGGTCTCCTTATGTTGCCCAGGCTGGTCTCGAACTCCCGGGCTCAAGCAATGCTCCTGCCTGAGCCTCCCAAAGTGCTGGGATTACAGTGAGCCATCGCAAACAGCCAAATGAAATGTTGTTAATGATTATTACTGTTGCAAACCACTTGTCCTAAAAGCTTAATGTGTGTGATATTTAATACATGTTGATTAGATTATGTGCTAGTAAACACAAGTCTGTTTTTTTACAAGACTGGTTAGATATAGCCTTAGGCATCTTTCAATTGAATTCAACTACTGGTCCTTGCTGTAGGAGACAACTAAAAATAAAATAAAAAGTGAATCCAACTACTGAATATACTCTTCCACATAAAAAATGAGCCATTGGAAAAAAAATACAGAACAGTACCTGACCATTCCTAGTAAAAAGATTTTCAATACCCTTAACTGCCTATTACCAAATGAAGAATACTTCACTTGGGGGAGAGAGGGTGTTAAAAATGAAAATAATACTTCATGCGGTGGCGCGGGGGTGGTTGAAAAAAAGGTATCACCGTGCGCGGTGGCTCACGCCTGTAATCCCAACACTTTGGGAGGCTGAGGCGGGGGGATGACCAGAGATTGGGAGTTCGAGACCATCCTGACCAACATGATGAAACCCCGTCTCTACTAAAAATACAAAATTAGCCCCGCGTGGTGGCGCATGCCTGTAATCCCAGCTACTCGGGAGGCTGAGGCAGGAGAATGGCTTGAACCCAGGAGGCGGAGGTTGCGGTAAGCTGAGATCGCGCCATTGCACTCCAGCCTAGGCAACAAGAGGGAAACTCTGTCTCAAAAAAAAAAAAAAAGAAAGAAGGTATCTGAAGGGTGTGGCAACTCATCCAAGGTCACACTAGTCAGGGCAGAGAGCAACATTCTGCTTTATACTAAACCTCCAGAGGAAATCTTATAATTTCGCCAAAGAAGTTTTTGTTTTGTTTTACGCAACAACAACAAAAAAATAAAAGTAAGGAGGGAGGGCTCTCAGCTTAGTTCAAACTTCTAAACAGAGACAGTGAGATAGCTATTTTGAATAAACAAACACTTGTGCAGGGAGTGGCTAAGAGCTAACCAAAGCCAGCAGTCAACAGCATGTGAACAACTGGCCAGATCCGTCCGATTTTCAACGCTAGGTTAGAGCCTCCACTCAGAAAGTCGGTTATGAAGGCAAGAAATAGGATCTTTACAGAATGTTGGGAGGATAAATCAAAGGGGGAAAATGACTCCGTGTGAACTGTACTGCCTCCAAGGGCAAGAAGGCAGTTTTTTTCTGAAAAAATAGGTGTCAGAACAGCAGTGAATTAAGGTTAAGAAACAAGACTTCTAACAATCTCTGAGAAGAAACGACTAAGACTGGCAAAGCTAATCTTCCAGTGTTCTAAGTGAATCGCAGGAAAACCTTTCCCTCAACCAAAAAGAAGTCGCCGTTCCCCAGTTTAGCCCTAAAAATGGACCCGGGTTTTCCACGTGAAGCTGTCTGTGGGGAAGGACAGCGGCGTGGAGCCAGGGCCGAGCTCCTCCGCCTCCGGCACCCCACGCCGGAAGAAGCCTGCTCAGCGGCGGGGCCGCGCGGCCAGGTCCGGTCACGGTGAAGCGGACCCCTAAGCTCCGAGCACCTTCGGGCGAAGGAGCGCCGGTGTAGACACACACACTCAAACTCACGCGTCGTCGGAACCACTGGGGAGTCGGTGGCTCGATACGGTCTCTGGGCACTTTCCTACCCAGGTGAAAACCACCTCCTCACCCAGCTCAGCCTTCCCGGAACCCCACTCCCCTCACCTGGCCCTGGCCCCTGCCCCAGAAGAGATGAAAGAGGCGGCGGCGGCAGTTGCTTCCGACAGGGTCCCCCAGCGGCGGTGAGTGCTCCGACCCGCGGCCCTAATCTACCGCCGCCGCCATGTTGGAGGGTGAGGTCACCCCGGCGTGCCTTCGTCACGGCCGGCGTCGGGGCGGGACCTGAACTACCTGACATCCGGAACGGTATCCGGAGCGGAAGGACCGACCAACGGAGGCCCCGGAGGTCTCTCCGTCCAGATGTGACCTGAAGACCCAAACCCTCCTAGCCCGCCCAAATCTGATTGCGACGTTCGGAAGTTCCGTCTCTCAGATCATTTCCGGAGTCGAGGGGTTGGGATTCTGACCGGCTGGTCGCTGTGTTGGAGGAAGGGCAGGCGATTCCAGGGAAAGAAGCCTTGCTGCATGCACAGGCTATGTTCAGTTCCACAAACATGTATTGCGTTTCAAGTGTTTGCCAAGGGAGCAGGTCAAATAAGTATCTACACAGTCACGACAGCCTCGATGTTCGCCACTAGTTGGGGCAGATGGTCCTTGAAGGTTGGGAAGGAATTCCGGGGAGGGAATATAGCGGGGTGGTGTAGAGAGGTCCTCCTAGGCGAAGGGAACTGGCTGAGCAGAGGCGCCAGGGCATGAAGGAAGTCTTAACTAGTAACCCGCTTTTGTTAACAGTACCTGGAACACACAGCGCCTGGAACATACTTAACTTGTATTAATGGATGTTTGTTTACTTGAATCCGAGAGTTCTTTGGAGGAGTATCGGAAGGTATCTAGGAGAGAGGATACAGTGTGTTTTAGGGAGATCAAATTGCCCGTGGTGTGTGTACTGAATTGGAACAAGGAGGGCATTGACAATAAGGAGTTAGAAGACTGAGCCAGATCAGAAGTGATAAAATCCTGATGGGGAGTGACTGCCAGTGGATACAGAGTTTCTTTTTGGGGTGATGGTGGCACGACTCTTTGAAATACTGAAAACTACTGAATTGTACACTATAGGTGAATTCTATGTTATGAGATCTATATCTCAACAAGGCTATTCTAAAGGAAGTGATAAAAGAGTTGAACTGCTATTGTGGGGCTGGTGCCACAGGATGCTTTTTAAGCCCGAGTGACTGAGGAAAGGATGGTGCCATTAATAGGGACATAAAGTTTTGCAAAGGAAAGGCTTAGTGACCTTGGAAAACTAATAGTACAGGCCGGGTGTGGTGGATCACTCCTGTAATCCCAGCACTTTGAGAAGCCAAGGTGGGCGGATCACTTGAGGTCAGGAGTTTCAGACCTGCCTGGCCAACATGGTGAAACTCCCCATCTGTACTAAAAACACAAAAAATTAGCCAGGTATGGTGTCACGCGCCTGTAATCCCAGCTACTTGGGAGGCCGATGCAGGAGAATCGCTTGAGCCTGGGAGGCAAAGGTTGCAGTGAAATGGGTAACCAAAAATGAAGACTTTTTTTTTTTTTTTTTGAGGCAGAGTCTCACTCTGTCGCCCAGGCTGGAGTGCAGGGGCGCGATCTCAGCTCACTGCAACCTCTGCCTTTCGGGTTCAAGCGATTCTCCTGCCTCAGCCTCCCAAGTAGCTGGGATTACAGGCACCCACCACCATGCCCAGCTAATTTTTGTATTTTTAGTAGAGGCAGAGTTTCTCCACGTTGGTTAGGCTGGTCTTGAACTCCTGACTTCAGGTGATCCACTCGCCTTGGCCTCCCAAAGTGCTGGGATTACAGACGTGAGCCACCGTGCCTGGCTTTTTAAAAATTTTTAATAGAGACGGGGTCTCACCATGTTGGCCAGGCTAGTCTCCTACTCCTGACCTCAAGAGATCCGCCTGCCTCAGCCTCCCAAAGTGCTGGGATTACAGGGGTGCGCCACCGCGCCCGGCCCTAATTTTACTTTTAAGGTCTGTGCAGTTCACTGTATGTACACTTTACCTAAAAAAACTTTCAAAAATGTAACATGCAATAATTTATTTTGGGAGGTACTTATGTTACCAATTTGGTACATACTTAAGTTCATTTCTTTCACATTGCTCTCAGTCTTTTCCTTTATTTATTTATTTATTTTTTATTATTATTTTCTCGAGACAGAGTCTTGCTCTGTCACCCAGGCTGTAGTGCAATGGCGCGATCTCAGCTCACTGAACCTCACCTCCTGGGTTCAAGCGATTCTCCTGCTTCAGCCTCCTGAGTAGCTGGGATTACAGGCACCCACCACCACACCTGGCTAATATTTTTTTTTTGTATTCTTAGTAGAGATAGGGTTTCGCCATGTTGGCCAGGCTGGTCTCCAACTCTTGGCCTTGGGTGATCACCCCTCTCGGCCTCCCAAAGTGCTGGGATTACAGTCGTGAGCCACCATGCCTGGTCTTATTTATTTTTTTAGAGACAAGGTGTCGCTTCTGTTACCCAGCCTGGAGTGCAGTGGTACAATCATACCTCACTGCATCATGGACCTCCTGGGCTCACAATTGTTCCACCTCAGCCTCCCAAGTATCAAGGACCACAGGCTTGTGCCACCACATGTAGCTTTTTTTTTTTTTTTTCTTTTTTTTGAGACGGAGTCTCCCTCTGTTGCCTGGGCTGGAGTGCAGTGGCAGATCTTGGCTCACTGCAACCTCAGCCTCCTGGGCTCAAGTGATTCTCCTGCCTCAGCCTCCAAAGTAGCTGGGACTACAGGTGTGCACCACTATGCCTGGCTACATTTTGTATTTTTAGTAGAGACGGGGTTTCAGTGTGTTGGCCAGGCTGCTCTCGAACTCCTGACCCCAAGTGATCCACCCACCTCAGACTCCCAAAGTGGTGGGATTACAGGCGTGAGCCACCGCCCCAGGCCACACATGGCTACTTTTTAAAAGATGTTTTTGTAGGCCGGGCGTGGTGGTTCACGCCTATAATCCCAGCACTTTGGGAGGCCAAGGGGGACGGATCACGAGGTCAGGAGATGGAGACCATCCTGGCCAACACAGTGAAACCCCGTCTCTACTAAAAATACAAAAAATTAGCTGGGCATGGTGGCGCGCACCTTCAGTCCCAGCTACTGGGGAGGCTGAGGCAGAAGAATCACTTGAACCCGGGAGGCGGAGGTTGCAGTGAGCCGAGATCGCACCACTGCACTCCAGCCTGGGCGACAGAGTGAGACTCTGTCTAAAAAAAAAAAAAGATTGTTTTTGTGGAAATGGGTATGTTCCCCAGGCTGCTCAGAAACTCCTAGCCTCAAGCAATTCTCCCATCTTGGCCTCCTAAAGTTCCTGGCCTTCCCTTTTTAATTTTATTTTTTGAATATATATTTTGAGACTAGACATACAGGTCAATGGAACAGAACAGAAAACCTAGAATTGTTAACTAATTTTCAACAGAAGTGCTAAGGCATTTCAATGAGGAAAGAGATTGTCTTTTCAGCAAATTGCATAAAATAATATAGCCCTTTTATAGAAATCATTTGACTTTAATCACAGCAGTTTATGGTATTTGGAGTTTTTTTATTTAATTTGCTTTTGTTTTAGTAGAGATGGGGTTTCACCATGTTGGCTAGGCTGGTCTCAAACTCCTGACCTTGTGATCCGCCCGCCTGAGTCTCCCAAAGTGCTGGGATTACAGGTGTGAGCTACCACACCCGGCCCTTTTTTATTTAATTTTTTAGTTTTTTTTTTGTAGAGATAGCGTCTTGCTGTGTTGTCCAGGCTGGTCTTGAACTTGTGGCCTCAAGTGATCCACCTGCCTTGGCCTCCTGAAGTGCTGGGATTATAGGCATGAGCCACTGCACCTGGTCAGTTTTCGGGGGAGTTTTGGACAGATTTTAATAGGCGCTACAGATCTCTAGCCTACAGGCTAATGTGGTTATCGACTCTAAACTAGACTCTACTCATTTTATTCATTTGCATTCATCAGTTGTTTGTTGCTTTTTTTTTTTTTTTCCTTTTGAGACAGAGTCTCCACTTCCACTCTGTTACCCAGGCTAGAGTACAGTGATGTGATCATGACTTACTCTAGCCTTGACTTCCCAGGCTCAAGCAATCCTCTGGCCTCATCCTCCCAAGTAGCAAGGACTACAGGCATGCACCAGAAAGCCTGGCTAATTTATTTAATTTTTTTTTGTAGAGGCAGGTGTCCCACTATGTTGCCCAGGCTGGTCTCAAACTCCTGGGCTCAAGTGATCCGCCTGCCTCAGCCTCCCAAAGTGCTAGGATTACAGGTGCCAGCCACCACGCCTGGCCAATCAATTGTTTATTGAATCCCTGCCATTAACCAGGCAGGGTGCTGGGTGCTAGCAAAAGCAATGATGAGTACATCAGACGCGGTCCCTCTTGTGAAGCTAACATCTTAGTTGGAAAACCAGAAAAGAAAAACATTGAAACAGAAAAAAGTAAAAATAATTTAAGATGATGGCATGGGCTGGGTGCGATGGCTCACGCCTGTAGTCCCAACACTTTGGGAGCCTGAGGCAGGTGGATCATAAGGTCAGAAGTTCCAGACCAGCCTGGCTAACATAGTGAAACCTCGTCTCTACTAAAAATACAAAAAATTAGCCGGGCATGGTGGCTCATGCCTGTGGTCCCAGCTACTCGGGAGACTGAGGCAGGTGAATGGCTTGAACCTGGGAGGTGGAGGTTGTGTTGAGCCGAGATCACTCCACTGCACTCCAGCCTGGGCAACAGAGTGAGACTCCGTCTCAAAAAAACAAAACAAGACAAACAAAAAAAAGGTGGTGGCATGTCCTGAAACAGACAAGGGACTGGAATAGAGAAGAAGGTGAGAGAGTGACCAGGATAAGCTCTCCTCAAAGAGATTTTGAGACCTAAAGGATGAAAAACAAGTTAAGTGGTAAGTGGAGGAAAATAACTTCTCAAGCAGAAAAATAGATGTTTTCAAAAAAACTGAAAGGCAACCAGTAAAGCTTTGAGGTGGTGTGCAAAGGGAGGAGGGGTAATGAGGGCAGGCAAGCATACAGGGCCAGATCCAGTGGTCTCATCTACTAGAGCCAGCGGAAGGCTTCAGGAGCAAGCAGAAGCCATGACAGAGTTGTAAATTGGGGAGTGACTTGATGCCATCTGCCATCTAGGTTTTAAATCACTGTAGCATAGAAATTTGGCTGGAAAGAGGCAAAAAGTGCAGACACCTAAGTTAGAGTTACTATTTTTTGGCTACACTTTGTTTTTTCCTTTTCAAATTATTTGCTCAACATTTAAAGACAGATGATTTACATTTACTTCTAGTCTTTCGCGCTTTGTCCTCCTGAGCAAACTCCAGAGTTAGCTTATTTATCCTGCTGATTCAGTATCTAGTAAACCTGCCTGGGAGTAGGTGAGAGCACATGAACCGTCCCTTTCTGACTAACCTGACAGGAATCTAGGCCAGTGACTTTGGTGAAGCCACAAATAGGCTTATCTAGGAGGGAGTTTTTTGAAACTTGTCTGAAAATATGTTTTAAAGTGTCTCCACAAGGCCTAAGAATGTAGGAGAAAATTACATTTGGAAAACTACCAACTGGCTCATCTTTGCATGTATTCATAACAACTTTTTCCCTTCAGAGGTTATCTCTGTAAAGCTTACATTCTTTTCAGACAGGACCTGGCCTGTTCCTTGGTGAATCAGCAAAACTGAAGAAAATTGAGTTTTAAAGAGAAACTAACATGGGGGAGAAGTGGGTGCTGCAAAAGGGGATAGTAACTATACCTACGATTTGTTTTTCAAGTGAAGTCTTGAAGTAAATGTGACAAATGTTAATTGTTAATTTTGGGTAGTGGTGCATGGTATGGGAATAAATTATTCTTTGTACTTTTTTGTATTTTCTAATGTCTCAAAATAAAAATAAGTAAATCGTGGTCAGGCGCAGTGGCTCATGCCTGTAATCCTAGCACTCTGGGAGGCTGAGGCGGGTGGATCACCTGAGGCCAGGAGTTCGAGACCAACCTGGCCAACATGGTGAAACCTTGTCTCTACTAAAAATACAAAAATTAGCTGGGCATGGTGGCACATGCCTGTAGTCTCAGCTACTCGGGAGGCTGAGGCAGGAGAATTGCTTGAACCCGGGAGGCAGAGGTTGCAGTGAGCCAAGATTGCACCACTGCACTCCAGCCTGGTGACAGAGCAAGACTCCCATCTCCAAAAAAAAAAAAAAAAAAGAAGAAGAATCATAAAGATTATCACACTGTTTTCCAAAAAACAAAAGCACGGTTGATCTAGACAGTGCTACATCCATTCCAGATATTAATTTCAGAAACAATTTGACATGTAGAATTAGACTGCTGTTTCTACTCCCCAAATCCTGTCATTTGCAGAACACTGTAAAAATACAGGAGAGATTGTAATCAAAATGTGTTAATTCCACCTCAACCTGACCTAGGGATGCTAGAGGGTAGAATAGTCCTCTAGCATATTCCATACTCCTGCAATCTGTTTTTTAGGACAATGAAGAATGAGGCTATTAATGCAAAAGATGAACAAAATTAGACAAATAATCCAATCTAGTTTAGCTCAATAGTGATCAAGTTAAGGTCAATTGCATCAGTTTCTCTTGCCCTGTGTTATTGTTCTGTGACTAAATCCTTCCTTTATCCAGCATTATCAGTACTCTCAAATATATATACCAATATGTACACCAATCTGTCCTACAAGGAACACTGTGCACTAGTACAAATGGAAAAAATGGCAGCATGTATTAATAAATATATTAATAAATGGCAACGTTTATTGTCCTGTGGGTAAATCTTTCCTTTATCCAGCATTATCAGTATTCTCAAATATGTATACCAAATATGTATACCAATCTGTCATACAGTACAAGGAACATTGTACACTAGTACAAATGGGGAAAAAATGGCAGCATGTATTAACAGCCTTCAAAATATGTGTACCGGCCAGGCGCCGTGGCTCACGCCTGTAATCCCAAGACTTTGGGATGCCAAGGCGGGCAGATCACGAGGTCAGGAGTTCGAGATCAGCCTGGCCAATATGGTGAAACCCCATCTCTACTAAAAATACAAAAATTAGCTGAGTGTGGTGGCACGCGCCTATAGTCCCAGCTACACAGGAGGCTGAGGCAGAAGAATCACTTGAACCCGGGAGGTGGAAGTTGCAGTGAGCTGAGACTGCGCCACTGCACTCCAGCCTGGGCAACAATAGCGAAACTCCATCTCAAAAAAAAAAAAAAAAAAAAAAAAAAAAAAAATATATATATATATATATATATATATATATATATATACACACACACACATACATACACACACGTACCATTCCTACTAAAAGGACAAAGAGCTGAGGTGGGAGGATCCCCTGAGCCCAGGAGTTCGAGACTAGCCTGACAAACACTGTAGGACTCTGTCTCAATTTTAAAAATAAAATTGAAAAAAAGGGACAAACGGACATCATGTACTTTCTGATGTGTTGCAAAGAGGACACAATATCACACATGTAGTACTCCTGCTATAATGCGTAACCTGAATCTAATTATGAGGAAACTGTCAAAACCCAATTGAGGCTGGGCGTGGTGGCTCACACCTGTCATCCCAGCACTTTGGGATGCCAAGGCAGGCAGATCATCTGAGCTCAGGAGTTCCAAGAACAGCCTGGCCAATGTGGCAAAACCCTGTTTCTACCAAAAAGAAAAAATTAGCGGGGCGTGGTGGCGGGCGCTTGTAATCCCAGCTACTGGAGAGGCTGAGGCAGGAAAATCTCTTGAACCCAGGAGGTGGAGGTTGCAGTGAGCCGAGTTTGCACCACTGCACTCCAGCATGAGCGACACTCTTCTGTCTCAAAAAAAAAAAAAATTGAGTGATTTTCTACAACTGGCCTATATTCTTCAAAATGTCACTATCAAGAAAGATAAGTCTGAGGAAACTCTTCCATATTAAAGGAGACTAAAAAGACATGATCACTAATGCAGTAAGTGACCCTGGATCCAATCCAGGTTATAAAGGTTATAAAGTAAGGTTATAAGAAGGTTATAAAAGGTTAAAAAGTAAGGTTATTAAAAAAAGGTTATGGCTGGGCGCGGTGGCTCACGTCTGTAATCCCAGCACTTTGGGAGGTGGAGGCAGGCAGATCACCTGAGGTCGGGAGTTCAAGACCACCCTGGCCAATGTGTTGAAACCCCATCTCTACTAAAAATGCAAAAATTAGCTGGGCGTGGTGGCAGATGCCTGTAATCTCAGCTACTGGGGAGGCTGAGGCAGGAGAATCAATTGAACCCGGGAGGCGGAGGTTGTGGTGAGCCGAGATTCTGCCACTGCACTCTAGCCTGGGCAACAGAGCGAGACTCCATCTCAAAAAAAAAAAAAAAAAGAAAAGAAAAAGAAGGCCGGGTGCAGTGGCTCACACCTGTAATCCCAGCACTCTCGGAGGCCGAGGCAGGTGGATCACGAGGTCAGCAGTTCAAGACCAGCCTGGCCAACACAGTGAAACCTCATCTCTACTAAAAATACAAAAATTAGCCATGCATGGTGGCAGGCACCTGTAATCCCAGCTGCTTGGGAGGCTGAGGGAGGAGAATCACTTGATCCCGGGAGGCAGAGGTTGTAGTGAGCTGACACCATGCCGTTGCACTGCAGCCTGGGCGACAGAGTGAGACTCTGTCTCAAAAAAAAAAGAAAGGGTTATAAAGTACATTGATGGATTGATGGGACAAAGGAATTTGTTTTTTTTTTTTTTGTTTTTTTGAGACGGAGTCTCACTCTTATTGCCCAGGCTGGAGTGCAGTGGCACGATCTTGGCTCACCGCAACCTCTGCTCCTGGGTTGAAGCAATTCTCCTGCCTCAGCCTCTCCAGTGGCTGGGATTACAGGCACACACCACCACGCCTGTTAATTTTGTATTTTTAGTAGAGACTGGGGTTTCTCCATGTTGGTCAGGCTGGTCTCGAAATCCCGACCTCAGGTGATCTGCCCACCTCAGCCTCCCAAAGTGGTGGGATTACAGGCGTGAGACACCGCGCCTGGCCCGGGACAAAGGAAATTAATGTTCAGCCTAGTAAACTAAATTTCCTGAATTTGCTACATCCTCGTTCTTATGACACACTAAAATAGGAAGTGTGTGTGTGTGTGTGTGTGTGTGTGTGTATGAAAATAAAGTGTTAATGTACATGTAGCAAAATGTTAACAATTGTTGAATCTAGGTGAAGGGAGGTCAATGCAGTATTCTTACAAGTTACTATATCTCAAATTTCTTCAAGATAAAAAGCTAATAAAAATGGTGGGTAACCATAGCACAGTAAAAAGAAAAAAGTGGGTGTACCATTTGACCTCTTATTCTACTATTAGGAGTCAGTCTATCCTAAAGATAAAGGAATTTTCAAAAGTTTTTGCCTTTGGGATTTTGGGGAAAAAAACGGGCTTGAGGTAAATCCAAATAAAAACAAATGAGCCTGGGGGGATTTCTGTCCTAATATTCCTCTAAATGGGACCTGGGAAGGCTTTTGAAAAATATATAGGCTATCTCAGAAAAGTTCCAAATAAATTATGTAGCTGCTCCACCCTAATAAGGAAGTTGAGCATAGCTTCCCACTCCCTAGGTGTGGGCTTTGTATAGTGGCTTCCTTCCTAAGACTACAGTATGGAAAGGGGGTTAAAAAAGGTAACTTCAGAGTGGAGAAACCTACAAACCCTACACTTTATTCAGGTAATCAAGGTTGACATGAATAGTCAGAAATCATGTATCCCCCTTTTTTTTTTCTTTTGGTAGAGACGGGGTTCCTCTATGTTGTCCAGCCTGGTCTCGAACTTGAGGTCAAGCGATACACCCGCCTTGGTCTCCCAAAGTCTCCGGATTGCAGGCGTGAGCCACCACGCCCGGCCAACAATCATGTACCCCTAAGCCCATAACCCTGTGTAATTATGCGAAAAATTCCAATAAAGGCACATTCTCCAATATACCTAACCAGTACTCCTCAAAACAGCCCGACTAATTTCAGATAGAGGAACTCCTTATCTTTTCTTCCTCCTACCCAAGATCCCAGTTTAGGAAAAAAATACCGGTCAGGTCACGAGTCAGCGACGTAGAAGGACCCGAGGACGCGCCCACAGGCCGGGACAGGGCGGGACTTCCTGGGCGTCGCTCTCTTCCCATTGGCTGAGAAGGGTCATGAGGATGAACTGTGCAGTCACCTGGCAGGAACCGGAACCCGCGGTTATAAAGTAAAGGAACCCGAGATCTGCGCAGGGGTTCCCTTTGCCGATTTCTCTCACCTCACCTTTCAAACCTAAACTCGAGCCTACTGTTCACCGGCCTAGCATTGCTCTCGCCATGGCTCTCAGCGATGCTGACGTGCAAAAGCAGGTGAGGGGCTTGGTTGGGTCTTACGAAGCCGCGGCGGCAGTCCCGGGGAGTGGGCTGGAGCCCGCCTAGGGAAGGCCGCGGGCCTTGAGCCGCCCAGATGCCGCAGGAAGGTCCCTTGCTCCAAGTCACCAGATCCAAGAGGTCGGCCTGAGGACGGAGATTTGCCCCGCAGCTCATGTGACTTTTGCTCGGGTCTTGGGCACTGCCCGCTTGCCTGCGCGCTGCCTTCTTGAACGCCCTGGCTCTTTGCCTCCCACCTCAGCATTCCCTGTTTTCCAAGGGTATTCACTGTGCCTAGTCGGACAGAGATCTGTGCAAGGATTGAAAACAGCCTTGTGGCCAGGGGCAGTGGCTCACGCCTGTAATCCCAGTATTTTGGGAGGCCGAGGCGGCCGGATCACCTGAGGTCAGGAGTCCGAGACTAGCCTGGCCAAAATGGTGAAACCCCGGTCTCTACTAAAAATAGAAAATTAGCCGGACGTGGTGGCGCGCGCCTGTAATCCCAGCTACTCGGGAAGCTGAACCCGGAGGCGGAGGTTGCAGTTAGCCGAGATCGCGCCTTTGCACTCCAGCATGGGCGACAGGGCGAGACTCCCTCTGGAAAAAGAAAAAAAAAAAACAAACCAGCCTTGTCACTTTTTTTTTTTTTAACCCTGAGGGAAATGCTTAAGGCTATATGATAGGAAACAGTGCGGAGGGAAGAGACCTGCTTCCAACCAGTGTTTTGACAAGGTCGTTCACTTTATGAACTGTGTTTTTTTCTTTTTTTCTTTTTTTTTTTTTTGAGACGGAGTCTCACTCTGTCGCCCAGGCTGGAGTGCAAGGGCGCGATCTCGGCTCACTGCAACCTCCGCCCCGGGTTCAAGTGATTCTCCTGCCTCAGCCTCCCTAGAAGCTGGGATTACAGACTCGCGCCCCAAGCCCGGCTAATTTTTGTATTTTTTTTAGTAGAGGCAGGGTCTCACCATATTGGCCTGGCTGGTCTTGAACTCCTGACCTCAGGTGATCTTCCCACCTGGGCCTCCCAAAGTGCTGGGATTACAGGCATGAGCCAACGCGCCAGGCCTGTATGTACTGTTAATCTTCATTTTGGGGAAGTCCCCTCTATCATAATGGATTGTAATGATTGGTCTCCCACTAATGTGTGTGTTAACATTTGTGAGATACAGGCTGGGGCCGGGCATGGTGGCTCACGTCTGTAATACCAGCACTTTGGGAGGCTGAGGAGGGCGGATCACCTGAGGTCAGGAGTTCGAGACGAGCCTGGCCAGCATGGTGAAACCCCATCTCTATTAAAAATACAAAAAATTAGCCGGGCATGGTGGCGGGCGCCTGTAGTCCCAGCTACTCGGGAGGCTGAGGCAGGAGAATGGCGTGAACCCGGGAGGCCGAGCGACCCTGGGCGGCAGAGCGAGACTCCCTCTCAAAAAAATAAAAAAAAAAAGATTGTCTGGGCCTAGTGGGGTGCGCCTGTAGTCCCAGCTACTCAGGAGGCAGAGGCAGGAGAATCGCTTGAACCCGGCAGGCGGAGGTTGCAGTGAGCCAAGATTGTGCCACTGCACTCCAGCCTGGGTGACAGAGTGAGACTCCATCTCAAAAAATTTTAATATTAATAAACACAAATACACGCCAGGTGTGGTGGCTCACACCTGTAGCCCCCAGCACTTTGGGAGGCTGAGGTGGGAGGATCGCTTGATCCCAGGAGTTCAAGACCAGCCTGGGCAACATAGACCTTATCTCTAAAAAATTTTTTCTTAAAAAATAAGCCAGGCTGTCTGGGCATGGTTGCTCATGCCTGTAATCCCAGCACTTTGGAAGGCCGAGGTGGGCATATCACCTGCGGTCAGGAGTTCCAGACCAGCCTGGCCAACGTGGCAAAACCCTGTCTCTACTAAAAATACAAAATTAGTGGGGCGTGCTGGCATATGCCTGTAATCCCAACTACTAGGAGGCTGAGGCAGGAGAATTTCTTGAACCCGGGAGGTGGAGGTTATGGTGAGGCGAGATCACACCATTGCTGCCTGGGCAACAGAGCGAGACTGTCTCAAAAAAAAAAAAAAATTGCCAGGTGTGGTGGGGCACACATGTGCTCCTAGCTACTTAGGGAGGCTGATGTGGGAGAATCATTTGAGCCCAAGGGGTCGAGGCTGCAGTGAGCTATGATCATGCCACTGTGCTCCATCCTGGGTGAGAGAGCAAAAGACCCTGTCTCTAAAAATATTAAATAAATAAACAAAATTGTGTCAAATGGAAGACCGCTTTTTCTTTTCTTTCTTTTTTTTTTTTTTTTTTTTTGAGACGAAGTCTCGCTCTGTTGCCCAGGCTGGAGTGCAGTGGCATGGTCTCCGCTCACTGCAAGCTCCACCTCCTGGGTTCATGCCATTCTCCTGCCCCAGCCTCCCGAGAAGCTGGGACTTACAGGCGCCCGCCACCACGCCTGGCTAATTTTTTCTATTTTTTATTAGAGATGGGGTTTCACTGTATTAGCCAGGATGGTCTTGATCTCCTGACCTCGTAATCTGCCCACCTCGGCCTCCCAAAGTGCTGGGATTACAGGCATGAGCTACCGCGCCTGGCCAGGACCCCTTTTGCTTACATTTAGGAGCCTCAATGCCTAACGGTGTTTGGCACCAAGTAGATGTATCAGAGTTTATGGGAAAAAATTGTTGTGGAAGTCGTGAACCCACATCAGTTTTCAAAGTGTAATCAGTCCTGGGAAACTTTTTTTTTTTTTTTAAGTGCCATACCTTCAAGTCTGTAGGTATTAAGAATTTTGTCATGCAAAAGACTCTCAGGGGAATATAGTAGCAGTTTATAAGCCTATAACTAACAAATCAGAATCCTTGCATTTAGTAATCATATTGCCGATAGATTTTTCAGAGAAGGAAGTTTAAGGCTGCAGTTTTAATTTGCACATAGTTTAGAGAACTAAGTCCTTTTTTTTCTGAAGTACTGTGCTAGGAAAATTCTCTTACTAAAGCACACTCACTGTCTTATGAATCTTCTGAGATGAGCAATAAAATTTTTTCCTGGCCGGCTCACGCCTGTAATCCCAGCACTTTGGGAGGCCGAGGCGGGCAGATCACCTGAGGTTGGGAGTTTGAGATCACCTGAGGTTGGGAGTTTGAGACCAGCCTGACCAACATGGAGAAACCCTGTCTCTACTAAAATTCAAAATTAGCCGGGCGAGGTGGTGCATGCCTGTAATCTCAGCAACTTGGGAGCCTGAGACAGGAGAATCGCTTGAACCCAGAGGTTGCAGCAAGCCGAGATCATGCCATTGTACTCCAGCCTGGGCAACAAGAGTGAAACTCGGTCTCAAAAAAAAAAGTTTTTCGTTGGATGTTTCCATTTCCTTGAAAGTGTCTTTTCATTTTATTCTTAACCTAATATGCACTAAGACGAGTGGGTATTTCTTCTTCATTTTGTGGTTCTGCTAATGCCAAAGGGTAAATAGAGATGACAAAATTAGTATCTATGGAGAAGTTTAAGAAATCATACAATATTCTTACAGAACCAAAGGGTTTTTTTAAACCTTTTTCACTGCTTCTTCTGTTCACTGCTTCTTCTGCTTCTTTCAATATAGGAAAAGCTTGATGCAGTGGAAAAGTAAAATGCCCTCCATATACTCTTAGTGGCCACAGTGCTAATTCTCTCCCTCTTGTTCCCTTTCTTCCCTCCTTGTCATAATATATTGAAGACTAAGGCTTCCATAGGAAAAGCTAGTATAAAGATAAAGCTATAGTTCCTTGGAATCTAGATCAAAATGATTTTTTTTTTTTGAGATGGAGTCTTGCTTTGTCGCCTAGGCTGGAGTGCAGTGGCGCGATCTCAGCTTGCTGCAACCTCTGCCTCCTGGGTTCAAGCGATTCTCCTGTCTCAGCCTCTCCAGTAGCTGGGACTACAGGCGTATGTCACCACACCCGGATAATTTTTTTGTATTTTTAGTACACATGGGAATTCGCCACGTTGGCCAGGCTGGTCTTGAACCTCCGAAGTGGTGGGATTATAGGCGTGAGCCACTGCGCATGAGTTATTTTTTCTTTTTTTTGAGACAGTCTCGCTCTCTTGCCCAGGCTGGAGTGCCATGGCGTGATCTCAGCTCACTGCAGCCTCTGCCTCCCGGGTTCAAGCGATCCTCCTGCATCAGCCTCCTGAGTACCTGGGATTACTGGTGCCCGCCACCACACCCAGCTAATTTTTGTATTTTTAGTAGAGATGGGGTTTCACCATGTTGGCCAGGCTGGTCTCGAACTCCTGACCTCGTGATCTGCCCGCCTCAGCCTCCCAAAGTATTGGGATTACAGGTGTCAGCCACTGCACCCGGCCTATTTTTTATTTATGTAAAATTGAAAGAAGGAATCTTGTCTATTTCCTATAATCCTTCATGCTACATGAAAGCTCGATGAGGACAGTGTGTGTTGTTTACTGTATTCTCATAAGTAAATAGATGAAGCACCAAGCCCATAGTAGATGCTTAATAAATCCTGAATTTTCTGACTTCTCCATTGCATGAAAATATTTGTGTATATTTGCTTTTTTCCTGGGGAGTATGGTAATTTATTTCATCAAATTTACAAAGAAACCTGACTCTAAAAACCTTAATTACTGAGCAGGAAGAAGAAACTGTTTTTTTAAAGGTCAAATTTTCTGCCTTAGGGGTGGAGTTAAATGTCCTTAAAGGGTTGACTATATCTCTTCTTGGAACTCTTAAAAGAATATGATCATGTTAACTGTAAATAGGCTTCTGACCTGGGTTAGAATTAGCGCAGTTTGCTCTAGGCTGTGCTGGTCTGGTCAAATCTGGTAGCCAAGGGTGCAGCAGAGTGCTAAAGGCAGATAATCCAGGTCCGAATCAGGGTTCACCTTTAGAGGCCAAACTTGTAGCATTTATAAACACCGGTTTTGATTACTGTATTTAGTTAAATGACTTTTTTTTTTTTTTTGAGACAGAGTCTTGCTCTGTCACCCAGGCGTGATCTTGGCTTGCTGCAACCTCCACCTCCCAGGTTCAAGTGATTCTCCTCCATCAGCCTCCTGAGTAGCTAGGATTGCAGGCACCCGCCACCACGCCTGGCTAATTTTTGTATTTTTAGTAGAGACCAGGTTTCACCATGTTGGTCAGGCTGGTCTTGAACTCCTGACCTCGTGATCCACCCGGATTGGCCTCCCAAAGTGCTGGGATTACAGGCGTGAGCCCGGCTAGTTAAATGACTTAAAATTCCAGATAGAATAAGTTCAGTGAGACTTCAAACTAAACTTGTAGACACCATTACCATGACCCCTCTCCATACTCCCAAATTTGTGGAGCTGATCTTTTAAGCAAGGTCAGTGATTTCCCACACATCTAGGTCTGGATTAGGTACCCCAAGTATTTCAAGGCTCAAGATATTGTAAGTACCATGTTATCTATAACATAGGTTTGATCATCATAACTTTTTGTCTCCTTAAAAGTAGGATTGGAAACACGATGGTGGCCACAGAAGTTGGAATCCACTGAGTGTGTAACAACTCACCTGCCAAAATAAGAAAAAAAAGAAAAGTAGGGTGGCTCCAAGATTTTTGATAAAACAAAAAAACTGTCCCTTCTAAAATCCTCCTATATGTTTTTTGTTTCATTTTGTTTTGTTTTTTTTGAGACGGAGTTTCGCTCTTCTTGCCCAGGCTGGAGTGCAGTGGCACAATCTATGCCTACCACAACCTCCGCCTCCAGGTTCAAGTGATTCTCCTGCCTCAGCCTCCTGAGTAACTGGGATTACAGGCATGCACCACCACGCCTGGCTAATTTTTTGTATTTTTAGTAGAGATGGGGTTTCTCCATCTTGGCCAGGCTGGTCTCAAACTCCCAACCTCAGGAGATCTACCCACCTTGGCCTCCCAGGGTCTTGGGATTACAGGCATGAGCCACCATACCCAGGCAGTAGTGTTTTCTTTTCTTTCTTTTTTTTGTTTCATTATACTTTAAGTTCTGAGATACATGTGCAGAATGTGCACAGGTTTGTTACATAGTGATACGCGTGCCATGGTGGTTTGCTGCACCCATCAACCCATCATCTACATTAGGTATTTCTCCTAATGCTATCCCTCCCCTAGCTCCCCACCCAGTAGTGCTTTCTTAATTCGTTTTGGTACACCTATGTATACTTAAGATTTATGATATCTTGTGTTATATGGAGAAGCTGCTATGGGGATTGTTTACAGATTGTTAAACCCTAAAAAGTACCTGGGATACCTTGTATTCCTTAGAAGTCTTGAAACTCCCAACAGATTTGCATTCATTCACAAATTTTTTTGAGCATCTCCTATGGTGGTGGTTGTTCCATGTTCTGGGTTCACACTGGCATAAAAGACAAGATCCCTGTACTCAGTGGTGCTTACCTTTTAGTGGGATAATTAATAAACAAAATGAATTAATGACCTAAAGATCCTACGTCAATTTTTAGCTTTTTTTTCCTTTTTGGATTTCATCACTCCCTTAGGAAATGAAGCTACCATTGCATCCCACAACCAGTGAGTTTGATGAGCTGTGTCGGTTGGATTTTTACTTGGGTATATTTTATATCTGCCACAAGAGATGATACTTCATTTATGAGTCTAAGTTGGATTATTCCCCAAGCCCCATTCGGAAGCCTTCATTGGACTTTATTCTCCAATTGTAGCCGGTGATCTAGGAACCTTTAACAAGTTCCTAGCCTCATAGTTCAGTTGAGGATAGGGACAAATAAGCAACAATTACAAGTTTAGGTGCCGTGATAGAGGAAGTACAAAGTACTCTAGGTACAGGAAAGATTTCCCTAAGGAGGTGATAGTTATACAAGCTGAGGCCCAAAAAGTTAGAAGGAAGAATGTTCCAAATGGAAGGAACAGCATGTTTGAAATCTTGGAGATGAGAAAGAATGGTGAGCTCAAGGAACTGAAATAAGTTTAGTATGGTAGGAACTAAGAGTCTGAAGATGGTGAGTAGTGAAGGGTTTGTTGTTTCATATGATGCTTGAAAGGTAAGCAGTGGGCTGAGTACGGTGACTCACACCTGAAATCCCAGCACTTCGGGAAGCCAAGGCAGGAGGATCGCTTGAGCCCAGTAGTTCAAGACCAGCCTGGGCAACATGGCAAAACCCCTCTCTACAAAAAATACAAAATTAAGCTGGACGTGGTGACACGCACCTATGGTCCCAGCTACGGGGGGATCGCTTGAGCTGTAGAAGGCGGAGGTCAAAATGAGGCGGGATTGTGCCATTGCACTCTAGCCTGGGAGACAGAGACCCTGTCTCAAAAAAAGACAGATAAGCAGTGATAAGATCCTGTACCTTCTAAAATCTTTATCTTAAGCGGGGGTAGAGTGTTACATGATAAGATAGGCATTTTGAAAGCATCTCTCTGGTGGCAATGTAGAGTCGATTAGAAACAACAAGAATAGCGGCAGGAAGACAAATTTGGAAGCTGTTGTAGTAGTTTAGCTGAGAGGAGATGATGGCAAGGACTATGGTAGTCCCTCCGATGATGGAGCGAGGTGGGCAAGGTAAAGAACTATTTTTTTTTTTGAGACAGAGTCTCGCTCTGTCGCCCAGGCTGGTGTGCAGTGGCGCGATCTCGGCTCACTGCAAGCTTCGCCTCCCGGGTTCACGCCATTCTCCTGCCTCAGCCTCCCAAGTAGCTGGAACTACAGGCGCCCGCCACCACGCCGGCTAATTTTTTGTATTTTTAGTAGAGATGGGGTTTCACCCTGTTAGCCAGGATGGTCTGGATCTCCTGACCTCGTGATCCGCCCGCCTCGGCCTCCCAAAGTTCTGGGATTACAGGCGTGAGCCACCATGCCCGGCCGGTAAAGAACTATTAAGAGAGAATTAATAGAACTTGGTGATTGCTTGGATATAAGGACTGAGGTAGGAGGAATAGTCACAGTTGGGTGTTGGTGCTAATCCCTGAGAGAGAGCTCAAAGTGAGAAGTGGGGAGAGGAGTGGTGAGCAGTTCAGTATTGAATGTGTTGAATTTAAATTACTATGAGTAGGATGTTCAAAAAGAGCTGTCTAGGAGGCAGAGTGGAAGAGTATGGCCCCAAAAGAGTGGAAGAGTATGGCCCCAAAGGAGACTGGAAAGGAGAACAGGAGGAAGTCACGGACGCAAAGGGAAGATTGTTAAAGAAGGGAAGGTTGCTCGCCGTGCGCGGTGGCTCACGTCTGTAATCCCAGTACTTTGGGAGGCTGAGGCGGGCGGATCACAGGGCCAGGAGATCGAGACCATCCTGGCTAAGATGGTGAAACCCCGTCTCTACTAAAAATACAAAAAATTAGCCAGGCATGGTGGCGGGCGCCTGTAGTCCCAGCTACTCGGGAGGCTGAGGCAGGAGAATGGCCTGAACCTGGGAGGCAGAGCTTGCAGTGAGCCGAGATCATGCCACTGCACTCCAGCCTGGGTGGCAGAGCGAGACTCTGTCTCAAAAAAAAAAAAAAACAAAGGGAAGGTTGCTGAACACATCAACTGATGCTGAAAGATCAAGTAAGAAAAGGCCAAGATCAAGGGGCGAGGAGATGGTCACTTTATGAGAGAACTGTCAGTGGAGTACAGAGAAGGGTGCAAGTGAGACTGCAGTGTTGAGAGAAAGGTAGTAAAGTTGAAAGAGTAAGTATAGATAGCTCTTCAGCATACTTTCTTACAGGTGGAGAAGAGAAAGGGAGGGTGCTGGCTAACTTGTATTCCAAGTTCCTTGAGAGGAGGATGAAGGTCCTATTTATCTGTGTTATTGAGTATTGTATCTGGTCTATTTTCTTGAACAAATTTTAGATCCTAAGTTTCCTGAGAATAGGAATGATCTCACTTATCCTTGTACTCAGAGCCTAGCACAATATGCATTCAGTAAGTGATTGACTTTTTTAAATTTTTAGTAGAGACGGGGTATCTGTGTTGTCCAGACTAGTCTCCACCTCCTGGCCTAAAGCAATCCTCCCTCCTTGGCCCCCCAGAGTGGTAGGATTACGGGCGTGAGCCACTGCACCTACCTATGATTACTTGTTCAATGAATCAGAAAAGATATTTCCATATTTTTGAACTAAAAAATAAAACTTTTTTTCCTTATAGATAAAGCATATGATGGCTTTCATTGAACAAGAAGCCAATGAGAAAGCAGAAGAAATAGATGCAAAGGTGAGATTCATTTTCTAGTTTTAAGAAGTTATCAAGGTTTCCATATTGTTTTGCTTTGCTAAATAATATTGTTAGTAAAACTGCTTAACAACAGATTGCATCGGACTGATAAAAATGTCTCTTCCTTCCCTCCTTCCCCTCCTTCCTTCCTTCATTTTTTTTTTTTTGGAGACCGAGTTTCACTCTTGTCGCCCAGGCTGAAGTGCAATGGCGCGATCTCGGCTCACTGCAAACTCCGCCTCCCAGGTTCAAGTGATTCTCCTACCTCAGCCTCCCGAGTAGCTGAGATTACAGGCATGTGCCACCAAACCCAGCTAATATTTGTATTTTTAGTAGAGACGGGGTTTCACCGTGTTGGCCAGGATGGTCTCAATCTCTTGACCTTGTGATCCGCCTACCTCGTCCTCCCCAAGTGCTGGGATTACAGGTATGAGCCACAGTGCCTGGCCCCTTCTTTCATTTTGAGACAGTCTCGCTTCGTCACTGGGACTGCAGTGCAGTGGCCTGATCTCAGCTCACTGCAACCTCTGCCTCCCGGGTTCAAGTGATTCTCCTGCCTCAGCCTCCCAAGTAGCTGGGACTACAGGCAGGCACCGTCACACCTGTCTAATTTTTGTATTTTTAGTAGAGACAGGGTTTCACCATGTTGGCCAGGCTGGTCTTGAACTCCTGACCTCAGATGATCCACCCGCTTGGGCCTCCCAAAGTGCTGGGATTACAGGTGTGAAACACCGTGCCCAGCCCTATTTATTTACTTTTTTTTTTTTTTTTTTTTTTTTGAGATGGAGTCTCGCTCTGTCGCCCAGGCTGGAGTGCAGTGGCCAGATCTTGGCTCACTGCAAGCTCCACCTCCCAGGTTCACACCGTTCTCTTGCCTGAGCCTCCCGAGTAGCTGGGATTACAGACACCCGCCACCACGCCTGGCTAATTTTTTGTATTTTTAGTAGAGACAAGGTTTCACCACATTAGCCAGGATGGTCTCGATCTCCTGACCTCGTGATCTGCCTGCCTCGGCCTCCCAAAGTGCTGGGATTACAGGCATGAGCCACCACACCCGGCCTTTATTTACTTTTTAATTTAAATTTTACCTTAATAAATTCCTCATTGGAAATGTCTGTATCTTTAACATTAAAAAATAAATTTTCCTTTCTAATGGTTGTGATGCCAATAAGTGTCCTGAAATTTTATGTTAGAGGGTAGAAAAGTAATGTATGATTCATTTTCTCATGGAAACCAAAATTCAGATATTTAACAACCGTGGCGAACTGTGATAGGTGACTAGAGAAGGTTGTAGTGTTTCATTGTTTAGCTTTTTTGTTAATCTGTGCTCATTGCAAAAAAGTAAAGTTTGGGCTGGGATTGGTGGCTCACGCCTGTAATCCCAGCACTTTGGGAGGCCAAGGCAGGCGGATCACCTGAGGTCAGGAGTTCAAGACCAGCCTGGCCAACATGGTGAAACCCCGTGTCTACTAAAAATACAAAAATTAGCTGGGCATGGTGGTGTGTGCCTGTCATCCCAGCTCCTCGGGAGGCTGAGGCGGGAGAATCGCTTGATCCCAGAATGCAGAGGTTGCAGTCAGCAGAGATCGTGCCACTGCACTCCAGCCTGGACGACAGAGTGAGACCTTGTCTCAAAAAATTAAAAAATAAAAAATAAAAAGTTTGGAAGTATATAGGGTATAAAATGAAAACCCCACCCATTACAAAGGTGACCTTCCATCAGCATTTAGAAGTTTTATATATATTTCCAGTTGTACATTGCTTATGCCAATTTATATTCCTTAACAGTATGTCAAAATGTTCTTTTCCCAAGGTATAATCATAACACGCATTTTTTAAAGCTTGCCTTAAAAATATTACCAAAATATGGCCGGGGCGGTGGCTCACACCTGTAATCCCAGCACTTTGGGAGGCCGACACAAGTGGATCACCTGAGGTCAGGAGTTCAAGACCAGCCTGGCCAACATGTTGAAACCCCATCTCTACAAAAAATACAAAAATTGGTTGGGTGTGGTGGTGCACGCCTGCAGTCTCAGCTACTCAGGAGGCTGAGGCAGGAGAATCACTTGAACCCGGGAGGTGGAGGTTGCAGTGAGCTGAGATCGCACCACTGCACTCCATCTAGCCTGGGTGACAGAGTAAGACTCTGTCTCAAGAAAAAAATCAGTAAATAAAATATGACCAAGATATATTGTTTAATATTTTCATTGTCCTTTTAGTACAGCCTTAAATTTTTATGTGCCTGGTACTCTAGAAATAAAACTCTCTGAAACCTTGGGCTATTTGACTAGTTTATCATTTGAAGAAGAAAAGACTATTTTCCCTCTCACTAATACATAACAGCTGATAGGATATTGCTTAATATTGTTTTGATGGTGATAGTTTCTTGTATGACTCTTTTTTTTTTTTTTTTGAGACGGAGTCTCGCTCTGTCGCCCAGGCTGGAGTGCAGTGGCGGGATCTCGGCTCACTGCAAGCTCCGCCTCCCGGGTTCACGCCATTCTCCTGCCTCAGCCTCCCAAGTAGCTGGGACTACAGGCGCCCGCCACTACACCCGGCTAATTTTTTGTATTTTTAGTAGAGACGGGGTTTCACCGTTTTAGCCGGGATGGTCTCGATCTCCTGACCTCGTGATCCGCCCGCCTCGGCCTCCCAAAGTGCTGGGATTACAGGCTTGAGCCACCGCGCCTGGCCTCTTGTATGACTCTTTCTGGATCAAATACAGAAGTCCTATTTCAGCTATTATTTCAGGAAATGCATTTCTTTTTTTTTTTTTTTTTTGAGCCGGAGTTTCATTCTTGTTGCCCAGACTGGAGTGCAGTGGCGCGATCTCAGCTCACCACAACCTCCGCCTCCCGAGTTCAAGCGATTCTCCTGCCTCAGCCTCCCAAGTAGCTGGGACTACAGGCGCATGCCATCACGCCCAGCTAATTTTTTGTATTTTAGTAGAGATGGGGTTTTACTGTGTTGCCCAGGCTGGTCTTGAACTCCTGAACTCAGGCAGTCCACCTGCCTTGGCCTCCCAAAGTGCTAGGATTACTGGCGTGAGCCACCACGCCTGGCCTCAGTAAATGCATTTCTGTCTCAAATATTTATTTATTTTATTTAGTTTTGAGACGGAGTCTCCCTCTATTGCCCAGGCTGGAGTGCAGTGGTGCAATGTCGGCTCACCACAACCCCCACCTCCTGGGTTCAAGCAATTCTCTTGCTTTAGCCTCCTGAGTAGCTGGGATTACAGGTCCCTGCCACCATGCCCAGCTAAATTTTTTATATTTTTAATAGCGATGGGGTTTCACCATATTGGCCAGGCTGCTGTGGAACTCCTGACCTCATGATCCTCCAGCTTCAGCCTCCCAAAGTGCTGGGATTACAGGCGTGAGCCACCACGCCCGGCTTTTGTTTGTTTGTTTGTTTGTTTGTTTGTTTTTTGAGATGGAGTCTTGCACTGTCGCCCGGGCTGGAGTGCAATGGCACGATCTCAGCACACCGCAACCTCTGCCTCCCAGGTTCAAGTGATTCTCCTGCCTCAGCCTCCTGAGTACCTGGGACTACAGGCACCTGCCACCACGCCCAGCTAATTTTTTGTATTTTTAGTAGAGATGGGGTTTCACCGTGTTAGCCAGGGTGATCTTGATCTCCTGACCTCACGATCTGCCCACCTCAGCCTCCCAAAGTGTTGGGATTACAGGCGTTAGCTACCGCGCCAGGCCAATTTTTGTATTCTTAGTAGAGATGGGGTTTCACCATGTTGGCCAGACTGGTCTCGAACTCTTGACCTCATGATCCACCCGCCTTGGCCTTTCAAAGTGCTGGGATTGCAGGCGTGAGCCACCTCTATCGCCCAGGCTGGAGTGCAGCAGTGTAATCTCTGCTCACTCTAACCTCTGCCTCCTGGGTTCAAGCGATTCTCCTGCCTTAGCTTCTGGGTAGCTGGGATTACAGGCGCCTACCCAGGCCCAGGTAATTTTTGTGTTTTTAGTAGAGACGGGCTTTCACCATGTTGGCCAGGCTCGTCTTGGAACTCCTGACCTCAAGTGATCCGCCTACCTCGGCCTCCCAAAGTGCTGGGATTATAGGCCTGAGCCACTCTACCTGGCCTGTTTACGTATAATAAAATAATGTATAATAAAATTTATGTATAAAAAAATTAATATTTTTTTTGGATGGAGTCTTGCTCTGTCACCCAGGCTAGAGTGCAGTGGCATGATCTCGGCTCACTGTAATCTCTGCCTCCTGGCTTCAAGCAATTCTCCTGCCTCAGCCTCCCAAGTATCTTGAACTACAGGCGCCCGCCACCACGCCTGGCTAATTTTTGTATTTTTAGTAGAGATGGGGTTTCACTATGTTGGCCAGGCTGGTCTTGAACTCCCGACCTTGTGATCCGCCTGCCTCAGCCTCCGAAACTGCTGAGATTATAGGCGTGAGCCATGGCGCCCAGCCCATAATTTATATTTTTAAATATATGCGACACTTACCCATGAGGGAAAAAAAATTTTTTTTTTTTTTGAAACGGTGTCTCGCTCTGCTGCCCAGGCGCGATCTCGGTTCACTGCAAGTTCCGCCTCCCGGGTTCATGCCATTCTCCTGCCTCAGCCTCCCGAGTAGCTGGGACTACAGGCGACTGCCACCACGCCCGCCTAATTTTTTGTATTTTTTAGTAGAGACGGGGTTTCACCATGTTAGCCAGGATGGTCTCGATCTCCTGACCTCATGATCCGCCTGCCTCTGCCTCCCAAAGTGCTGGGATTACAGGTGTGAGCCACCGTGCCCAGGCAACTTTTTTTTTTTTTTTTAAGAGTTCGCTTTTGTTGCCCAGGCTGGAGTGCAATGGCGTGATCTCAGCTCACTGCAACCTCCACCTCCTGGGTTCAAGCATTTCTCCTACCTCTCCCTCTTGAGTATCTGGGATTACAGGCATGTGCCCACCATGCGCGGCTAATTTTTGTGTGTGTGTGTGTGTATTTTTAGTAGAGATGGGATTTCTCCATGTTGGTCAGGCTGGTCTCGAACTCCCGACCTCAGGTGATCTGCCCGCCTCAGCCCCCCAAAGTGCTGGGATGGCAGGCGTTAGGCCACCATGCCTAGCCTTTATTTTTTATTTTTATTTTTTTAGATGGAGTTTCCCTCTTCTTCCCTAAGCTAGAGTGCAGTGGCACGATCTCGGCTCACTGCAACCTCCGCCTCCCAGGTTCAAGCGATTCTCCTCCCTCAGCCTTCCGACTAGCTGGGATTACAGGCATGCGCCGCCACGCCTGGCCAGTTTTATATTTTTAGTAGAGACGAGGTTTCTCTATGTTGATCAGGCCGATCTCAAACTCCTGACCTTAGGTGATCTGTCTGCCTTGGCCTCCCAAAGTGCTGGGATTACAGGCGTGAGCCACTGCGCCCAGCCAACTTTTTAATTTTTTTAAGTTCATTTTACAAGAGAGGACACTAAGCCTGAGGTTACTCGACCACATTTTATGGGCAGTAATCTGGATCTTTGTTTTTTTTTGAGACAGAGTTCTGCTCTGTCGCCCAGGCTAGAGTGCAGTGGCACGATCTCCACTCGCTGCAAGCTCTGCCTCCCGGGTTCACGCCATTGTCCTGCCTCAGCCTCCTGAGTAGCTGGGACTACAGGCGCCTGCCACCGCGCCTGGCTAATTTTTTGTATTTTTAGTAGAGACAGGGTTTCACCGTGTTAGCCAGGATGATCTCGATCTCCTGACCTCGTGATCCACCCGCCTCGGCCTCCCAAAGTATTGGGATTATAGGCGTGAGCCACCGCACCCGGCCAGGATCTTCTAAACTTTCAAGTTCTGTGTCATATTTATTGGCCCACCAGTAAGCTAATGGATTAAGTTTCGAACGTGTGGTAATTTTTTTCATGAGCAGAATATTCTACCCAATTATATCCTTTAGTAACTTGTCGGTTACTGTTACCCTTGACGAAATTTTTAGTTTCCTAGTACGTCATTTATAATGAAAATTGCTGATCTTTCCTTTTGAATAAATTAGAATCCTTGAAAATGAATCACAATAAATTTTCTGTTTTATATATGAAATTAGTGTTCATAAGCAAGTAACGCAGGTCACCAGCTGTTTAAAACTGTTAATCAAAACTTGATGTAATGAATTAATATTGACTAATTTCCCTCTAGGCAGAAGAAGAGTTCAACATAGAGAAAGGTCGGCTTGTGCAAACCCAAAGACTAAAGATTATGGAATATTATGAGAAGAAAGAGAAACAGATTGAGCAGCAGAAGAAAATGTAAGTAGATCCTGGTTGCAGTATTAAGCTAAGAAGTTTTCTGAAGTCATGAGCAGGCGCTTTGGAGTCAGGCATATATAAATTCAGGTCTTAACTCGACCACCTACTACTAATCTGACAAATTGTTTAACTTCTCTTTCTTCATTTGTGAAAATTAAAGCCTGACAGGATTATTCAAAGATTAAACTGCAGGCTGGGCAAGGTGGCTCACGCTTGTAATCCTGGTGCTTTGGGGAGGCCAAGGGAGGAGGATTGCTTGAGCCCAGGAGTTCGAATTCTTTCTCTACAGTTTTAAGTTGTTACTAATGCTATTTTTCAATACCGTTTTGCAGTCAGATGTCCAATTTGATGAATCAAGCGAGACTCAAAGTCCTCAGAGCAAGAGATGACCTTATCACAGTGAGTAATTAGCCCCTATTAGTTATAAAATTATTACATGTTTATTCATTTCCCTGTTGTAAATTACTAGTTAACATTAATTAAGGAGTTGATTGAATAATCTTTAGAGAGAAAACATTCCAATTATTATAATAAATACAAAAGTGAATAAGAGCCAAGGCCTGTATTGAAGGACCTTCTGATCTAAAGAGCATGTAAGACTCTCCTGGATTATAGCACACACTATGGGTGGACCGCACAGTAGTACATGAGGGTACAGGGACCAGTGAGACCAGAACCATAGGATGGTTAATACAGAGGCCATGAGTGTGAGGCTGAAGAGCTTCACCTGTTTTCAACAGAAAGCTGTGGAAACTTTTGTATTATTTTGTGGAGAATATCATAAATAAGGCTCATGATATAAGCGTGCAGGCTAAATTTAACAGGGAAGAGGCTGGAAAAAAGAAAACCATATGGAAAGTATTATAGTCCTCTAAGGAAGAGGGCAGAAACCTTCAGAAGCATACCACTTCATTGAGAAAGTGTAGAGCTATTTGGATTATATTCATAAGCCAAACAGGGATGCCTGCTGTTTCCACTGTTACTCATTGTGACTGTGGAGGCCCTAGATTCCTTATGAGTTGGAGAAATGAGAGTTACATAAATATTGGGATAGAAGAAACGAAATTACCATCTTTGCAGATACGGTTATTCAAGCAGAAAATATAAGGTTCAAAAAACATAAGATCCTATAACTAATCCAGCAATGTGACTGGCTACAAACACAATAGGAAATGAATAGTTTTCCTGTATGCCAACAATAACCAGTTTGCAAGTAAAATAAAAAGTAGATCTCTCTATAATAGCTACTAAAATTATTAAATTACTAGGAGTAAGTCCTATATGAAAACAGCTATAAAACTAAAAATATAGAACTTGAAAAAATGGAAGACATACTGTTTTCTTAGATGAGAAAGAAACACAAACCAGTATTCCAAGTTGTCAGTTCTTATTAATCGATGGTGGCAGTGAGAACTGAGTAGCAGTGTTAGTGTTGATGGATTTTACAGGAAGACTTTCCAGACATTCATTGACTCTGCCTTTTCTTCCAAGTCCATCACTAAATTCTGAGTATCAGGTGTGGATAGACTAGGAGAATGGTGGATCCATTAACAAAAATGGGAAGTCAAGATGCTGAAATGTTTCGTTAAGAAAAATAACTAGTTCTTTTTTCTGTTTGTTTGTTTTGGCATCCCTGGGTGGGCTGGACTTTTGGACATGTTTGAGGGACCAAGAAACCTCCAGATGTAAGTGTCAGTGAGGATGTTAAGTGTAAAGGACTGATATTTAGGACACCATAGAGATGATTTACTAATATAACTCCTATATTACTTCAAATAATAAAAGTTGCCCCAAATTTAAGTGCTTTATCTGCTTTGAAACTCCAGGAATGTGGGAAAATACAAAATCTGTTGCCAGTTTATCTTGCCACATGGGATTAGTTCATCCCCTTTAAAATACAAAAGAAAGAGTCAAGAGTTTCCTGGGGAAATGTTGCCTGCAAAATGTTACTAGCTCAGGACAACTGTTATTTTGCGTCTTCACTAAAGTGTCAATAATCAGGAGTTGATTTCCTTCCAGGGGATTCAAATTCCTTTAGCAACTTGGATTGACTGAATTAATTTATAACAGGCTTTTACAATAATAATGTCTTAGGGAAGGTAGTTTGTTGTAGAAGGGCTTGGGGCTTAAGAGTCAGTCAGCTATGAGTTTAAATGTCAACTCTGCCATATTCGTTTGTCTAAATTACTGTTTCTGACCCTCGGTTTTCTCTTGTATTCATTATCTATGTTATGTATATTCATTATGATGTTTGGTTCAGAGTGCTTATGAGAATCGAATGAGAGAACACATTTAAGTCCTCTGGCATGTAACATTTGTCATATCGTGTTTAAAAAATGTTAGTTCCCTTTCTCCAACCCCATCTCCGTCTCCACCAGTGATAACCCTTCCTTCTAATAATAGGCCTGTGTAGATAAAATATTCTTAGCTTATTGGGTGCTAATGCCCAGAAAGCCTCTTGACTATAGTCTTTTCATTATTTATGCCCAAAGTAAAAAATGACAACTGTGACATCTACTGCATAGATATTATTATTTGTACAATTCAAAAAAGTTTAGAGGCATGTAATGTTAATGTCTTGGCAGCATTCCTAAATATAAGTAGCAAGGGCTATAACACACAAGGTTATAGCAAAAGATTATAGTCTTAGCTAGTTAATAGGCTTTATAATTAGGTTTTTTATTTGGTTTGTTTTTTATGCCACCTTTTTGAAGGTTAATAATATTAAGAGTGGAAAAGATTCTGAGAAAGATCATCTAACATATTATAGAAATGGTTTTGATGATACATTCTCTGATGCTGTCCTGCCTTAGATGGTATACCGACCTTTCATAACTGGATGTAAACAACCCATAGGTCTAGTGGATTTGACTTGACTTGTAATTTTAACTTGTTATTTATTGCCCTTATTTTCTCTTTGCTTTAATTTTTTAATCCACTTGTTTATATTTTATTAGTTATTTTTTCTAATTTGCTTTTTAAAAAACGTAATTAACGTTTTCATTAGATATACTTCTGTAAGCTGCCTTAAATCTATTAGAATATATAAATAATTACTAGTTGGCTTTTAGAAGGAATTTTTTTTTAAGAGGCATGGTCTGGCTATGTTGCCCAGGCTGGAATGCAATGGTGCAGTCATAGCTCACAAACTCCTGGGCTCAAGCAGTCCTTCCCACCTCAGCCTCCTATGTAGCTGGGATAACAGGCAAGAGCCACCATGCCTGGCCTCAGAGGGAAAATTTGAAGTGGCATAGATAAGAAAACTTGACACCTAAAATTCAGATCATTCATTCATTTATCAAATACTTCAATATCGGTGCTTCTCAACTTTTTTCCCTTCTCTCTGGAATATTCATACAGTTATTTTACATTTTAGTAACATCTCTCATGACACACAGTGGTTTTCAAATTTTGAGGTGGAGGATATTAAAAGAAAGTGTGGGGCTGGGCGTGGTGGCTCAGACCTGTAATCCCAGCACTTTGGGAGGCCGAGGCGGGCGGATCACGAGGTCAGGAGATTGAGACCATCCTGGCTAACAACGGTGAAACCACGTCTCCACTAAAAATACAAAAAATTAGCCGGGCGTGGTGGTGGGCGCCTGTAGTCCCAGCTACTCGGGAGGCTGAGGCAGGAGAAAGGCGTGAACCCAGGAGGCCGAGCTTGCAGTGAGCTGAGATCGCACCACTGCACTCCAGCCTGGGTGACAGAGCCAGACTCCGTCTCAAAAAAAAAAAAAAAAAAAAAAGAGCAGGATGGGCATGGTGGCTCACGCCTGTAATCCCAGCACTTTGGGAGGATGAGGCGGATGGATCACTTGAGGTCAGGAGTTTGAGACCAGCCCGGCCAATGTGGTGCCCTGTCTCTACTAAAAATACAAAAAAATTAGCTGGGTGTGGTGGCGGGCGCCTATAGTCCCAGCTACTCGAGAGGCTGAGGCAGGAGAATTGCTTGAACCCGGGAGGCGGAGGTTGCAATGAGCTGAGATCCCGTCATTGCACTCCAGCCTGGGCGACAGAGTGAGACTCCGCTCAAAAAAGGAAAAAAAAGGAAGTGCAGTTGTATGGAATGAATTTTTGTTTGTTTGTTTGTTTGTTTGTTTTGTTTTGTTTTGTTTTTTGAGACGGAGTCTCGCTCTATCGCCCAGGCTGGAGTGCAGTGGCAGTGGCGCGATATCAGCTCACTGCAGACTCTGCCTCCCGGGTTCACGCCAGTCTCCTGCCTCAGCCTCCTTGAGTAGCTGGGACTACAGACGCCCGCCACTGCGCCCGGCTAATTTTTTGTATTTTTAGTACAGACAGGGTTTCACCGTGTTAGCCAGGATGGTCTCGATTTCCTGACCTCGTGATCTGCCCGCCTCGGCCTCCCAAAGTGCTGGGATTACAGGCGTGAGCCACTGCTCCCGGCCAATGAATGTGTTTTAATTTCAACTTAGGATAGTTTTCCAAAATACAGTAATCCATCATATTCTTTCAGAGATGGGCTAGCCAGGTGCCATGGCTCATGCCTGTGGTCACAGCACTTTATGAGGCCAAGGTGGGAGTGTGGCTTGAGGCCAAGAGTTTGAGACCAGTCTGATAAATATAGGGAGACCCTGTCTGTACAAAAAATTTTTAAAAATTAGCAAGGTGTGGTAGCGCATGCCTGTGGTCCCAGCTACTCTGGAGGCTGAGATGGGAGAATCACTTGAGCCCAAGAGTTTGAGGCTCCAGTGAGCTGTGATTATGCCACTGCATTCCAGCATAAATGACACAGGGAGACCCTGTCTCTAAAAATAATAAATAATAGAAACAAAAAGAAATGGGCTAGAGAAAAATAATTCTTTTTATGACCTTGAAAGACAAAGCAGTCATTCAGTTCATACCACATGTCTTTCCCGGATTTAGTCACTCTGAGTTTGTCTGCTGACTTTAAAATTGTTGCAAACAAAATTCTGGTTTTGGTACTCATGTTATCCCTCAGTTGTCACTCTTCTGTTTTCATGTCATAACTCAGTTGGGTTCCCTTGAGGCACTAAGCTGTTTGAATTTAACAGTACATTTATCCCATGTGTCCTGTATCGTGCTGGCCCCTCTAGGAGTCTGCAGTCTAATAGGACCTGGACAAGATAATACATCTCCACTACAGCTGTTTGAGCATGACTTGAAGTATTAGTCATGGGATAGGATACAGAATGGAGAGAGCAGTGTGAGTGAAAAACCGAGACCTGAATTTGACATGTGCGGGAAACAGAGGTAGTCTGGCAGAGTGGGGAGTGGGCAGAGAACAGGCCACATATTAGGGTCTAATTAGAAGGGCCTTGAGTGTCTGCTGAAGAATATGGACTTCATCCTTTTGGCTAATTCTCTAACTTTAATGGGCATAAAAATCACCTGGGGGACCTTGTTAAAATGCAGATGTTCATTCCCATTTCCAGAGACTTTTATATTCTAGTCAGGAGTCAGCATTTAAACCAGCAGCTCAGGGTAATCTTGGTGCAGGTAGTCTGAGAACCACACTTTGAGAAATAGTGTTTAATGGTTACATTTGTGTTAGAGGAACCCCACTGGTGACCATGTGGAGTAGAAACAAGGAGGGTATGGCTTACCTTCCAGGTCGAGAAGTAGAATGGTGGCAGCAGAAAGAGAAGACAGGCCTATTCCAGAGATCCTAAAAAGGTAGGAATCTGTAGGACTTGGTGACTTACAGTTGTGATGAGTGAATGCAAAGGAGTCAAGAATGACATAAGAGTTTGTAGTCTAGGCAACTGGTAGATGGAATGAAGATTAGAAATATGGGAAGATAATCCCAGCACTTTGGGAGGCCGAGGCAGGCAGATCGTGAGGTCAGGAGATCGAGATCATCCTGGCAAACATGGTGAAACCCCATCTCTACTAAAAATACAAAAATTAGCTGGGCCTGGTGGGGGGTGCCTGTAATCCCAGCTACTTGGGAGGCTGAGGCAGGAGAATTGCTTGAACCAGGGAGTCAGATGTTGCAGTGAGCCAGGATCACGCCACTGCACTCCAGCCTGGCGACAGAGTGAGACTTCATGTCAAAAATAAAAAAAAAAAGAAATATAGGAAGAACAGGTAAAGAATGGTGAAAAAAATCATTGTGTTTGAATTGCCTTAGGATTCCAGGTGAAGCTCTATGAGTCTGTTAGGAGAGAAGAGGAGCTTATGTGGAGACAACACAGAAGTCCCTGCTGGAGCTGTGGTTTTGGATGGAGAATTAGAAGAGAAGCGGGCCAAAAAAACTGAGAAGCATCAGATTTAATAGAAAATAAATTGCTAAGGAAATGTGGGGGAAAGCAGTTATGTTGGAGAATACAGAGAAGCCAAGGGAACGGCAAACTCAAAATGGTCTCTAATACAGTGTTCAATGTTTGAGAGAATGACAGTGGGAAGAGCATGGTGGTCTTTGGATTTGGCAGTCAAGATGTCGTTTTTCACATTTGCCAGAGCAGTTTCATTGGACTGATGAAGGCAGAAAGCCAGATTGTTATGGCATGAGAAGGGAGAAGTGCGTGTGAGGTGAGGAGCTGAAGGCAGCGTGCGTGGCCTGTTCACAAGCTGGGCTGTGTGTTTTAATCTCTTTTGGAACAAATCCAAGTATACTGTTGCATGCAACTTGAATTCAGTATATAGCTTGAGCTTTTATATTATTTCTCTGACTTATAATGAGAATTTTGAGAAGATAAACATTTATGTAATTTCAGTTATTCTAAAGATACTTGTTTCTTTTTTAACCGCTTACAGTCTTAACTTCTTGCCGTCATTGAACCCTGTAAATAAGAGATGTGGAGAGTTGAGGAAACAGACTGTGAAATGATACCGATCAAACAGGATTCAATCTGCATAAAAGCACACATACATGCTTTGAGTGGATTTTGCTATTTCTAAACTTTTTACTTCTAGTTTTATCCATAGAATAAGAAGCTGTGAAAGGAAAGGAAGTTGTCATGCAGTTAGAAAAGGATATTGACAAAAGATGGAAGGAAGGGGAAAAATACAGAACTGGGGTAAAAATTAAAAGAAAATAGGCAAGTTGTGTGGTGCTTTGGTCTAAGTTGCATAATCCTTTATAGATATTTGTCTGTGTTGATCCTTTTTCCTTGCCTGCCCAGGTGTTTTCCAGGATTAAGAGTGCAGGCTTTGGAATTCCTTTGAGGTTTAAGTTCCGTTTTTACCATTCCCAGCTGCTCAGTAGGCAGATTTTTAAACCCCACTTTACTCCTTTGAACCCTTCATTTCTTATAAAAAGTAGGAGAAGGCCAGGCACCATCCCCCATGCCTATAATCCCCACACTTTGGGAGGCTGAGGCAGGAGGATAGCTTGAGCCCAGGCATTCAAGACCAGCCCAGGCAACACAGTAAGACCTTGTCTCTACTAAAAATTAAAAAAATGTAGCCAGGCGTGGTGGTGTCCCAGCTACTCTGGAGGCAGAGGCAGGAGGATTGAGCTATGATTGTGCCACTGTACTTCAGCCTGGATGACAGAGCAATGCCCTGTCTCAAAAAAAAAAAAAAAAAAAAAAGAGAAACATCTACCTAAAGCTTATTTAGAAAAAAATTAGATCACCTAGGTAGAGTGACTAGTATAATGCCTAAAACAAAATGAGTGTTGAGTGAATGATAGTTCTTTATTATCATTTCCCCAAACCGCAAAACTTACAAGTTTTCTTTTTTCTTTTTCTTTTTGAGACGGAGTTTCGCTCTTGTTGCCCAGCCTGGAGTGCAATGGTGCAATCTCGGCTCACTGCACCCCCCGCCTCCTGGGTTCAAGTGATTCTCCTGCCTCAGCCTCCCGAGTAGCTGGGATTACAGGCATGTGCCACCATGCCAGGCTAATTTTGTATTTTTAGAAGAGATGGGGTTTTTCCATGTTGGCCAGGCCGGTCTCAAACTCCCGACCTCAGGTGATCTGCCTGCCTCGGCCTGCCAAAGTGCTGGGATTACAGGCGTGAGCCACCATGCCTAGCCATAAGTTTTCTTTTCTTTTCTTTTCTTTTTTTTTTTTTTTTTTGAGATGAAGTCTCACTCTTGTCCCCCAGGCTGGAGTGCAATGGCGTGATCTCAACTCACTGCAGCCTCCGCCACCCGGGTTCAAGCGATTCTCCTGCCTCAGCCTCCCCAGTAGCTGGGATTCACCATGCCCTACTAATTTTTTGTATTTTAGGTAGAGACAGGGTTTCACCATGTTGGCCAAGCCGGTCTCAAACTCCTGACCTCAGGTGATGCACCTGCTTCAGCCTCCCAAAGTGCTGAGATTACAGGCGTGAGCAACCGCACCCAGCCAAGTTTTCTTTTTTAAACGAGAATAAATAAGCATTAACATTTAAATTCTGAGACATTGGTACTGAAGTGGAGATTTCTATTGCTGTGGTTAGAGATGAAATAGAAATAAATGTCTTTGGCCGGGTTTGGTGGCTCATGCTTGTAATCCCAACACTTTGGGAGGCCGAGGAGGGCGGATCATGAGGTCCGGGGTTCGAGACCAGCCTGATCAACATGGTGAAGCCCTGTCTCTACTAAAAATAAAAAAATTAGCAGGCATGGTGGTGTGCACCTGTAATCTCAGCTACTCAGGAGGCTGAGGCAGGAGAATCGCTTGAACCCAGGGGGCGGAGGTTGCAGTGAGCCGAGATCGTACCACTGCACTCCAGCCTGGGCGACAAAGCGAGACTCCGTCTCAAAAAAAAAAAGAGAAAACAAAGAAATAAATGCCCACTGACTCTTCAGACTAGGCAGGGCCAGGGAGATATGGTTTTGATGTTGACATCATAATCAGGTTTTGGTTTCCTGCTTTTGAGGAGCAGGAAATATTTTCAGAATCCTCAGGGCAGTTAGGTTCAGTTGGGCAGATTTTCCCTTCCAAACTCATAAAATACAAATAAGCCCACATGTGAACTGCAGTAGTTTACAGTGAGAGACACATGTTGCTGTGGAAAAGCTACATGAGGAGCCAGATTATAACCAGAAAGTTAATTGAAGTTAGAGTCACACCAGAGGGTGTCACTGGGATGTTAGGAGCTTATCACACGGATGGTAATTATTGATCATAATTTACCTTTCTCTCCCGTGGTGACATAGTGGACAGGCATGCTTCAGACAAGGGATAACACAGTTTATGTCAATTAGGTTCTAGCCTGCTTAGCTAGAGTTTAGTTTATTTAGACTCAACGAATTGGCCTTTTAAAACTCCTTAATTACCGTTTCCCTGTTTTCCATAGTAGATTCCTTATGCAAATGGCTAGTAGCACGCTCCACAAGTTGACATTACTTAATTTACTGGAGTAGCCTCGTCTCCATACTCAGGCTGTCTATCCCTGTCTGTGTGACCAGTGTGGATAGGGTGATTCCAGCACAGAGAGGAAAAATGTTAGAGGGCTCTTTTGGTGGGGAGGAGCTAAGAGTTCTTTCAGCCAGATGTCTTATAGACAGGGTGTGTATCCCTTATCTGAAATGTTTGGGACCAGAAGTTTTTTGGATTTCAGATTTTTTGGATTTTGGAATATTTGCCTACACATAATAAGATATTTTGGAGATGGGACCCAAGCCTAAATACGAAATTCATTTTTAGTAGAGATGGAGTTTCACTCTGTTGCCCAGGCTGGCCTCAAACTCTGGGTTTAAGTAATCAGCCCGCCTTGGTCTCTCAAAGTGCTGGGATCAGAGGTGTGAGCCACTGCACATGGCTGAGGCTGTGCTTTCTCTTGAGCCTTAAAAACACAGTTTCCCAGGTTGGAGTGCAGTGGTATGATTATCATTCACGACAGCCTCAAACTCCTGGACTCAAGGGATTCTTGCACCTCAGCCTCCCTAGTACCTGGGACTACAGGTGCTCACCACCTGATTTTTTTTTTTAATTTTACAGAGACGAGGTCTCACTCTGTTGCCCCGGCTGGTCTCAAACTGCTGGGCTCAAGCAGTCCTGCCACCTATGCCTCCCATTAAAGACTGCATTTTAAAGTTTCTTTAAGTCTGGGCATGGTGGCTCACACCTGTAATCCCAGCACTTTGGGAGGCCGAGGCAGGCAGATCACTTGAGGTCAGGAGTTCAAGACCAGCCCGGCCAACATGGTGAAACTCCGTCTCTACTAAAAATACAAAAATTAGCTGGGTGAGGTGGCGCACGCCTGTAACACTCAGGAGGCTGAGGTGGGAGAATCGCTTGAACCCGGGAGGTGGAGGTTGCAGTGAGTTAAGATCAGGCCACTGCACTCCAGCCTGGGCAACAGAGCGAGACTCCGTCTTCAAAATAATAATAATAATGTTTCTTTAAAATAACTATCATACAGTATGATTACTTTTTCTCCATTTAACAAGTGGTGTGCTCTGTTTAACTTTATTTACAATTATAAATGAGTGAAAGTATGATTCATTGACCAATGAATGGCATTAAATCTTGTTTGTTTTAGGGACAGAGTATGTATTATAAACCAAAATCTTAGAATAAATAAATAATGTTTAAGTGTTAAAAGTTTCTAAAGACAGAAACTATATTTATCACTTGGTATTTGGAATCTTTGCATTTGGAGCTTAAGAAAGTCAAATGGCCAGGCGTGGTGGCTCACGCCTGTAATCCCAGCACTTTGGGAGGCTGAGGCAGGCGGATCACGAGGTTAGGAGATTGAGACCATCCTGGCTAACACGGTGCAACCCCATCTCTACTAAAAATACAAAAAAATTAACTGGGTGTGGTGGCGTGCGCCTGTAGTCCCAGCCACTTGGGAGGCTGAGGCAGAAGAATTGCTTGAACCCGGGAGGCAGAGGTTACAGTGAGCTGAGATCGTGCCACTGCACTCCAGCCTGGGCAACAGAGCGAGACTGTCTCAAAGAAAAAAAAAAGCCTTGAGTTTTCTTTTAGCCCTTAAGCCTTATTACTTAACAAATGATATCCAGTGTGTTCTCAGCCATATGAGATTTGTTTCCTGATAGTATTCCTATTTTAGTTATTTTTATTATAGAAGCCAGTGTTTATTGGAGACAGATTAGAAAATACAAACTAACCAAGAAAATTGAGGCTGGATATGTTGGCACACTCCTGTAATCCCAGCACTTTGGGAGATCGAGGTGGGAAGATTGCTTGAGGCCAGGAGTTCAAGAGCAGCCTGGGTAATATAGCAAGACTCCATCTCTATAAAAAATAAAATAATATGAGCTGGGTATAGTGGTACACGCCTGTGGTCCCAGATATTGAGGAGGTTGAAGCGGGAAGATCACTTGAGCCTGGATGGTCAAGGCTGTAGAGAGCCATGATTGTATCACTGCACTGCAGCCTGGGCAACAGAGCAAGACCCTGTCTCAAAAACAAACAAAGAGGGCTGAGGGCGGTGGCTCATGCCTGTAATCCCAGCACTTTGGGAGGCCAAGGCAGGCGGATCACCTGAGGTCAGGAGTTAGAGACGAGCCTGGCCAACATGGTGAAACCTTGTCTCTACTAAAAATACAAGAATTAGCTGGGCGTGGTGGTGGGCGCCTGTAGTCTCATCTACTCAGGAGGCTGAGGCAGGAGAATTGCTTGAACCCATGGGTGGAGGTTGCAGTGAGCCGAGATTGCACCATTGCACTCCAGCCTGGGTTAGAAGAGTGAAACTCCATCTCAAAAACAAACAAACAAAATTGAAATTATTCGTAATCTGGCCTTCCAAAGGTAGACTGTTCGTATTTCGATCCATAGCCAGACATCTGGTTTTTTTCCTTAAAAAAAATGGGGTAATCTTGTATAACCGTTTAATAGCTTGCTTTTCAAAGTTACATCGCGCGCATCTTTCCATGTCAGTCACTTGTGTCGGTTTCTGAACTGATGGTTACCTGAGCTATTCTCTGCTAGGCCGTGGACTCCCTGGGAGCAGAGACGGTGTTACATGCTTCCTTGTACCCAGCACAGCCCCTGCTTTATCTCAGATCTCAGGGAATGTGTGTTGAATGAAAATCCAGCAATAAAATGTGAGGCAGCTGGGCATGAGCCAGGATCAGCCTCACAGTGGGTTCTGAGCCGACTGCCCAGATGTGTAGATAACTTTTATCTTTTCTAATCTTTGTAGGACCTACTAAATGAAGCAAAACAGAGACTCAGCAAGGTGGTAAAAGATACAACCAGGTACCAAGTGCTGCTGGATGGACTGGTTCTCCAGGTACCCTCATAGACCAGATCTACTGTTGATAGCCACAGTTCTGAGAAAATTTAGAATGCCTATTAGAGACCAGCTCTATTTTTTCCTGCTTTCTCATTTCTCTAGTTTTTTTCCTTTCACCCTTTTTTTTTCTTTTAGCTTTTTTACTTTCACTCTTGACCATATCTAAAATGTGTGCTGCATAGGAAAATAGTAAATCTGTCTGCTTGGATAAGACTTCCAGGCCTACTACTCAATTATGTAGTCTTACATGACTTAAGGGTCAAATTTGCTTGCAATGGCTAGCTTTAAATTCCCTTAATTTGATTTTGCCACTAAAATACTTGCTTTAGATTTAGGATTCAGACCAAACACTGTATATGTTTTAATTGTTTACTGCTGAGCTGTGAATCCTTATTTTACTTATGTTAATTACAATAATATTTGTCCTCAGCTTGGTTGATGTAATATAAGATGTCTGCATGAATTTTGTTTCTATCACCAAAGGTTTGGGTTCATTTATCTGGTTTGGGATAGATAGATCTTTCCATGGTCTTATGTGATATATGCCATCTGTTAGTGGAACTTACCAGGGGAAATTTTTCCAACCTAAATGAAAGAACTGTAGAAGCATCTTATTTTACTGTTGCTTTATTTTATTTTATTTTTATTTTTGGAGACAGAGTCTCACTCTGTCAGCCAGGCAGGAGTGCATTGACATCATCTCTGTTTACTTCAACCTCCGTCTCCTGGGTTCAAGCCATTCTCTTGCCTCAGCCTCCTGAGTAATCTGGGATTATAGGCACATACCATCATTCCAGGCTAATTTTTTGTATTTTTAGTAGAGATGGGGTTTTGCCTTGTTGCCTAGGCTGGTCTCGAACTTCTGAGCTCAGGCAATCCGCCCGCCTTGGCCTTCCAAAGTGTTAGGATTACAGACCTGAGCCACTGTGCCCGACCTGTTTCTTTATTTTATAGTTTGCATTTTCTACTGACTGTATCTACTATTTCTTCCAGGGTTTGTACCAGTTGCTGGAGCCCCGAATGATTGTTCGTTGCAGGAAACAAGATTTCCCTCTGGTAAAGGTAAAGAACTTAGGATAATTTTTTCCCTCCCTCCCTCCCCCCTCCCTTTCTTCCTTCCCCTCTCTCTTTCTTTTCCTTCCTTCCTTCCTTTTCTTTTTTTTTTGGTGGAGTCTCACTCTGTTGTCCAGGATGGAGTGCAATGGCGGGATCTCCACTCACCTGTAACCTCTGCCTGCCGGGTTCAAGCGATTCTCCTGCCTCAGCCTCCCGAGTAGACTAGCTGGAATTACAAGCGTGTGCCACCATGCCTGACTAATTTTTGTATTTTTAGTAGAGGGAGGGTTTCACCATGTTGGCCAGGCTGGTCTCGAACTCCTGACCTCAGGTGATCCACCCGCCTCGTCCTCCCAAAGTGCTGGGATTACAGGCATGAGCCACCGCGCCTGGCCGTAAAAACCCACTTCTATCTTTTATTCCAGGGATCTAGTTTCCTTTTTTTTTTTTTTTTTGAGATGGAGTTTCGCTCTCATTTCCCAGGCTGGAGTGCAATGGTGCGATCTCGGCTCACTGCAACCTCTGCCCCCCCGGGTTCAAGCAATTCTCCTGCCTCAGCCTCCCAAGTAGCTGGGATTACAGGCATGCACCACCATGCCTGGCTAATTTTTTGTATCTTTAGTAGAGACAGGGTTTCACCGTGTTGGCCAGGCTGGTCTCAAACTCCTGACCTTGTGACCTGCCTGTCTCAGCCTCCCAAAGTGTTGGGATTACAGGTGCGAGCCACCGTGCCCTGCCTTTCTTTTTTTTTTTTAATGGTGGTAAAATACACATACCATTTTAACCATACATTGTGCCATTAAGTACATTTACAATATTGTGCAGCCATCACCACCATCCATCTTCAGAACTTTTCCATTTTCCCGTACTGAAACTTTGTGCTCATTAAACACTAACTCTCCATTATTTCTCTTCTCTTCTCTTCTCCCCCATTCACCTCATATAAGTGGAAACATTCAGTATTTGTCTTTTTGTGACTGTTTCATTTCACTTAGCATAATGCCTTCAAGGTCCCTGTAGGGTGGGTCAGAATGGCCTTCCTTTGTAAGGCTGAATAATATTCCACGGTATGGATGCCCCACGTTGTGTTTATCCGTTCATCTGTCACTGGACACTTGGGTTACTCCCACCTTTTGGCTGTTGTGAATAATGCTGCTGCAAACATGGGTATACGGATATCTGTCCTGCTTTCTATCCGTTTGTCTGTATACCCAGAAGTAGAATTGCTGGATCATGTGGTAATTGTGTACTTCATTTTTTGAGGACCTATTATACTGTTACTTTGATAAGAACCATCCTTATGGGTATGGCATGGCACTGCTGTTTCTGGTGCCTGCTGTCTCCCCCTCATCTGCAACTGCCAGTTGAAGCTCATGCCAGCAGCCAAACTTCTCTTCCCTCCCTTCTCTCCTTACCTACCCCCAGCTTCTAACACTCTCAGCTGGGGGAATAATGTATCTTCCTCCTGCTGATCCATGTTTCAAATGTAATAACTGCCTCTGGTGTGTTTAATCACCTGCCAAGCCCTGTTAAATCTTGACAGAAACCATTCGCATCTCTTCCCTCCTGTGTGCAGACTGTCATTTCTCCTCAGTGGCCGTGCCGTTTTACATTCCCACCAGCGGTGCCTCTGTTCTTTTACCTGGGATAAATGGAGGTATCCTTGCTTGTATAGTCTGTTGAGTTTTTGGATACTTGCTTCATAGTTCCTAGTGACACCTCTCATTGTGTTCTATACTTCCAGGCTGCAGTGCAGAAGGCAATTCCTATGTACAAAATTGCCACCAAAAACGATGTTGATGTCCAAATTGACCAGGAGTCCTACCTGCCTGAAGACATGTAAGGAGTATTCCTGCTGCTAACAGCTACCTTCTCTCCCTGGGAGAGTGGCCTTTATACCAGGCCTTTTTTAAATGGTATTTTCACCATTTAAACGCACTCTTAGACACAAGGCTAGAGCTGTGGTGTATTCTACTTGCAGCCGTTCCTGTTGTTCTCGCAGTGCTCTCTTGCTCTCCCTTGTTGGCTGGCTAAATATACTCTAAAAGTCTAGTTTGGCCAGGTGCGGTGGCTCACGCCTGTAATCCCAACACTTTGGGAGGCTGAGGCAGGTGGATCACAAGGTCAAGAGATCGAGACCATCCTTACCAACATGGCCTAGGGAGCTAGACTCCCTATCATACCAGTCCACCCTCTGCTCATAGTCCAGTCCTGTCTCTACTAAAAATACAAAAATTAGCTGAGCGTGGTGGCGCACGCCTGTAGTCCCAGCTACCCAGGAGGCTGAGGCAGGAGAATTGCTTGAATCCAGGAGGTGGAGGTTGTAGCGAGCCAAGAACACGCCACTCACTGGACTCCAGTATGGCGACAGAGCAAGACTGCATCTCAGAAAAAAAAAAGTCTGGTTTATGGTCACTGCTTTCCTTCTGCGGGGAGGTGGCCCCCAGAATGAAAGCTAGGACCAGATCTCTGTATTGGATGCTGAGGTAGATACTCCCTTCTTCTAAGTAATAGTTATCAAAACAAGAATTGTGTATGCCTGGTAGTTAGGTTCCTTAGAGATAGAATTGCAAGTATGAGTGGTATTTTTATGACTGTGAGGAAATGACA